>NC_000017.11:13824444-14127474 GCF_000001405.40 Homo sapiens
TGACACCAGTCATAATGGATTAACCCCCTGAACCACATGGGGATTTGGAAGCCAGGTAAGGCATGCAGATCATAGTGTAAAAGGAATGATGACATTTAAAGGTTTATTGCAATGAAATGGCATGATCCATTTTATATGTCGGTATCATGTATAGATTGAATGGGGCAGGGCAAGAGGGGAAGGATGAAGGTGAACCACTGAGGAAGTTCATCTTTGGATCTACGTGTCATGGCAGCCTGAACTAGGAAAGTGACAGAAGAGATGGCATAAAGAAGGAGGTTTTGAGATATATTTAAAAGGTAGGATCCATAAACTTTATAATAGGTCAGATATAAGTATTTGGAAAATGAGAAGAATCATGTTCCTATCCTGAACAATTGGCAGGATGGTGCATACTTGCTGGAAGAGGGAATACTTGGGGGAAGGGAACAAGTTTGAAAGAGAAAATCAAATGGTCCATTTTGGACACATTGAGTTACAGACGTTTAAGGGATAGCCACACAGAAATATAAGATCACCTGTTTGAGTACGTGAGTCTAAATGTCAGAGGAAATGCTTGAGATTAAGACAGAAATATGAGCATTATCAGTTTAAAGAGGTTATTTAAAGTTCACGGTGCTGGATGAGATCTCTCCTTAGGGGGATAGAAGATATAGAAAAACAGGACCCAACCCCAAACCCCAGGGAACTCTGTGACCCTCATCTCTTCTTCTGTCCATGCTTGTGCTAGGGGTCCTCACTCCCCATGGTAAGTGCTCGTTCTTATTATGAACAGCTTTGCTCTATGACACATTGCATATGGTGGAAAGACAAGGCAGACCCCTCTCTGTTTCGTGCCTCATTATACACATATTTTATCTCAATTTCCCTTTGTCTTGCTTTTACTCCATGGGGGAAGAGGCTATGTTCGGCATGTCTTCATTTCCACAGACTAGGGATTCTCAAGCCCTCATACTATTGATGTTTTGCACTGGATGATTCTTTGTTGTTGGAGGGCTGTCCTGTGGACTATAAGATGTTTAGCAGCATCCGTGGCCTCCACACACTAGATGCCAGTAGCACCCCCTAGTCATGGCAATTTAAAAATGTCTCCAGATACTGCCAAATGTTTTCTGGGAAGGAGAAGGAGGCAAAATGGACCCCAGTTGAGAGCCATTGCCACAGACATCTCACAGGGCTCCATATACAGGAGAGACACTCAGTAAATAGCTGCCGTTGGCATTGGCAGCAACTATCTCTTGGCACACAGCTTCCTTCTGCCTTCCCCTGTGCACTAAAGGAAATGCATTCTTCATTAAAACCTTGTAAAATAGCCTTGGAATTTCTCATTAGTCTCTGGCCAGACCTCTAGATTCCAGACTCCTTCTTCAGAGTTGAAGACAAATGTTTGAGGGACTAGAATGAGGTGTGAGAGGGTGTCATTCATTCAGCCAGTCAACAAATGGCAAAGTTAAACAATTGAATTAAGAGAGACCTTCCACAGCCAAAGCCTGCTTTGATAAGATAGGGGAGGGAGGTTATTACCTAAGAAAAATTGCTACTCCACATTCCAGTGACTTTGCATCCTAAAGAAAAAGCCATCTTTAGCACAACAGATGTCCTTTTTAAAATTTTATCAGCCAGAAAAATTGAGGGGGAGAATGCAAACCAGACCATTAAAAAGCAATGTAGAGTCTACACAAATTAATACAATGATAGCATAATCAGGTTGAAAATGACATAAAATCAAATGATATGTAGCTGTCCTTATGGTGTATCACAGCTCCTGAAATCTTAAAGAGTAAGTGAAAATACGGGGCCTCCTGCAGCGTGGTGAACATAGCAACCTTTCCCAGTGACTCCCTATACAGCTTTAGCAGCCTTTCTGAAAGCCACTAAGTCAGTCAGAGAAACATTGCAGATAATGCGTATTTGCAAAAGCAGCCCCACTGGAGGACTGCACGAGTCCACACCTGATCATGATCTCCAAATTGAACCACTTTTGCTGTCAAGTAGAGACGTAGAACATTGAAACCAGGTTAAAAAACAAAACAAATAAACAAAACTGTAAAACCTGATCCACTGGCTGCTCGTCTCTTTTCCCCTGAACCCCATCTAGGTCGGTCCTGAAAGGTCTTCCACGGTAGAGATGAAAAGGGTGGCTGGACCACTTCCTGTGCAGAAAAGAGTCTTGGGTTAGCCCTGATGCTTCTGTGACATGAATTCAAAGGGGGAGAAAATTAGAAAGGAAAAGAAAGATGTTCCCAACAAAGGGCTTTCAGAAAACAACCTTGTGTGAAGAAATCAAAGTGTTCTGATTATCAATAGCAGCATAACAACCCACCCCAAAATGAAACAACAATTTATTATTGTTGTTGCTAAAGAAATGACAATTTATTATTTTTTATTCTGTAGGTTTTTTACTTCTTTTGTTGTTGGCTGGGGTATTAGAATGACTGGAAAATCCAAATTGGCCACATTCCCATGGCTAGCAATTTATGCTCACTGCTAACTGTAAGCTCAGAAGGAGCTGCTGGTGGAGGTTCTTGGTTCTCCTCTATGGACACCTTTCCACATATCTGTTTGGTCTTCCTCACAACATGGCACCTTCTTTCCAAGAAGAAGCATTCAAGAAGAAGGAAGTAGAAATTGCCAATCTCTTAAAACCTGAGCTTGAAAGTATTGGGATGTAACTTTAACTATATTCTATCGGTGAAAAGCAGTCACAGGGCCAGCCTAGATTCAAGACGAAGGAACATAAGCTTTCTTGTGATGTAAGGAGTAGCATATACACAGTGGGAAGGCTGCCTTTGGAGGGTAATAGTCATAATAAACTTGTCATTTGACTCCACATCTTACCACTCTGGGGGTATTTCTATGCTCTTGATCCATATTTGTGTTTCTTTCTCTAAAGCACTGTCATATTGCAAGAGCAACGGATGAGAAAGAGATGACTTGCCCTCCTGCAATTACATATATGTGTATGTGTTGATCATATATACCTATATGAATTGAAAGAGTCATCAGAAGCCTGGAAAGAATGACTTGCTTCATGCTAGCTTTTGGTTTTGAATACCAATTATTCCCCATGTTGTTATGACAAGGACATATATAGAAAATGTGCAAGAGCCATCTCTTTAATCAAGTTTTTTTTTTTAATTTTAAGTTCTGGGATACAGGTGCAGAACGTGCAGGTTTGTTACATAGGTATACATGTGCCATGGTGGTTTGCTGCACCTATCAACCTGTCATCTAGGTTTTAAGCCCCACATGCATTAGGCATTTGTCCTAATGCTCTCCCTCTCCTTGTCCCCCACCCCCCGACAGGCCCCAGTGTGTGATGTCCCCTCCCTGTGTCCATGTGTTCTCATTGTTCATCTCCCGCTTATGAGTGAGAAAGTGCAGTGTTTTGTTTTCTGTTTCTGTGTTAGTTTGCTGAGAATAATGGTTTCCAGCTTCATCCATGTCCCTGCAAAAGACATGAACTCATTCTTTTTTATGGCTGCATAGTATTCCATGGTGTATATGTGCCACATTTTCTTTATCCAGTCTATCTTTGATGGGCATTTGGGTTGGTTCCAAGTCTTTGCTGTTGCAAATAGTGCTGCAATAAACACACATGTGTATGTTTCTTTATAGTAGAATGATTTATAATCCTTTGGGTATATACCAAGTAATGGGATTGCTGGGTCAAATGATATTTTTGTTTCCAGATCCTTGAGGAATCACTACACTGTCTTCCACAATGGCTGAGCTAATTTACACCCCCACCAATGGTGTAAAAGCATTCCTATTTCTCTATGTAATCAAGTTTTTAAGAAACCTAATTCCTACTTCATCTTCTGATATTAAGTAACTAATACCTAAGTAAACAGTTGGCTCTCTTTTTAAAAAAATACTTACTTTATAAGCCCAGGACAAAATTAAATGACAGAATATGAGATTTCTTTTAATATAGTAAATGTTCAAAAATATCAGATGATGATGAGGATGATTAAAATTGCTACCACAGAGTCTGATGTAGTAGGTGCTTAATTAATGACAGCTAATATTTTGAAGAGAAGCTCTTTTAGAGGAAGGAATGGTGAAGGAAGAGGGTACAACCATTTGAATGAGGAGAGAGGAATGTGAGGGCGAAGAAGCTTGGGGTCAGGAGAAGGGCGACACTCAGTGTCTCGAGAGGCATTTGACAGAGCTGTCTTTAATACCAAATTATCAGAGACAGTTTTGGGATTTTCCCTGGCACAGAAATGCATTCCCCTTGAGCCCTCGAATAAATACTTAGAAGGTTAAAGGTCAGTTCATTAATCTCCTCACTTGCCCATTTGTTTGGACATACAGATGCTCTGTTGTTAAGGCAATCTGAGCAGACAGGAAAAAGTGTGGACTCTCATCCACTTCGATACTGTCCCACGTTGGATGGAGGTGTGTGCAAGAGAAAACATTTGTTTTAAATTTAATTCTGTGCTTTTCAAAACTGTAATGAAAATTGGAAAGTTGTGACTTGGTTCAGTTCCTTTCCAGGGTTTGTTTATGAAACTTGCCTTCTAGTTCACATTTGAACAAATTTTCTTTGCTAAGAAAATTCTTATTTTCCTCAATGACCCAAAGTCTGTCAAGCAAGAGCAATGTAAGTTCCTACCTGCCCCTTTGTACCAGTGCTACCCTACTGCTTTACACAAATTCAACACATCTCCAAGCTTCTGAGGGCCTTGGGGAAGCCTCATTCTTAGAGATATTGAAAGAAAAGCAGAGAGAGATTTATACTTTTTTTTTTTTTGACAGAGTCTCGCTTTGTCACCAGGCTGGAGTGCAGTGGCGCAATCTCGGCTCACTGCAACCTCCGTCTCCCAGGTTCAAGCAATTCTCCTGCCTCAGCCTCCCGAGTAGCTGGGACTATAGGCGCGTGCCACCACACCTGGCTAATTTTTTAATTTTTAGTAGAGACGGGGTTTCACCATGTTGGCCAGGATGGTCTTGATCTCTTGACCTCGTGATCCACCCGCCTCAGCCTCCCAAAGTGCTGGGATTACAGGCATGAGCCACCACGTCAGGCAAGACTTATACTTTCTAATGAGGTGTAATGAGGGAAATTTTGACTAAAGTTATCTCCGCTCGACTCCGCATCATTTTTTTAAATGGCCAATAAACATTTTTTTAATTTTGATTCAAATGACAAATGACTTATCCTGAAAATGGTCAGCTGTCTCAGAGACATTCTGGAATGGAAAGAAAGCCTCGGGAAAGAGCTGATGTGACTTGCTAAAAGTCACTTCTATAGACAATAGAATAAATATTGTCTATCGAATAATAGACAATATAGACTTCTATAGACAATAGAATAAATAAAGAAGGCAAATTGTGTATGATTACCATCTACTTGCATGAGGGTGTGGCAGGCTGACTTTAAGGTGATTCCCCCATTATCTTTACCTCTTGATGTTCCCACCTTTGTGCAGTTCTCTCCTCTTGGGTGTGGGTAGGACCAATGGCTTGCTTCTGAGCAATGGAATATAGCAAATGTAATGGGATGTCATTCCCATGATTATGGTATGTTATAAAATACTCTGTATTATTAGCAGATTTATCCTAGAGGCTCTCCTTGCTGGATTCATGAAGGAAGCAGCCGTGTTGGGAAAGCCCACATGGTTTAGAAGTATGAGTGCTTTCTAAGTATGGGTGGTCTCTAAGAACCATAGGTGTCCTCCAAGAAAATACAGGCAGCAGACTCTAGGAGCTGAGAGCAGCCTCCGGCCAAGGAAAAAGCTAGAGCCTCAGTCCCCCAACCACAAGGAAATGAAATGATACAAAGAACCTCAGAGAGCTGGGAAGTGGCTTCTTTCCCAGCTGAGAAGTGGTTTCTTCCCCAGTCTGTCTTTCAGGAAAATATGTCCTGGCTGACACCTTGATTACACCCTTGTTGGATACTAAGCAGAGGAGCCAACTAAGCTGTGCCTGGACTTCTACCCATAGAAACTATGGGATAATCAGTGTGTGTTGTTTTAAGCCACTAAGTTTGTACTAATATGTTACACCGTAATAGAAGAATAATACAGGGGTCCTTTCCTGGGTGATAGCATTCTCTGGCATCCTACTATCATCTTCCATGAAGACATTTGGGACTACTTAGAGAAAAACTCAGGGTTCCTTCTGGTATTCCTTATCAATCCCAAAATTTCCCCATATTTCTTAAAATGAGGGGACTTAAAAATGAGTCTCCATAGCCAGGCACAGTGGCTCACGCCTGTAATCCCAGCACTTTGGGAAGCCAAGGTGGATGGATTACCTGAGGTCAGGAGTTTGAGACCAGCCTGACCAACATGGAGAAACCACATCTCTACTAAAAATACAAAATTGGCTGGGTATGGTGACACATGTCTGTAATCCCAGCTACTCGGGAGGCTGAGGCAGGAGAATCACTTGAATCTGGGAGGCAGAGGTTGCAGTGAGTCAAGATCGCGCCATTGCACTCCAGCCTGGGCGACAAGAGTTAAACTCCGTTTCAAAAAAAAAAAAATGAGTCCTCATATTTCCTACCTCAATATGACTGTGACTCTCAACCAAAATGTATTATTAATGTCTCACATATATATATATTCATTTATAATTGTATTTTATTGTTTCATTTGTTGCTTCATCTCTGTTTATCAGACACCCAAACACAGTCATTATTAGTAAAAATTAGTTGATGTTTTAGTACCATATTAAAATATCTACAACTCTACTTTCACCAGAATGTTTTTAAATTTAAAAACAAAAATTGAATCACAATTTATAAATTTAGAGAAAAAATGCATTCTAGGAGTTCTTTGTTCTCACTTTCTCATTTTACAAATAAGAAAGATGACACCCTCCAAAAATTAATAATGTGCGAAGCCTAGACAAACAGTTATTGTCAAAATGGGACAAGAATGAAATTTACATTGATAGGGCATCTGCAATGTTCAAGGCACTGTGATAAATACTTCTGTGTTACCACTTCATCCTTAACAGTTTTGTAAAGTATGCATTGCTTTCCCCATGGCAGGGTACCCTTCTAGAGATTATTTTTTTCTTTATTTTTCAATGAGAAAGGTGCCTTAAATTAACTAATTGAAGACTCCCTTAGAAAGTGGGGACCAGGAAGGTACAATGGAGGGTCAGAACACATTAGAAACATGGAGGTGATTGCACTTAGAAGAGTGAATATAGGGCTAGTAGTCCCATTTTCCAGGCAAAGCTGTATAAAACTAGCCCCTTTTAGAGATGTAAAAGCAACCTGTGATCAATCCCTTGTAGAGAAGCTTTAGTTTAAAAATACTGAGTTCAGAGAATATGGGCCCAAAATTCAGGACAACAACATATTTTAATTTTTTTTTTTTTTTCTTGAGACAGAGTCTTGCTCTGTCGCCCAGGCTAGAATGCAGTGCTGCAATGTTGGCTCACTGCAACCTCCGCCTCCTGGGTTCAAGCAATTCTCCTGCCTCAGCCTCCAGAATAGATGAGACTACAGGTGCAAGCCACCATGCCCAGCCAATTTTTGTATTTTTATTAGAGACAGGGTTTCTCCATATTGGCTAGGCTGCTCTCGAACTCCTGACCTCGTGATCCATCCGCCTCAGCCTCCCAAAGTGCTGGGATTACAGGCGTGAGCCAAGGGCTTAAAAGATACATTGCCCATCTCCCCAGGGAAGACTGGTAGAGGAATACAGGACACTGACCCTATATCTGTGATTTCGGGCATAACTGATTCAACCATGAACCAGCTAGCTGTTTGCATCAGTTATCTATTGCTGCATAACAAACCACCCCCAAAACTTAGTGGCTTAGAACAAACACCATTTATATAGCTCATGATTCTATGGGTCAGCTGAGTAGGTCTTCTGGTCTGATCCAGCTCAGTTACTGTCTGCTGGCCTTGCTCAGACATCCCTGGTCTGCTGGCAGGTCAGTTGGATGATCTAGGATAATGTGGTAGGCAGAATAAGGGTCCCCAGAAATGTCCATGAATTAATCCTCAGAACTTATAAATATGTTATCTTACATGGCAAAAAATACTTTGTAGATGTGATGAAGAGTGTAGACCTTGAGATGGAAGATCATCCTGGATTATCTGGGTGGACCCAGTCTAATCACACAAGTCCTTAAAAACAGAGGACCTTTTCCAACTGGGTGTAAGAAATGGGAAGGAAGAAGGAGGAGGAGAGATTCAAAGCATGAGAAGATATGACCTGCCATTATCAATTTGGAAGCGAGAACAAGAGAGATTTAAGCCAAGGAGTATGGGTAGATTTTCAAAGTTGAAACGATCATCACTTGACAACCAGCAAGAAAATAAAGATCTCAACCATACAACTACAAGAAACTGATTTCTCCCAACAACCCAAATAAGCAAGGAATGCCCATTCTTACCTGGATTGGGGATGGGAAAAAATGTATATTTATCAAACCAGGAGTACTGGGATGAATTCTTTCAAAGACTGTTTGAGTCCCTATGCAGATCTTTCCAGCTAAGATGTAGGGATAAGAAGATTTAATTAATATAGTGGTTTACAGCATGGGCTTCATGGTAGGCAGATATCACTCCCCTGCAAAGGTTCATGTCCTAATCCCCAGAAGCTGTATGTTACATGAAATAGAAAAGGAGAATTAGGCCCAGCGTGGTAGCTCATGCCTATAATTCCAGCACTTTAGGAGGCTGAGGCAGGCGGATCACGAGGCCAAGAGATCACGACCATCCTGGCCAACATGGTGAAACCCTGTCTCTACTAAAAATACAAAAATTAGCTGGGTATGGTGGCACACACCTGTAGTTCCAGCTACTTGGGAGGCTGAGGCAGGAGAATCGCTTGAACCTGGGAGGCAGAGGTTGCAGTGAGCTGAGATCGTGTCACTGCACTCCAGCCTGGAGACAGAGCGAGACTCTGTCTCAAAGAAAAAAGAAAAGAAAAGGAGAATCAAAATTGCATATGGATAGATTTCTAATCAGCTAATCTTAAAATAAGGATATTATCCCAGATTACCCAAGGGGGCTCAATATAATTACAAGGAACTTTAAACATGGAAGAAAGGGGCAGAAGTGTCAATGTCAGAGTTGTGCTATGGGAATGAGATGAGCAGACACCGCTTGCTTTGAAGATAAAGGAACGGACCATGGACCAAGGGAAGCAGGTGGCCTCAAGATGGAAAGGGGCAAGGAAATGGATTCTCCCCCAGAGCCTCCAGAAGGAATGCAGCTCTGCCAATGCCTTGATTGTAGCCCAGTAAGAACCATGTTGGACTACTGACCTGCAGATCTGTAAAATAATACATGTGCGCTATTTAAGCTGCTAAGCTTGTGGTATTTTTCTTTTTAATGGCAGCAATAGAAAACGAATGCAAGAGCATCTCATTCACATATCTGGTGGCTGGAAGATTTGTTGATCAGGGAACTTCAACTCTCATGGCCCCTCAACTCCAACAAGCAGGTCTGAGCTTCTTCCCGTAATAGGCTCAAGGATCCAAAATCCAGAAATAGAGGACACATTTTCATTTCCAAATGCTTTTACATCTCCTCTTTAGCCATGTTTATTACTGTTTGACTGCTCAAAGGCGGTCTTAAGGCTAGTCTAGATTCAGGAGAGGAAAAATAGACTCCACCTCTTGATGAGAGAAGCTGCAATCTAACAAGCAAGGGCAAGGGAGTGGGAGGAGAAATATTTGTGGTCATCTTGTAATCTACTGCATGATCTGAGAAGGAGCCCAGTGTGTGAACCAAAAACACCTGCTAGGGAAAGGCATCATTCCAGTTTCTGCATCTAGGGTGGAATGGAAGACTGAGTTTCACTGTACATCTAGGACTTAACGACAGCATTGACTCTGCTCCCAGTGCTTCTCATACTATGGCCAAAACAAGAAACAGTGCCCTTTCCCTACCTTCTTCTCCCTCAGCCCCTAAATGCAGGAAGCATCATGCTAACATTTCCCAGAGACCTGTCAGTCCAAGGAGATGTCTGACCACATATAGTGGGAATTGTTACAAACTTGCTGTGAATATCACCTAGGGAGAGGGCCCAGGATTCCACCTTCTGGTGATGAACATGCAGAGGCATGAGGATCACACCCTGAAATGTGGAGACACCCATATATTCCAGTTTTACGGATAAAGAAATTGAAGTTTTGAAGAAATGAAACCATTTGCTGAAAGCCACATCATGGCAGAACTGAGCTAGATCCCAGAAATATGGACTATTGGGAGGCAGCAAAATATAGGAAGGCAAACAGAAACCTTGGAGATACACACACTGCAATCCGACACTGCTGATTACCAATAAACACCCTTCCCTTCCTCTACCTCCCTGCGTGGCAGAATTTCAATTTCATTTCAATTTCCACTCCTCTCCCTATGGTTCCAGGAAGGGCGGCCCCTACCCCAAGTTTGAGGAATAAATCTCAGTTCAGCTAAGCCAGTGATAGTGGCCCTATTCCTTTTGTCTATAATTACAGTTGATCCATGAACAACACAGGTTTGAACTGCATGGGTCCAATTATACACAGATTTTCTTCCGCCTCCACCAATGCTGAGAGAGCAAGATCAACCCCTCCTTGTCATCCTTCTCCTGAGCCTATTCAATGTGAAAACAACAAGGATGAAGACCTTTACAATGGTCTATGTCCACTTAGTGAATAGGCAATATATTTTTTCTTCCTTTTAATTTTCTTAGTAACATTTTCTTTTCTTTAGCTTTTACTGTAAAAATACAGTATATAATGCATATAACATATAAAATATGTGTTAATTGACTATTATGTTATTGGTAAGGCTTCCAGTCAACAGTAGGATATTAGTGGTTAAGTTATACACCAAGTTTTGACTGTGCAGAGATCGGCACCACCAAACCACAGCATTGTCGAAGGGCCAAATGCAGCTTAGCCATGAGCATGGGCAGTACTGGCTCTATGGGCATGCAGCCAGTCCATGCTGAGTCTTGTGCCCAGAAGGACCTAATGTTTCATTCAATGCTTGTCATCATCCTAAAATTCTTAGTAACTGTTGAACAAGAGATCCTGAATTTAATTTTGCACTGAGCCCTGCAAATTATGTAACTGTTCCTAAGCATATGGTGCAATTCTGTTGAAAATGACATGGGGAAGCTTGTTGGAGAACTTTTAATAAATATTTTCTTTGTTGTTATTGACAGGAAACATACACATGCACATATACACGCACAAAGACACGGCCTTCTTCTTACGCATGCAATGCCTGGAACTCCTGCAGCCATCTTGCACCCTTGAGCAAAACAAAGCTTACAAGCTTGACAGAGCAGAAAGTTGGAAAGAACCTAAATTCTGATGATGCCACTGAGCTGCTGAATGAATGAGCCTTTGAGTGTTTTGTCATGTGAGATAATAAACCTTCTGCTTTGTTTTTACCATTTGAGATGGAATTTTCCTTAAAGATTTTGCAGAATACATGTAATCGACAAGTATTAACTAGATGACTTTGAGAATGGTATTTGACTTTGGTGAGCATATTTTCCTATCTATAAAATAAGAGCAATGCCACCTCACACACATGTTGTGAGAAATAAATAATATTTGGCACACGACAGGTGAATTAGTTCATTCTTGCACTGCTATAAAGAAATACCCGAGACTGGGTGATTTATTTAAAAAAGAAACAAGAGGTTTAATTGGCTCACGGCTCCACAGGCTGTACAGGAAGCATGATGCTGGCATCTGCTCAGCTTCTGGCAGAAGGCAAAAAGGAATCACGGAAAAGGCAAAAGGGAAGCACGCTCCTCTTACCTGGCCAGAGCAGGAGCAAAAGAGAGAGGGGACAGGGAGGTGCTATGCACTTTTAAACAAGCAGATCTCACAAGAACTCACTCGCTATCATGAGAACAGCACCAAGGGGGATGGCGTTTAACCATTCATAAGAAACCATTCCCATGATTCAGTCACCTCCCACTAGGCCCTGCCTTCAACAGTGGGGATTACAATTCACCATGAGATCTGGCCAAGGACACAGATTCAAAACATATCAGCAAGGAACAGTCCAATGATGGTAGTAATAGTGATTGTCATTGTGTTGTTATTATTGCAGTTCCTAGCCCAGTGCTATTATTCATCATAACTTACAACCTACCCCCATTCCTACCCTATTTTAAATATATTTTAGTTCACCATTCATAGGCCACTTAAATATATATTCACTCACAAGGAAAGCACTTCAGTTAAGAAAATTCTATATAGTGCCTATGAGTCACGTGAATGCCAATTATGAAAGCTGCTTAGTTCATGTCTGTATGTGCGCTCCACTAAACCAGCTCATTTATCCCATACCTGAACCAGGAACTATCAAAAGTAAACTTAGATATTCACATAACAATATATTTCTCAAACTCATAATACTTAGTGAAAAAAAGTTGTAAACTGATATGTATTATATACCGCACGTTGCCCTTAAATGAATGTAAAATGATCATAATGACTTCTGCTTCTGGGAGGATGAAGTAAATGTATTTTTTCCTATTCTTCCCACTAAGTACAACTTAAAAAAAAAAACACTGGATGTTAGATCTAAAGCTAACATATAAAAAGACTTTGAAAGGTGAAGAGAAGGAGGTCAACAGCCTAGTGGCTGTTGGAACCAGAAGAATGGCATGGTGGTGGATTCCATAGCTTTTTTTTTTTTTTTGAGATGGAGTCTCCCTCTGTCACCAGGCTGGAGTGCAATGGTGTGATCTCGGCTCACTGCAACCTCTGCCTCCTGGGTTCAAGAGATTCTCCTGCCTCAGCCTCCCAAGTAGCTGGGACTACAGGTGCATGCCACCACACCTTGTATTTTTAGTAGAGACGGGGTTTCACCATGTTGACCAGAATGATCTCGATCTCCTGACCTGGTGATCTGCCCACCTTGGCCTCCCAAAGTGCTGGGATTACAGGCGTGAGCCACCGCGCCCAGCCCATAGGTTTTCTTTTTAACTTCATATATCCCAGACTTGAAGCAAAGGTAGCCTGTGATCAGGAAACACCAACAGGCTCAGACAAAAAGATCCCGGTAAAATTCTGCTGAGTCTAACCACAGACCGAGGGACGGGGCAGCCTAGAGCAACAGAAAACCTGTAGGAGTAACTGCTCTACTCTAGCCAAACACCGCAAAAGAAAACTGTGGCCCGCCTGCCGTGCCATCTCCATCATCAAAGGCCGAGTGGGAAGCTTAGACTTCCACCCACCCCACGAAGCTGTAACAAAGTGCCGAACGCCCCCACTCTGGCCCAGGGCGGTGCCAGAGAAGGCCAGGTAAGAGACTGAGATTTTCATCCCCATGAGCCAGTAAGGAGCTCCCTGGCCCCTCACAATGTCTATGGAGACCGCATGGGATAGGTGCTGAAACTCCCACCCCACCCCACAGTAAGGAGGAGCCCATCTGATCCCATAGGTATCAACAGAGACCAAGTGGGAAACCTGGACTTTTATCTCCCTATGGCACAAACAAGTTGACAACCCCCCTCTTCTGCCAGAGCAGTGTCAGAATAAACCGGTTAAAACAAAAAATTTAGGCTAGGCGAGGTGGCTCGCACCTATAATCCCAGCACTTTGGGAGGCTGAGGTGGGCAGATCATGAGGTCAAGAGATCGAGACCATCCTCGCCAATATGATGAAACCCTGTCTCTACTAAAAATACAAAAAAAAAAAAAAAAAAAAAAAAAATTAGCTGGGCGTGGTGACGTGCACCTGTTAGTCCCAGCTACTCACTAGGCTGAGGCAGGAGAATCGCTTGAACCCAGGAGGCAGAGGTTGCAGTGAACTGAGATCAAGCCGGTGCACTCCAGCCTGGCGACAGAGCGAGACGCCGTCCGGAAAAAAAAAAAAAAAAAAAAATTAAATAAGATCCAATGTCACATAACACCCTACAAAAATGCACGTTTCAATAAAAAAAATTTATCCTATCAAGAAACAGAAAGATCTCAAACTGAGTGAAAAAAAGACAACACTAAGACAAGAGAGATATTAAAGTGATCTGACAAAAATTTAAAACACCCACAATAAAGATGCTTCAATGAGCAATTATGAACACACTTAGGAATGAACAGACAAAAAGTGGCAGCAAAGATATAGAACCAAATGGAGATTTTAAAACTGAAACATACGGTAGTTACAAAAAATATGGAACAATACAGAAATAAAAACCTCGATCAGTGGGCTCAACAGCAGAATAAACGGAACAAAGGAAAGAATCAGTGAACTGCAAAATAGAACCATAGAAATTATCCATTCTGAACATAGGAGAGGATAGAATGGAAGAAAAAAATGAACAAAGTCTCAGGGACCCTTGCAACCGTAACAAAAAGTTTCACATTTGTGTCATTGGGCATTCCAGAAGCAGAGTTAAAAAAAAAAATGTCCTGGCCGGGCCTGGTGGCTCACGCCTGTAATCACAGCACTTTGGGGGGCCGAGGTGGGCGGATCACGAGGTCAGGAGATCGAGATCATCCTGGCTAACATGGTGAAACCCCGTCTCTACTAAAAATACAAAAAAATTAGCCAGGCGTGGTGGTGGGCACCTGTAGTCCCAGCTACTTGGGAGGCTGAGGCAGGAGAATGGACTGAACCCAGGAGGCAGAGAGTGCAGTGAGCCGAGATTGCACCACTGCACTCCAGCCTGGGGAACTGAGCAAGACTCCATCTCAAAAAAAAAAAAAAAGTCCTGTGTTATACTCAGTGTCTACATGCAAACCCAGCTGTAAGACAAGTCTCCAATGTCTGACTCCTCAAAGTGAGATTCAAGGGCCAGCACATCAGCATCACCTGAGAGCTTTTCAGAGGCACATCATAGACCTAACAGGCCTGAATCTGTACCTGCAAGATCCTCAGGTTAAAGGTTGGGCGTGGGGGCTCACATCTGTAATCCCAGCACTTTGGGAGGCCAAGGTGGGAGGATCGCTTAACCCCAGGAGTTCATGACCAGGCTGGGCAACATAGTGAGACTCCATCTCTTAAATAAATAAATATCCCCGGGTTTGCATGAAAATCTGAGAAGTATTTCTCCAGCTGCCTTCTCCTTTGCCCCAACCAAATGGATACCCCTGCATCCTTCTTACATAAAAATTCTGGACTTCCCTATGAACCACAGATTAGAAGCAGATCAAAAAAGAATCAATGTATAAAACTAGGAAAAGTATTGGACTAAGGGGTCTGAATTTTAAATCTCCATCCTGAACCTTTTTATCAGTGTTGGCAGGATTGCTGGTTTTTGTTTGTCTTCCTTATGAATTTAGGGGCGAAGACAAACTAGAAAACTAGAAGGTTCTTCCTATTTGAATATTCTAGGATTCTATTACATGCCAATCAGATTACCAAAAACTACGCAGGCAAAGCTCATGCACAGGGAAGGTCTTTACCATGTCTGGTGTATGATTATGACAGGAATATTTTTGAATCTAACTGTAATTCTGTTTAGGAATTTGGATAACTTGAGCTTTGCGCCTGCAGCTTATAATATCACTGGATACCTGTCACAGAATTGTAACCTTGTAACTCACTTACCTGTTGATGCTCAAATATATACGTATATAATTTTAATAGTACTCATTACACATAGACTTCCATTATAACACTATTTCCACTCTGTCATAATTTTATAAAAAATTCCCTATTGGCTAAAATTTTCCAGGCTGAATCACACTCTTGAGGTGAACTTTTTCAATTA
Source organism: Homo sapiens (assembly GCF_000001405.40). Classification (NCBI taxonomy): domain Eukaryota; kingdom Metazoa; phylum Chordata; class Mammalia; order Primates; family Hominidae; genus Homo; species Homo sapiens. Next base: position 13,840,097 of record NC_000017.11, read on the forward strand.
AACTCCACTTAAGCCAATTTTGAGGTCTTTGAATGAAGGAAAAATATATATATGCCAGACTCTTAAAAATAATTGTCAGGCAGGTTCTCTGTTTTTTTTTTCTTACATGTTTATTTAACACACTATCATCAATACTTCAAAAAAAGGTCTGACCTGTTTTGCATGTTAAATTTCCCAACGATGGAGGCAGAAGTGCTTTTTTGCTTAGAAGTCCCCAATAACCCTCTCAATTATCTCCTCTGCCATGGAGAATTATGGAGAGTCTGTAAAACAGGTAGTTAGTTCTAGGCTTGTGGGGCCACTTAGCATCTATGAGGCAGAATTCAGTTAATACACATTAACTCTCTTCCTTACAACCATGTCAAAGTTTTCCATTTAGGGACTAATGAGAAAAAAGTCATTTGGTTTATTGATCCAGTGTGAGTCATCTAGAATGGGGAAAAATAGGTAATTATCACTGTTTTGAATCACTTCCTTTATTGTTTCTAAACTTGATTCTGGAACCCACAACCTCTGTTGATTGTGTTATTTTTACAGGGGAAAAACAAGCTTTGACTTATCTCTCAAAGTAATTAGAAGGCAGTGCCTTCTGGCATTTGGTCCTGTATCTGATCGTCTGTTTGGTTGTTTTGTTTTGTTTTGTTTTTCAGCAAATGCTTTGTATTCACTCTGTACATCTTCATTTGGTTGATTGGGAGCAGGAAGTCTGCCACAATACACACAGCCAAACTCTGTGGCATGGCCAGCCCAGGGCAGGGCAAGAGTGAATTCTTTGCTGGATTCTTCATGCCCAGGCCTTGGTGCCAATTGACAAGTGGTGGAGACTTACTTCTTGATTCTAAAGAGATCTCTCCAGCACAGTTGCACAGAAAGGATGAAAAACCTTCATGGATTTCAATTGCCCCTTCTCCCAGCTAAAGCTTTTGCATGCTGCTTAGGGAAGAACCATGTCTGAAGAGCTCCAGTTGGGCAGAAATAGTCTTCTGTATTGGGAGGCCGAGGCGGGCGGATCACGAGCTCAGGAGATCGAGACCATCGTGGCTAACACGGTGAAACCCTGTCTCTACTAAAAATACAAAAAATTAGCCAGGTGTGGTGGCGGGCACCTGTAGTCCCAGCTACTCGGGAGGCTGAGGCAGGAGAATGGCCTGAACCCAGGAGGCAGAGCTTGCAGTGAGCCAAGATTGCACCACTGCACTCCAGCCTGGGGAACAGAGCGAGACTCTGCCTCAAAAAAAAAAAAAAGAAAAAGAAATAGTCTTCTGCAGAAAGGCAAGACACCTTGGACCACTGACTTCTTTTCTGCCAGAGCTCAACTCTGTCCTCTTCTTTTCAGGGAAGCCTTTTCTGCCTTCTTTGAAGAGGTCACTTTGCTCTCTGTACAACGGTCACACTGATCTTTCAGTCCTGGACTATGCCATCCTACCTCCTGCCACAGGACCTTGGCACATACCATTCCCTTTGTCTGAGACACTCTAACTACCCCTCTTTCTCTAGTGAGCTCCACTCATTATTTATATCTTAGTTTATATTTCCTCAGGGAAGAAATTCAGCCTTTTTGGTAAGTATGAACAATCATGTATTAAATAAACATTTTAAAAAAGAGATAACTGGCTGGGTGCGGTGGCTCAAGCCTGTAATCCCAGCACTTTGGGAGGCCGAGGCAGGCAGATCACCTGAGGTCGGGAGGTCAAGACCAGCCTGGCCAACATGGAGAAACTCCGTCTCTACTAAAAATAGAAAAATTAGCCGGGCATGGTGGCACATGCCTGTAATCCCAGCTACTCGGGAGGCTGAGGCAGGAGGACTGCTTGAACCCAGGAGGGGGAGGTTGCACTCCAGCCTGGTTAACAAGAGTGAAACTCCATCTCACAAAAAAAAAAAAAAAAAAAAAAAGTTAACCTGCCTGACAGTGATTTTCCCAATCAAATCAACCTCTCCTAACGTTTCGTAACATACCAACATATGCTCCCATTTCATGGTACCTGTCACTGCTCTAATCTTACATTTATTTGAGATATTTTTGCTTTATTAATGAGAGTATCTATTGTAGCTGCCTGAGGATTTAGACCACATATAATCCTGATGCTTGACATAGGGCTTAGCACATAGCAGGTACTCAGTAATTATTTGTTAGATAAATGACAAATATTTGGCTGGGTGCGGTGGCTCACACCTGTAATCCCAGCACTTTAGGAGACTGTGGCGGGTGGTTCACTTGCAGTCAGGAGTTCGAGACCCGCTTGATCAACATGGTGAAACCCCCGTCTCTACTAAAAATACAAAAATTAGCTGGGCATGCTGGCACGTGCCTGTAGTCCCAGCTACTCGGGAGGCTGAGGCAGGAGAATCACTTGAACCCAGGAGGTGGAGGCTTCTGTGAGCTGAGATTGTGCCACTTTACTCCAGTCTGTGAGACTCTGTCCTCCAACCCCCCCAAAAAAGTCAAATATTTGTTATATAGTATCAATGAATGAATACGTCATTTATTAGACATTTCCAGGGGGAAGGAAGATCACAGGGCCTAACCCACCTCTGCCAAATTCCTCAGCATCAGAATGTGCCTGTTCTCTTGTATGATGTTGTTCTCATCTTGATACATATAAGACCTGTGAAATGAGTAAAAGGACAGAAAGGGAAGAGTTCCGAAGAGGATCTGGGGAAGCCTCCATTGAGCTCTATGTAAAACACCTTCTGAGCCAAAATGCTGTAAACCTAGAAATGAACCTGGGACATCATTCCTGGGATTTTCCAGGTGAAGAAAATGAGACTCATGATTCCACTGTAGTTACTGGCAGACCCCACCCCTTCTTACTCCTCATCCCTTCCTGATCCACTTCTCCTACGAGGAGACAGCCCTTAACAGAGATGCAAAAATTGAAGAGAGTGCAGAAATTACCAGGAGCTGAAGCCCTGAGCAGAGACGACCACAGGAGAGGAATAGAGTGATTAATTACATGTAAAACCATAGGGTCTAGCTTCACTGGGAAGGCCCCAAGGGTATAATTGTCCTCTTTTTTCCGTAATCTCTAGTGAGCTCTTTTATTCTTTAATCTATGAAGACACTAAAGGAGGTCAAATAGAAAAACTTACCCAAGTCTCACTCATTTTGTTAATATAAATCCCACCTGTGCCACTTTCAAGTTGCTTGTAACCAATCTCATCTAAGTTTTCTCATCCATAAAATGGGAACAGCTGAGCCCATCTTTTAGGGTTATTGTGAGAATGAAATGGAATATGATTTATAAAGTGCCTGTGCATGGCACATAAGAAACGCTTCGTATGACCTAGTTTAATTCAACATTAAACGTATATGTGAGTGCTTACTATATGTCTAGTTGGGACTAAGCTAGGTACTAGGGCTGGGACTTGCATTACGATGGAGGAAGAAAGACATATTTAAGAAACAAAAGAATTGCCAGTAAGGCTCAGAGATATGAATAAAATGTTACAGAGAAACTGGAACAGAGTGGGGTTTGGCTACTCATAAATAGGTTAAACCAGGAGATCGTCTTAGAGGATGTGACATTTAAACTGATTCAACCATGTAAAGAGTTGGGGAAAGTGTGTTTCGACCCAGGAAATACTGGAAAAAGAAAGTATAAGGTATTGAGGTGGGGATGTCCTTATTCCCAGTGTGACGGGAAGCCTATGGAAGTGTTTCAGCAGGAGTAAGAGAGAATCTGAGTTATATTTTAAAAAGATCTTTCTGTCTGTTATGTGGAGAGAATGGGTTTTAATGGGGCAGAGAGGCCAGTTAGAAAGCTAGTGTGGAAATAAAGGTCAGAGATAGATTGATGGTGGTATGGACTAGGATGGGTGGGAGGGAGAGGAGTGAATGCAATGAAGACGTATTTTAGAGACAGAGGTAAGGATGATCTGCAGGAAAGGGGAGGTGGTAGGAAAAAGGGAGGAATTGAGGTTGAGTCCTAGTTTTTTGTCTTAAACAACTGAAAATAATGATGTCATTTGTCAAGATGGAGAAAAATGGAAGAATGAGACTCTGGGGCTTTTGGTGTTTGCTTTTTTTGTTTTGTTTTTTTTTTTTTTAACAATGTGGGAGGTAGATCTGGGAATCTAGAAATCTGTGTTGTCCAATAAAATATAGCTCCTCTCAGAAGGGTTTTAACAACATAGAAAGTACGAATTTATCCAGAATGGTGACATGGAGAGCTCTTTAGGAGAAAGAAAATGAATTAGTTCACTTCTAGCAATGCTACTCATTCTTTAGAAATTGGGGTTACTTCTTTCTGGTGACAGAGTCCTCATATATGCTATGAGATCATTTTTTTTAATGCAGATAATAAACAATGATGCCAAGTACCATCCGTCTTTGTTTCCCAGGAATCCCATTTAACCACATTTCCTTTCTTTGTTCTCTGTTTTTTCTTTTGAGGTTTGAGGCAGAAAAATTCTCAAAAACAGCACAGAGAACATAATACATGCCTTTGTTCCGGGAATTTAGTAATGTCAGTCACACTCTGTTTAGGAAAAATTCAAGAGTTTACCTTTAAAAGTAGTTAAGGTTTTGAGGGATCTTACTTTATTATAACAGATGGCAAAGCCTGTAAACAACTCAGTGTCACTTTCATATAAGCTTTTTATTTTTAACACAAATACAATGAAAAGAGCATTAGACCTGAGAAAAGATAGCAGTCCCAACTCAACCATTAAAAGTCACCTACCCTCTATGGGCTTTGGTTGGTTTGCCTGGGAATAAAGAGAACTTGGACTCCACATCCTTTCCAGATTTAATGGTCCATCAAATGTTGGCCAGGGTGAGACAAACTTGCTCACACTAATCAAGGTGATGAACGTGTGTGCATTTGCATTTCCTGGTCTTTGATTTCCCAGATGCTCTGCCTTGCTCCCTGCAATGCAGCCCATCGCTTTGATAGCCTGTCGGCTTGACAGCTCTTTCCATAAACTCTAAATTGGCAACGAAGTTTGGAGAAAAGAAACAGCCTTTACGTTTCAGAATCGACCCTCAGCATAAACGTCGTCTGGGGGCCACATGTCTTGGAGAGGAGTCATTTTCAACCAAGAGTGCTTCAAGTCACAAGTCATTCCAGCTTTGATTCATTTTGGGAAGCTGCCTTGCCTGCCTGACAAACAGGGGAACCACCATCAGAGAGATTATACAATGTGTAATGCCATGGTAATCAGGCTTGTCAACTTATTTTATAACAAATCTGTGGCTTTGATTTGAAATTAAGGCAAAAGTCATGGCTACAAAGTGATGGGCAGTAAGATAGGAATGAGGCAGGATGGTGAAGAACAAAGGTAGCAGGCTGGAAACACAGGTCTTCGCTCTAGAACTACTCTTGCCCCTAACTGGCTGCATATCCTTGGGTAATTCATTCTGTCAGACCCAGTCTCCTCATCTGCAAAGTGCTGGAGTTGAACCATCACCTCTCATGTCTCTTCCAGCTTGGAGATTCCACAAGCAGTTGCGGGGCCCTGTTAGTGTCTGTGCATACAGGACAAGAGAACAGTGCTATTTGGCCTAACTGGACTTGATATACCACATTCTTCCTCCCATAGAGAAATATCAGGCAAGGAGGAGTGGCTGCCCTCTCCCAGTAACAGGGGCTGGGGCGTGGGGAGGCTCTAATGAAGGATTTCACCTTTCCCTGAAGGTTTCCACTAGGGTCTTTGAGTTGGAGCCAAGACAGGTGGCGACTAGAGGGGAATGGTGATTAGTAAGACATGATGAGGTGGAACCTGCAGGGTGAGGTATTTACTTTGTCCTTCTCTACAGGAGGAGAATGAACAGATGGAGCCTTAGACCTTCACGAACATTTTATTAACTTAACCTTGAATGTGCAAACAGGCAAAAGCCTAAACCCTAAAGGCCAAAAATATTAATATTGATTCTCTTTTCTTTCTTAAAAAAAAAAAAGAGGTCAATCCCATAATATTTCCCCAGATTGAAACTATTCATAGTCTCTTAAAACACACAACTGGAGCCAGAGAATAGGATTTAGAGAGGGGGCTTTTCCTTTTGGGCTTTTTAAAATGGAAATTAATGACTGGTATTTTGCTCAATGAAACATTTCTCCTAAGAAGCTAATAATTATTTGAGCAGTATGATTTCAATTATTCTTAACAGTGTTACCAGTGCCCTGAAAAGCTTTCAGGTAGAAGGAGACGATAGCTCTATCAGGAGTTATCATATGCCCTAAACCAAGGCATGGACTTCCTGTCCCTTTTTGAACACTACTGTTTTTTCCATTCAGTTGAGTATGAATTCTGTGACATGCATTCTGTTATACACTGAGAAGGTGATAAACAGGACAGATAAGTCTCAGCCCTCTCCTATCTTTTACATAAATTTGATTCCCTTCCTGTTTTTTTTTAAGTTCCTCCATAATGTGGCCCCATTCTATCAACCCAAACTATTTTCCACTATTCATCAGTGTATTTTAACCTACTCTGCTGTTTGTCCCCACACATACATACATGCATACCTCACCAGTATGTTCACATAGACAAATATAATATTCAGTTCCGCGTTGCTTCATTTTTTCATGTTCCCCTATACTATTGATAACTCTACAATCTCCTACTCATTTCTCTAAATCCCACCCAGATTTGAAGTCTCAACAAAAATACCCCTTCTCGGGAAATTTCTTTGCTAACTTTGCTCTATATCCTTTTGCTCACACATCTAATCAATCCTTTTTTCTAGCACCTTTTTTCCTCCTTATTTGCTGTATGCCAATTTGCTTATCACATATAAGTTCTATAGTCCTTAGAAAAATAAATAATATTTTACATCTTCAGTAGCCCCACAGTCTTTGTTCAGTGTTAGTCTCAAAATAAGTTTTCAAGTCCTTGCTTGGTTGGTTAAACATGTTGTCACTAATCAAGATAAGCTACTATAATAATGGTAGAAACTCAACCAGATGGCAGATGTTTAGAGCAATATGCTTTAATCTAATTAACATGCTTTAATATACTACATTTATCTGAACCTTAAGCAGACCTTTCCCTTAACTCTATAATTATTAAAATCACAAAACATTCCAGGACATCATACTTTAATGTGGCACATATATAAAATATCTAAGTACAATTTACTACCTTTCTAACTTCAATTATTATACTTAATTAAAATTAAAGTTTTAAAAAAATCTGTTTCTTCTTTAGTGCTCTGTAATGTCACCTTCATCATGAATCAATTGACCATATACATGTGTTTATTTCTGGACTTTCCTTTTACCCTACTGGTCTGTTTGTCCTTATGTCTATACCACCTAGCCTTAATTACAATAAATCTTGATATCTAGTAGAACATAATTTATACATTGTTTCCCTTTAAGGATGTCTTGATTATTTTCAGTCTTATGCATTTCCTAATGAATTTAGGGATAAGGCTGCCAATTTCCTCCAAGATACCTGCTGGTGTTTTGGTTGGGATTGCACTAAATCTAGAAATGAATTTGAGATATTTGACATCTTTACTATATGGAATCTTATCTCACATGAACAAGAGATATCCTGTCATTAAAAATATGATAGCCAAATGGGAAAAAGTAAAACATGATCCCCTACCTCACACCACACACAAAAATCAATTCCAGGTAGACTGAAGTCCTGAAGTTCCAAGTGTGAAAACTAAAACAATGGAAGGTCTAGAAAATAACATTAAGAAGATTTTTATCATCATGGGAGTAGGAAAGGACTTAAACAGGACAAAAAAGCTAACTATAAAAGAAATAATAACTTGGGTTGCACTGAAATTACAAATACAGTATAGGTACTAGAGGAGAGTGAAAATGCAGGCTATTGAGTGGGAGACATTTGCAAAACATACATATATATATAAAACAAAGGGATTATACCCAAAATATACAAAGAGCTCTTACAAATCAATGAAAAGGACAGAAAACTTAAAGGAAAATTGGGCCATAAACTTGAAGAGGAATTTAGCAAAGGAAATTCAAATGGCCAATAAACACAAATAAAGATGCTCAATGCTGTATTTTTCATCAGGGAAATGAAAATTAGAACTACAGTTAGATACCACCATGCACCCACTATAAAGACTATTATTATCAAGTCCTAGCAATAACATAAAGCAACAAAAACTTCCCTACACCAGGAAATGGAAGTTGGAGTGACCGCTTTAGAAGATCCTTGAGCATTAATTGAATATATGTATAATCCATGAATATATGGGTTGAATATACGGATTGAATATATGTATAATCCATAACTCACTAATCCTACTCCTTATACAGCCAACAGATATTCATCAAAGACCTGTGCAGCAAAACACATGAACAAGAATAGCAGCATTATTTGTAATGGTCAAAAAAATTAAAATAGCCCTAATCCATTAAATTCCATCAATGATAATCTAGATTTTAAAACCTGTAGTTTGTTTTTTTTTGCAACATTGAAAATAAGTAACAATTTCTACATGGATGAATCTCATAAACAATGTTGAGCAAAAAAATCCAGTTGAAAAATAATTTATACTGGATAATCACACTGATAAAAGTTCAAAACAGGCCAAATTAGTCTATACAAAATAGGAGGGAGTAGATAGTAACTGGAAGGAATATGAGGAGTCTTCTGTAATGTTGATAATGACTAGGTGGTGATCAATCAGGTGTGCTTACTTTGTGATAATTCATCAAGCTGTGCACTTGTAACTTGTATACTTTTCTGTATGTATATTATATTTAAATTAAAATGCTTTTTAATTAGATAAAATTTACTACCATTGTTTCAAAACGTGAGTGTAAAATATGGATTCAACATTAATTACTAAAGGAATTAAAATTATATCACTCTGGCATATTGATTATTTAAGTTAAAGATATTTGAAAAACACCAAGTGCAAGAAGATCACTCTGACATTCACACTGCTTTTTAAAAGTAGAAGATGAAATTCTCAGGTGAAAGATAGTCTCCCTATTAAAAAAAAAAAAAGCAACATTCTTATGATGAAGGTTAGAAAAGTTAAGCCAAAGGAATTCTATATAAACTAACCTTGTTAAACTAACCCTTATCTTCCTAGTCACTTTTCTGCCCAATTAAATATCCTCATCCAAGTCCTTTGCCTTATCACATCTTCACAACTTACTATTCTTTGTTCAATTAAGTATATAAGTAACGAACTGAACTATTTCTTCAGATTTTCATTTCCTTATGAGCGCTTTCTTGCCACATAAAACTCATATTAAATAAACATATATGCTTTTGTCTTGTTAATCTGTTTTATGTCAATTTAATTCTCTGGCCCAGCTAGGACTCTAAGATGATGGAGGTAGAGTTTTGCCATGCCTACAGAAAAATAGTTTCTGAAAAATCTGAAGTGATATGTAAATATGCTTAACACTTAGGGAGAGATGGCACCTTTTCTGCTTGATGCCATCAGTTTTCAATTTTTACTTGGTTAACCTGTTCTTTCCTTGCCATTCGTTGGCTGTTCTGGATCCTTGATAACCGGGTGGTGGGATTAGGACACCACTTGGCTGTTCTGACTCAACTGCTTTGACTTCTGATATCTTGCCAGGGCTAGAAAGGTCTCACAGCCACTGCCACAGGGGTGTCATTACTGCCCATTTTCAGCAAAAGGAAATTGCTTTGACAGTCTATTTTCTCTGTAAACCTGCAAAATGGTTTGTCACCTTCCTGGCTAGAAACAGAAAAGGTTTTAGAAAATGCTATGCTATTATTCACTCATTTAACTGCTATGATTTTTAACTTTTCTGCCTTCCTAATAGCTCCATGATGAAAAAGCCCAAGGTTTAGACTTTCTCATCAATGACATCTGAGGAGCCTTCTTCATTACATGTTCATTAGTTGTTCTTTTTTTTCCTCTCTGCCCAGGTACAACAGATGCAACAGGAAGAGAGAACAGACAATTCTCAGATACTCTTTTAGATCTGCTAAAGCTTCAATGCAGTAGACCAGAGTAGAAAGCTGTAGATGAGGTGATAGTAAATTCATTTGAGTCAACTCTCCTGACTTCTCTTTCATAATATAAACACATAATTTTCCCTTGTATCCTTACAAAAGAGAGACTTCAATATCCATAAACATGTATTTCTATTTTGAGGTTACAGACATAAAATTTAAAAATTCAACAGTTCTCAACCATTTCCTTTAGCAATCGCCCATACATAGACTATGATGGAAATTAACTAGCAATGCATGAAATTTCTAAAGGAGCTCCTTATGATATCTCTCTAAAAAAATTTTAAAAGGAGCTATAAAGTTGTTAAACAGATTTATGGTAGTTTTAATGTATCTACTAAAATGTTGGATTCATGTCGGCTTTTGTATTAAGGAAAAATGATTTCCTAATAACCCCTTATAAAAGTAATTGCTGATTCTAAAGCCGTTATCTTTAAAAATGCTAATATAGTTTTCTTAGTAAAGCTTCTAAGCAATACTCAGTATGCCTTTCTCATTTTACATATATTCCTGACACTGATAAATATCAACATATTTTATTTTTGTTTTGCAATTTCTTTTTATAAAGACAATTTTTAACGAGCAGTTTCAGGTTCATAGCAACATTGAGTGGAAGGTACGGAGATAGCCCATATGCTCACTTCCTCAACACATACGCAGCTCCTCCAGTAAGGACATACCCCATCAGAGTGGTACATTCTATACAATTGATGGACTTAACATTGATACGTCATTGTCACCCAGAGTCCATAATTTACATTAAGGTTGCCTCTTGGTATTGTATATTCTGTGGGTTTGGACAAATAAATAATGGCATCAACCAATCATTGTACAAAGTAGTTTCTTTTTCTTTTACATAATTTGTAATATTTATTAATAAATAAGGAGTTATATATAATCAATTCACCGATGGCACTTTTATCACAGACTAAATTCTTATTAAGTTGTTCTGCCTCGGGCCTTTCTGTTTTGTTGCATTAATGGGTCTAACGATCCATAAAACAGTACCACACTTTGAATTCTTAAAATTTAAAATATATCTTTAAATCTGCCCAAGAAAATGCTTCTTCCTTTCTGTGCTCCACACCTGCTCTACTGCTGGAGTCATTGCTGCCACCGTTACCTGATTCTCCTCTCTTTGAGAAAGAAGTAAGATTCACAACCAAATCCCTTTGGTTGGGGAGTGCCATATGACTTGTTCTGGCCATACCTCATGAACTCAGTGACGTGCTATTTCCAGGCCACAGTACTTAATGATCAGTTTGAGACCCTCTAAAGATCTCTTTTATCTGCTGCAGTACCTGCCAACCTCTGAGCTGGAGGCTGCTACTTCAGCTCGAATTCATAGTAAGGAAACAAAAAGACATCAACCTGCAATGAACACAGCATCAGAAATAAAGCTTTGTTATTTTAAGTCATTGAGCTGGGCAGAGAAGGAAAGCGTTGTTACTGCGTCCTAACTGAGTTGATTCCGACTAATACACAGCAAAATAATTGATGTTTTCAAAAACTGCCCCAAATCTCATTAGGATTTTGATTAGAATTGTATTAATCCTGAAGATTCATTTTGGAGGAGCTAGCATTTTCACAATATTGAATCTTCCCGTGTCCAAGAATGTGATATGACTCCTCACTCATGTCTCTTATTCTGAATAAGGTTGTATATATTTCATAAAGTTTACACTAAGAGCTAGGCATGTATTGCTATTTCTTATTTATGTTTGTTCCCATACTATAAGGATTTTTAATTATTCTGCAACTGGACATGCTGGTGAATTTTCTTAATAGTTCTAATAGCTTTGGATTGAGCTTGTTGTTCCCTAAGTCAAAAGTAAATGGTGCTGAATAATGGTAATTTTATGTATTTCTTTCTGCTAATGAATGCCTCATTTCTATTTCATATCTTACTGTTTTAGATGGAAATTCCAGAATAAGGTTGATAATATCTTTGAATAAGGATATTTTTCTCTCCTTTATCAGAGGTCAGAAAGCTTTTTCTGTAAAAAGTCAGATTGTAAATATTTTTAGCTTTGAGAACCAGACCATCTGTCACAGCTACTCAATACTGCCATGGTAGCATAAAAGCAGCCACAACCAACAAATAAAAAAATGAACGTAGCTGGATTTGACTGATAAACATGGTTTACTGAACCTTTTTCTACTTTAATGGCAAGGCTTTTAATGTTTTGCCATTACTATGATTTTAGTTACTAATTTATTATTTTAAGAAATTATTCCTCCAATTCTACATTGCAAAATTTTTCTCTTTTTTGATAATTCATTTTTGACTTCAATCAAGATCATTGTTTTAAAAATCTGTTACATAGTAATTAAATTAATAGATGCTAAATTTCTCTAGAATGTTCTACAAATTTTCTAGTATTAAACCACTCTTACATCCCTATATGAGTTTTACTTAGTTTTATTTTTGTTTTTGTTTTGTTTGAGATGGAGTCTCACTCTGCAGCCCAGGCTGGAGTGCAGTGGCACAACCTTGGCTCACTGCAACCTCCGCCTCCCAGGTTCAAGCGATTCTCTTGCTTCAGCCTCCTGAGTAGCTGGGATTGCAGGCACCTGCCACGACACTCAGCTAATTTTTTTGTATTTTTAGTAGGGATGGGGTTTCACCATGTTGGCCAGGCTGGTCACGAACTCCTGACCTCAGGTGATCCACCCGCCTTGGCCTCCCAGAGTGCTGGGATTACAGGTGTGAACCACTGCACCCAGCCAGCCATTTTTATTTATTCCTGGATTTTATTAAACAAACCTTAATTGGATGCTCATGATGTATCAGGCACACTTGTAGAAGTAATGGATGCAGCAGTCAACAAAATAGAAAAAAGTTCCTGCTCTCATGGAGCTGACATTCTAGTGGGAGGACAAAGATAATAATAAATTCACTTAAATATGTCAGGTGAAGGATAAGAAAGCAAAGACAAAGAGTGTCAGGGTAGGGTGCCATTTTAGAAATGAGGTTCAGGAAGGCCTTTCTGATCAGGTGACATTTGAGCAGAAACTTGAAGGAAGTGAGGGCACAGTCTAATAAATTAAATAAGCAACTGGAAGTAGTACACTAAATTGCCAGGATAGAGAATAAGCAGGATGCTAGAGGGGCACATGGCAGGATCGCCTAATGTGGTCACAGACGTGGGGTGAGGAGGGCTTCTGGGAGGAAGCAACGTTTATTCTGAGACCTTGAAGAAAAGTTACACCTGTGTGATGGTTAATTTTATGTGTCAACTTGACCAGGCCATGGGGTGCCCAGACATTTGGTCAAACATTATTCTGGGTGTATCTGTGAAGGTGTTTCTGGATGAGATGAATATTTGCATTCATAGGTTGAGTAAAGCAGGTTGCCCTTTCTTACATGGGTGTGCCTCATCCAATCCACTGACGATCTGAATAGAACAAAAAGACTGAGTAAGAGGGAATTCTTCTTGCCTGACTGCTTGAGCTGGGGTATCAGTCTTTTCCTGTCTTTGAATTTGAACTGAAACTTTGGTTCTCCTGGTTCTCAGGCCTTTGAACTGGTCCTACAACTACAACATCAGCTTTCCTGGGCCTCTACCTTGCCAACTACAGATTTTGGGACTTCTCAGCATCTATGATCGTATGACCTGATTTCTTATAAATCTCTTTATATGTATACACATGCACACACACACACACACACACACACAACCCTATTGGTTCTATTGCTCTAAAGAACCCTGACTAATTCAATGAGCAGGAGAAAAAATAATATTCTATAATAGCATAATTTATAGTCCCCAAATTAGAGGAAAAGAACAGTTTCAAGCAAATGAAAGTTCAATATAGAGGAAGAGAAGAAATGAGGTAAAGAGTGGGGCTGAACAGATGGGAAGAAATCGGGTTGTTCACGATCCTGAAAACCTTCCTGAGCATGCGCTGTGTCCTGTGAGCAGTGGGAAGCCATTGTGTGTTTTAAGTAGCAAAGTTAAGTAACCAGTGGGGCCACCAGGTATCACAGCCCCAGTGGTCACCACCCCATTATATCCACCCATAGAATACATGGGCTAGTGCCCATGGAGTTCAGTCGTATAGAGACATTGAACTGTGTTTTATCATATACTGGGCCACAAGGAAAATTTAGATGGACTTTATAAATAAGAAATTGTTCATGCTACATTCTCTGGATTAAAGCAAAAAGAAATTATAATATAATAAAAGGGTAGTCAAAATATATATATAAAGCCACTGTAGAGTAGGAAAGATACTGTTCTACCCATCATGATCAAGGACCCTATAACAAAAGACAGATTAACAGAGAGAAGCATAAAAAAGATATTTAATATAGATTTAACATGACATAGAAGTCTTCACAAGAAAATGAAGATCCAAAGAAACAGGTACACTTGAGTAGCTTTGTGCTGGTTTTGATGAAGACTTGAGAGTGGAGGGGAAACGTAATAAAGCAGAAAGGGTGTGATCTAATGGTAATAAACTGAGGGAACTTAGCAGGGCCTATTTGTTCAGATTCTTCTCTGTGACCCTGTGTCCTCAGGGATAAGGATGCTCATCCATTCAGAGGTATAGGGAGGGCACCTCTCACATGAGGGTTTTGTGACCTGGTTCAGGGGAAGGTCAGAAAATCCTTCCCGGTTGTATGACCTGCTTCCGGGGAGAATGATGTGGGAAGGTCAGTGAGACCTTCCTGATTCTGCCGTTATTATAAATTCCTTCAGCTTGATATATTCAATAGGCCAAAATGCCCTATTTTGGGGTAGTGTGTCCTGAACACATATAGGAAAATTTTTAAATTCTTCTGTAAAATAAGTCTTGGGCCAATAAGTACATGAAACCTGCAGCTATCAACTTTATGGACATTAAAAACAAATTAAAAACTTGGAGAGAAAATGATCACAGCAATTCAAAGACCAAAAAAATCATAGGCTTGAGGCTTAAATGAGAAAGACTGGCTTAAATGAGAAAAGTCAAGGAGAAAAATGACCCAAAGGATAAAGGGCCTCTGTGTTTGTTGTGCTCTCCACCCATCTTTATGCCTGTTGCCCTCACTTTCTTCAAGTCCCTGCCCAAATTCCACCTGATCAGAGAGGCTTTCCCTTTAGCCCCTTTCTAAGATAGCATCCTTTCCCTCTGCTATCCGTCACTCTCTACCTCTGCTTTATTATCCTTCCCCTGGCACATTCTGTGTGTCTTTGCTATCATCTGAGTCCTCCCCCTGGAATAAAGCTGTGAGCGCAGGGACCTCTGTCTATTTTGTCCCCTGCGGCATCCCCTACTTCTAGAACAGTGCCTGGTACTGGGGCTCCATGTGGCAGGTCTGTGACTGGCCTGTTCAAACTTCATCCCCTACCCAGGCCAGGCATTTGCCAGATGCTTAATAAATACTTTTTGAGTTAATGCTACAATGCATCACTGGACATCTTTTAAAAGTAATATTCTTTTGGAGGTATCAAATCTATCTAAAAATATATAGGGATCGTTCCAAGATGGCCGAATAGGAAGAGCTTCATTCTGCAGCTCCCAGCATGATCGATGCAGAAGACAGGTGATTTCTGCATTTCCAACTGAGGTGCCTGGTTCATCTCACTGGGACTGGTTGGACAGTGGGTAGCCCATGGAGGGTGAGCTGAAGCAGGGTGGGGTGTTGCCTCGCCCAGGAAGTGCAAGGGGTTGGGGGGTTTCCCTTTCCTAGCCAAGGGAAGCCATGACAGACTGTACCTGGAAAATCGGGACACTCCCACCCTAATACTGCATTTTTCCAGTGGTCGTAGCAAATGGCTCACCTGGAGATTATATCCCATGCCTGGCTCAGTGGGTCCCATGCCCACAGATCCTTGCTCACTGCTAGCACAGCAGTCTGAGATCAAACTGCAATGTGGCAGCCTGGGCTGGAGGAGGGGCATCCACCATTGCTGAGGCTTGAGTATGTAAACAAAGCAGCCAGGAAGCTCGAACTGGGTGGAGCCCACTACAGCTCAATGAGGCCTGCCTGCCTACCACTGTAGATTCCACCTCTGGGAGCAGGGCATAGCTGAACAAAAGGCAGCAGAAATTTCTGCAGACTTAAACGTCCCTGTCTGACAGCTCTGAAGAGAGAAGTGGTTCTCCCAGCATGGGGTTTGAGCTCTGAGAACAGACAGACTGCCTCCTCAAGTGGGTCCCTGACCCCCGTGTAGCCTAACTGGGAGACACCTCCCAGTAGGGGCCGACTGACACCTCATACAGCCAGGTGCCCCTCTGAGACGAAGCTTCCAGAGGAAGGATCAGGCAGCAATATTTGCTGTTCTGCAGCCTCCGTGGGTGATACCCAGGCAAACAGGGTCTGGAGTGGACCTCCAGCAAACTCCAACAGACCTGCAGCTGAGGGTCCTGACTATTAGAAAGAAAACTAACAAACAGAAAGGAATAGCATCAACATCAACAAAAAGGACATCCACACCAAAACCCCATCTGTAGGTCACCATCATCAAAGACCAAAGGTAGATAAAACCACAAAGATGAGAAGAAACCTGAGCAGAAAAGCTGAAAATTCTAAAAACCAGAGCACCTCTTCTCCTACAAAGGATCACAGCTCCTCGCCAGCAATGGAACAAAGCTGGATGGAGAGTGACTTTCACAAGTTGACAGAAGTAGGCTTCAGAAGGTCAGTAATAACAAACTTCTCCGAGCTAAAGGAGGATGTTCGAACCCATCGCAAAGAAGCTAAAAACCTTGAAAAAAGATTAGATGAATGGCTAACTAGAATAAACAGTGTAGAGAAGACCTTAAATGACCTGATGGAGCTGAAAACCATGGCACAAGAACTACGTGACGCATGCACAAGCTTCAGTAGCCGATTCGATCAAGTGGAAGAAAGGGTATCAGTGATTGAAGATCCAATGAACGAAATAAAGCAAGAAGAGAAATTTAGAGAAAAAAGAGTAGAAAGAAATGAACTAAGCCTCCAAGAAATATGGGACTATGTGAAAAGACCATCTATGTTTGATTGGTGTACCTGAAAGCGACGGGGAAAATGGAACCAAGTTGGAAAACACTCTTCAGGATATTATCCAGGAGAACTTCCCCAACCTAGCAAGGCAGGCAGACATTCAAATTCAGGAAATACAGAGAACACCACAAAGATACTCCTTGAGAAGATCAACCTCAAGACACATAATTGTCAGATTCACCAAGGTTGAAATGAAGGAAGAAATTTTAAGGGCAGCCAGAAAGAAAGGTCGGGTTACCCACAAAGGGAAGCCCATCAGACTAACAGTGGATCTCTTGGCAGAAACCCTACAAGCCAGAAGAGAGTGGGGGCCAATATTCAACATTCTTAAAGAAAAGAATTTTCAACCCAGAATTTCATATCCAGCTAAACTAAGCTTCATAAGTGAAGGAAAAATAAAATCCTTTACAGACAAGCAAATGCTGAGAGATTTTGTCACCACCAGGCCTGCCTTACAAGAGTTCCTGAAGGAAGCACTGAACATGGAAAGGAACAACTGGTACCAGCCACTGCAAAAACATGCCAAATTGTAAAGACCATCAATGCTAGGAAGAAACTGCATCAACTAACGAGCACAATAACCAGCTGACATCATAATGACAGGATCAAATTCACACATAACAATATCTACCTTAAATGTAAATGAGCTAAATGCCCCAATTAAAAGACACAGACTGGCAAATTGGATAAAGAGTCGAGACACATCAGTGTGCTGTATTCAGGAGACCCATCTCACATGCAGAGACACACATAAGCTCAAAATAAAGGGATGGAGGAAGATCTACCAAGCAAATGGAAAACAAAAAAAAAGCAAGGGTTGCAATCCTAGTCTCTGATAAAACAGACTTTAAACAAACAAATATGAAAAGAGACAAAGAAGGCCATTACATAATGGTAAAGGGATCAATTCAACAAGAAGACCTAACTATCCTAAATATATATGCATCCAATACAAGAGCACCCAGATTCATAAGGCAAGTCCTGAGAGACCTACAAAGAGACTTAGACTCCCACACAATAATAATGGGATACTTTAACACCCCCCTGTCAATATTAGACAGATCAATGAGACAGATGGTTAATAAGGATATCCAGGACTTGAACTCAGCTCTGCACGAAGCAGACCTAATAGACATCTACAGAACTCTCCCCCCCAAATCAACAAAATACACATTTTTCTCAGCACCACATCGCACTTATTCCAAAATTGACCACATAGTTGGAAGTAAAGCACTCCTCAGCAAATGTAAAAGAACAGAAATCACAACAAACTGTCTCTCAGACCACAGTGCAATCAAATTAGAACTCAGGATTAAGAAACTCACTCAAAACCACACAACTACATGGAAACTGAACAACCTGCTCCTGAACGACTACTGGGTAAATAACGAAATGAAGGCAGAAATAAAGATGTTCTTTGAAACCAATGAGAACAAAGACACAACATATCAGAATCTCTGGGACACATTTAAGCAGTGTGTAGAGGGAAATTTATAGCACTAAATGCCCGCAAGAGAAAGCAGGAAAGATCTAACATCAGCACCCTAACATCACAATTAAAAGAACTAGAGAAGCAACAGTAAACAAATTCAAAAGCTAGCAGAAGGCAAGAAATAACTAAGATCAGAGCAGAACTGAAGGAGATAGAGACACAAAAAACCCTTCAAAAAATCAATGCATCTAGGAGCTGGTTTTTTGAAAAGATCAACAAAATAAATAGAATCTAATAGAAACAATAAAAAATGATAAAGGGGATATCACCACTGATCCCACAGAAATACAAACTACCATCAGAGAATACTATAAACACCTCTATGCAAATAAACTAGAAAATCTAGAAGAAATGGATAAATTCCTGGACACATACACCCTCCCAAGACTAAACCAGGAAGAAGTTGAATCCCTGAATAGACCAATAACAGACTCTGAAATTGAGGCAATAATTAATAGCCTACCAACCAAAAAAGCCCAGGACAAGACCAATTCACAGTCAAATTCTACCAGAGGTACAAAGAGGAGCTGACACCATTCCTTCTGAAACTATTCCAATCAATAGAAAAAGAGGGAATCCTCCCTAACTCATTTTATGAGTTATGAGGCCAGCATCATCCTGATACCAAAGCCTGGCAGAGACACAACAAAAAAAGAGAATTTTAGACCAATATCCCTGATGAACATTGGTGCAAATATCCTCAATAAAATACTGGCAAACTGAATCCAGCAGCACCTCAAAAAGCTTATCCACCACGATCAAGTTGGCTACATCCCTGGGATGCAAGCCTGGTTCAACATTCGCAAAACAATAAATGTAATCCATCACGTAAACAAAATCAAAGACAAAAACCACATGATTATCTCAATAGATGCAAAAAAGGCCTTTGACAAAATTCAACAGCCCTTCATGCTAAAAACTCTCAATAAACTATTTTGATGGGATGTATCTCAAAATACTAAGAGCTATTTTTTGACAAACCCACAGCCAATATCATACTGAATGGGCAAAAACTCCTTTGAAAACTGGCACAAGACAGGGACGCCCTCTCTCACCACTCCTATTCAACATAGAGTTGGAAGTTCTGGACAGGGCAATCAGGCGGGAGAAAGAAATAAAGGGCATTCAATTAGGAAAAGAGGAAGTCAAATTGTCCCTGTTTGCAGATGACATGATTGCATATTTAGAAAACCCCATCATATCAGCCCAAAATCTCCTTAAGCTGATAAGCAACTTTGGCAAAGTCTCAGGATACAAAATCAATGTGCAAAAATCACAAGCATTCTTATACACCAATAACAAGGCAAACAGAGAGCCAAATCATGAGTGAACTCCCACTCACAATTGCTTCAAAGAGAATAAAATACCTAGGAATCCAACTTACAAGGGATGTGAAGGACCTCTTCAAGGAGAACAACAAACCACTGCTCAACAAAAAAAAAGAGGACACAAACAAATGGAAGAACATTCCATGCTCATGGATAGGAAGAGTCTATATCATAAAAATGGCCATACTGCCCAAGGTAATTTATAGATTCAATGCCATCCCCATCAAGCTGCCAATGGCTTTCTTCATAGAATTGGAAAAAACTACTTTAAAGTTCATATGGAACCAAAAAAGAGCCCACATTGCCAAGACAATCCCAAGCCAAAAGAACAAAGCTGGAGGCATCATGCTACCTGACGTCAAACTATACTACAAGGCTACAGTAACCAAAACAGCATGGTACTGGTACCAAAACAGAGATCTAGACCAATGGAACAGAACAGAGGCCTCAGAAATAACACCACACATCTACAACTATCTGATCTTTGACAAACCTGACAAAAGCAAGAAATGGGGAAAGGATTCCCTATTTAATAAATGGTGCTGGGAAAACTGGCTAGCTATATGTAGAAAGCTGAAACTGCATCCCTTCCTTACACCTTATACAAAAATTAATTCAAGATGGATTAAAGACTTAAATGTTAGACCTAAAACCATAAAAAACATAGAAGAAAACCTAGGCAATACCATTCAGGACATAGGCATGGGCATGGACTTCATGACTAAAACACCAAAAGCAATGGCAACAAAAGCCAAAACAGACAAATGTGATCTAATTAAACTAAAGAGATTCTGCACAGCAAAAGAAACTACCATCAGAGTGAACAGGCTACCTACAGAATGGGAGAAAATTTTTGCAATCTACCCATCTGACAAAGGGCTGATATCCAGAATCTACAAAGAACTTAAACAAATTTACAAGAAAAAATCAAACAACCCCATCAAAGAGTGGGCAAAGGATATGAACAGACACTTCTCAAAAGAAGACATTTATTGCAGCCAACAGACATGTGAAAAAATGCTCATCATCACTGGTCACCAGAGAAATGCAAATCAAAACCACAAGGAGATACCATCTCACACCAGTTAGAAGGGTGATCATTAAAAACTCAGGAAACAACAGGTGCTGGAGAGGATGTGGAGAAATAGGAACACTTTTACACTGTTGGTGGGACTGTAAACTAGTTCAACCATTGTGGTAGACAGTGTGGCGATTCCTCAAGGATCTAGAACCAGAAATACCATTTGACCCAGAGATCCCATTACTGGGTATACACCCAAAGGATTATAAATCATGCTACTATAAAGACACATGCACACGTATGTTTATTGCAGCACTATTCACAATAGCAAAGACTTGGAACCAATCCAAATGTCCATCAATGATAGACTGGATTAAAAAAATGTGGCACATATACATCATGGAATACTATGCAGCCATAAAAAAGGATGAGTTCATGTCCTTTGTAGGGACATGGATGAAGCTGGAAACTGTCATTCTGAGCAAACCATCACAAGGACAGAAAACCAAACACCGTATGTTCTCACTCATAGGTGGGAACTGAACAATGAGAACACTTGGACACAGGAAAGGGAACATCGCACACACCGGGGCCTGTTGTGGAGTGGGAGGAGTGGGAAGGGATAGCATTAGGAGAAATACCTAATGTAAATGATAAGTTAATGGGTGCAGCACACCAATATGGCACATGTATACATATGTAACAAACCTGCATGTTGTTCACATGTACCCTAGAACTTAAAGTATAAAAAAAAAAAATGGAAAGACCGTTCTTAGTCAAGGGCCATACAAAATCAGGCTACAGGCCAGATTTGGCCCATAGGGCTTAGTTTGCTGACCCCTGGTTTATACCACTTATATTTAATGTGATTGCTTTGTTAGGTTTAAAAATATATCATCTTGTTATTTTTTAAAAAATAAAAAAATAATAAATTATAAAAATATATAACTACTAATTCAAATGTAATAATTAACTATTCTATTCTTTTGCATATAGCAGCCTTTTTTGGTCTGATTGACTAAATTCTGAAAGTCACATGTTGTTAAGGTTATAACATCAAGGTTGTATCAACGGCTTCTCGTCTTTTAAGTAGCTAAGCTTTATACTTCTCAATATTATATATTTTTGCTACATAAAGTTTTAGAACTCCTGTCCAGACTTAATTTTTCTTGTTTTGAATTTTTCATTAATAACAAATAAACTTTTGTTTCCATTTAATGCTTTTAGTCTTAAATTTCATTTTGTGTGATATTTGTATTAAACTCTGGGTTTATTTTTGTCGCATTTTTCCGAGATATCATTTCCCATCTCATTGTTTTTAGTTGTTCTGTGCCATTTTGTTTTTTGTCTTTCCTGTAAACAGTATGTAGTTGAAATTTGCCTTGTTACCCAATCTGAGAATTCTGTCTTCTAATCAGAAGTTTAATCTATGTGTATTCTCAGTGTGATAACCAGTAAATCTGGGCACATGTTCGCCACAGTATTATGTGCTTTCTATTTTATGAGTGTCCGTCTTAGTCTTCTTAGGCTGCTATAACAGAAATATCATAGACTGGGTGCCTTCAACAACATTTATTTATTATCTCCATTCTGGAAGCTGGAAGTACAAGCCCAGGGAGCCAGCATGGTTGGGTTCTTGGGGAGGGTCCTCTTGCTGGCTTATGGACAGCAGCCTTCTTGCTGTTTCTCACATGGCAGAAAGAGGAAGTGCTGGTGTCTCTTCCTCTTCTCATAAGGACTCATGAGAAGGCCTCACCCTTGTGGCTTCATGTAAGCCTAATTATCTCTCAAAGGTCCCACCTCCAAATAACATCACAATGGGTGTTTAGGGCTTCAACATATGAATTTGAGGGGTTGCGCACAAGCATTTAACCCGTAACAGCATCTTCATACTTTGGCCATCTTTCTAGATCTAGTTGTTTCTTCTACCTGGTCTTTCCACATTCCACCTACCTGCCTTACAGAGAAAGAGCCTTGTAGCTGAGAGAATGTCTCAGAAAGAAAAATAGGTCCACCCTAGCTGTTTTCTCCTGTTGACTTGTCCCTGCACCTCCCAGCACTGATGCTCCTGGGAGCTATGGATCCTGGCATTTAAAGGGATCCATGGAGCCAACATCCAACTCTTCATGGCCTCCAATCCCTGCCACACACCCTCACACCCACATAAACAGTTTAGGGGCTTATTCCAAGCTCCCATTTACACAGACTTCCCATAATACTCAACAGTGTGATGAGCCAAATAAGGTAGGCTCTGAAAAGTTGAATCTGTGTGGCCAGTCCTAATTCTGCACTGGTAGCTTGAAATTGGCCAAGGCAGGTGCATTTACACCACTTAGTGTAAGTGCCCCAAATTCGGGCTTTAGTTTTCCAGAAAGCCAGTTTACCAGCTCACCTCTGCCAATACCCACATTTTCTAATGGAGGAGAGGAGAGGAAAGGGGAGGGGAGGAATTTTCTAAATAAGAGAAATTATGACGTTATCTTTTGCCACTTCTTCTGTGCTGTCTCAAAACTTCTTCCGACTTTGTAACATGTTGATGGAACCTTTTCTTCATTTTCAGTGCAGATGCTGTGTTTTCCTAATCTTCATGACCCTTTGGTAATTTAACTTGGTGTCTGAATGCGGGGTAGGGACGTATCTTTGAAATCATGTTGTCATATATTTCAGAAGTCCTTGTGACATGTCTTCATTCCATTATCTATGCAAATCATGGGCAGAATTACACAGATCCCTGTTTGCTGCTTTAATTATCCCTTCTCAGCCAAATAGCACTTGCTCTGCCACTAATGATTCTAATCTGAACTGGGAATTGATGTTGACAAAACACAAGCTGTTTAGTTTTTGCAAAGGCTTATCAAATCTCCTACTGAAAACAGAAGTTTTACTGGATATCCAGAATCGAAGCCCCATTTATTGGAAAATATTCCAGCTGATAAGCAAGAGAGCCAATAAGAAATATCCCTGGGAAGGCAGGAGGGAATTCACAAGATCATAAAAATATAACCACAGTTACATCACTGAGATAAGAGCTAATCTAAGTTATAAGGTTGTCCCTTGTGAAAACATGACAAAATAATAATTAAGTGTACATGCCTTGCGAATGTTCTCCACTGTTAAAATAGCGCCTCTATTTAGGGCAGCTTGTAAAGGGAACTGGGTATGTTTAGAGCTTAGAAAAGCATACAGTTGGAATATGAAAAAAAGAGAGAGATTATGGCAATTTTGTAAATCAAGAAGAATTTGTAGTGGGAGATAGGGAGCCACTGAAGGTTTTTAAGCAGGAAAACAATGCAATAAAAGATGTAATTAAGGAAGATTAGTCTGGCAGTATTAGGGCAAGATCTATCTTAAGTTCCTTATAAAAAACAAAAATAGAATTAGTAATGAGTTAACCCCCCAACCCCACCACCAAAAAAACAAAAAAAAGAGAGAGAGAGGAAAAGCATCAAATCTCTTCTACTTTTCGTAGGCAGTTAAGGTAGCACATAGACTGGGAAGTACTCAAAGAGTCTTGCAAAACTTTCTCAGCTTATTAAGTTAAATTACTTCTTTGCTCTCATTTGGTATTCATGAATGTTAAAACAAGTTCCGTAACAGTGCACTCAAAGTCTCCAGGCAGTCCAGGGACCTCTTGAAGACTTCTTTTCATGCTGTTCCATTGTTGCAGCCAATGAGCACTGTCAGCCAACAGCCCACATGCCATCTGATCCTCCCATTGTCCTGTTTTCAGAAACAGTTTAAATCTCATCCACTCTTATGAAAATGAAGGAATAGGGGCCCATGTCTTCTAATTCTCATTCAAGAGTCACTAGACTGCAGTAAAAATCCAACCAATGATACCACAATGACTCAGGGCTCTTGTAGGCTTAGCACATGAAGGAAATGGACGGTGCCAATTGTGACAGAGTTCATCCAAGGAACAGATACGACCTAAAAGACACCAGCCAAACTGCTATTTCTCAAAAGGACAATGTTCCTGCCTTGAGTGCCTGTCCCACTTTGTCTGCATTGTCTGCCTCCTACCCAAGACCCAGCGAAAGTTTCCCCTTGTTGGTGAATTCTCAGATTCTCCAGCTCATAGCAATCCTTGACCTTCTGAACTATCATGGATTTTGACTAGACCACAAAATTGCATTGAGCTTATATATTTCCTAAATGGTTATTTCTTTTCATGTGTAAATTCTCTCTCCAACTACAATAAAAACTCCTTAAAAAGAGAAACCATGTCTTACATGTCATATGTCATCCAAGTTCAGTGGCATAGGAAGAAGATGGAGATATTGAGGCTGAACTCTGTCTCCAAAATCCTGTGTTCCAAATTATGCTCACCATGGTGAAGATGTTTGCAAGTCTCCCAAGCCTCAAACCCTACCATTTATTTTTCAGTCTTAGTAGATGTCCTTGCTTTCCTTTGTTTTTCCTAAAAAAATAGAGTTCACACAAATTAAGTTCCCACAATTCCCTTCCACTCCACTTCATGATTTTTATTTTCCTCCTCTGCTTTTTTCAGAAGAAGGCTTGTTTCTTCTTGGCAAAACTGGTTGCTTCCTTTTGGAATTTGATTCAACAGTTACTCTACTTTTTAGCCCAGTATCTTCAATCCATCCTGCTTCTGCTATAAACATCACAAGTTTCCCTACTTTTTTCTTTGTTAGCATTTTTACTGTTTTCCTTAGAAAAGCTTTCCCCAAAGCCAATTTTTAAAAATAGTATGTACTCACTCACTACTTCCTCTCTTCTATTATCTATGAACTCCTTGACTTTTCTCAATTTGAGTTTTGATAAAAGAACTTCAAGAGGGTTCTGATGAAAGAACTCAAGAATGAGAAAAGTCAAGGAGTTCATAGATAATAGAATTAACTCCTGATTAATTGAAGCTGTTCCCTTGGAATGTCCAGTTCAAGCTCAGAACTGGAATCCTGTGTTTAACTCCCCTGAACATGGAAATTAATCACCCAGATCCGCCACCAAAGAGGACTTCCTGTGCATACATGGGGCATGTGGTCCACCAGCCTCTCCCAGCTGTCAGCTCTTTCAGAACCTGCTGCAGCTGGGCCGCCTGTCTAAGATCACAGCTTTCTCAGGCAGCCCACATCTAAGGTGGCCAGATGAAGCACAAAACACCCAGTTCAATTTGGCTTCCAGATAAACAATGGATAGTTTAATTTTTTATGATAAGTACACCACAGGCAATATTTGAGACATACTCCTATTTTTAAAATATTCATTGTTTATTTGAAAAGTTGAACTGGGCATTCTGTATTTTAACTTGCTATATCTGGCAACTCTACCCATCCAATGACTCAGTGAGGTAAGAGCAGAAGGGCCAGGACCTTCGGACCCAAAGAGGGTCAGCTGTGTTGGGCAACACTGGCTCCAGACCTCCATGAAGGGTTGGCAAAGCTTTGTCCCACCAGCATTGCATTTGCCTTTTTCTTCTCCACAATCCTGCTTCCTTCTCTTCCTTAGGAGGGGGATAAACCACTAAAGCATCTCTAAACCATACTCTGTCTTAGCATCTTTGCTCAGGGAACTCATCCTGAGACATCTCTCCTGAGACAGGGAACTCATCCTGAGACATCTCCTTTTAAATGTCCACAGAAAGATAAAATGAGGTATAATATAATTTGAACTCCAGAAATCAAGGGAGGGGAACCAGCAGGAGGTAATAATCAGGCATTCCTCTAATCTATGCATGTGAAGGAAAAAGCATTCTGGGTAACAAATGAACAGTATTCCCAGAAGACCAAAATATGCTAAGTAGAAAACAACTGGAATAATTAGTAATCAAAGAAAAGCAAATAAATATCATTGAACGATCATTTTTTTACCCAAAAAGTTGGTAAAAATAAAGAAGGAATATATCCAGTATTGTTGAGTATATGATAAAGTAACCAATTGTATGTTTTGCTAGTAAAAGTATGAAGTGGTAGAAGCTTTCTAGAAGGCAAAGATTATATCATGTACATATCCTTGAATCTAGGGAATTTATGCCTAGATATTTAACCTAAGGAAATAATCAAACATATGTACAACCACATATGAACAAAACTTTAAAATCTCAAAAAATTAAAAACTACCAATAAGGAATGGGTCAAATAAATTATAGCAGTTCTATTACAACCAGAATAACTTGAAGTCATTTTAAATTACCATTTGTGTATATTCATTGACATGGAAAAATTTTATGATATATTGTTATATGAAAAACTGATTTCATATTTATATATATGATGTCCCATTTTTGTTTACAAAAACACAGATTTATATTTTTTGAAAAATAATTATAAATTTTAAGTGCTTATATTTGAATGGTGGTATTATAAGTGTTTTTTTGTAATTTGTAATTTTTTCTATGATAAATAATACTATTTGTATGCTTTAACAAATACTTTGCTCTACACTATATGCACCAAAGCCTTCAGATTTTTTCGCCTTGACGTCACCTTTTTATTTTTTCTTTTTTACCTTTCTGTAACATTTTATATATTAAATACTTAACTCTCTAGAATCCTTTTCCACCTTCTTAAACTCTCTTCCTTAGTTCTTTTTCCTTTTCCCTTTATGTTGATATTTCCCAATATTGTGTCATCAGATCTTTTCTCTGTTTTCTATCTGCATGACTTACATTATTGTCTATATGCAGATAACTCAAACATCTGAGTCTCAGCAACACTGACGTCCCTCAAGAGCATGTGAAACCCTAGTTCCAAATGCCCACTGACTTCTAGATTCAAACATTTATACTGCACCTGCTATGTTCGGGAAATAGAGTCTAGAGAAGAGGCTGCAAAGACAAGGAGAGCCCACAAATCTCCACCAAGAAACACTGGATCTGCCAATTTCAAAATATTTCACCTTTTCCCAAGTCAATTCTTCTTCCTGATCTTTCTTTTTCTGCTACCAGCACAACTATCATTTTAGTTGCCCGGCCATGCCTATAGCAGTAATTAATTAATTAGCTCACTTAGCAAGTGAGGGATCTGATAAAATAGTGGTACTCAGACTCAGCTATGTATGAGAATCACACAGGAAGCTTCAAAAAATACTGACGCTTATTTCCCACCCCAGAGATTCTGATTTAATTGGTCTGGTATCCCAACTGGGCAGTAAGAGTTTTATCCCCTCCCCAGGTGGTTTCTAATTTCAGCAAGAATTAAAAGTCACTGTGCTAGACACAGAAAGAGCAGCATATAATGACTGATTGTGTGATGGGAGGAAAACAGTCAAAACTTTTTTAAAAAATACACTTACTTCTTAGTGATATCATCTGAGTTAAATATATATTCCCTGGATGGCAGAAGCTCAATCAGCTTTCCTAGTGCACTTGTCTCTTTATTCAACTCAACTCCAGCCTTTATAATATTTCCAGAATGCATGGAGAGAATATAGCCATACTGTCATTTAGGCATTCCCATGCTCTGACCCACGCAGTCTTTGCTGTTATTGTTCCACACACACATCAGTTAAACAGGACTACCCATTGCTCCCTAGACATTGTCTCCAATCTAACTCTGCCTTTGCCCTTACTATTCCTCCCACCTTAACCATCCTTCACTCCCACCTCAATCAATCACAACTCCACCAATCCATTAGCTCTAACGATTGATGGTGAACCAACCTTGATAGCATGCCCCTCTGTATGCCCAGGAGTAATTCCTCACTCTCCTTAACTCCAAAGCACCCCTTATTATACTTAACAAACTCTGTCTATGGAAAAGTTATGAGTACCCTCATCATATACTTCCAATCAGATTTTAAGCTACCTGAAGGCCAAAGGTAAGATCTCTTATTTCTACGTACAGGAATGAAGGAGGGAAAGCTGAGGGCTCCAGAGTCATCCTGCCTGAGTTTATACCCAAACTCTGCCAATCATACACAGAGTGTGTGATGTTTAGGCAAGCAACTTACCTTCTGAACCTGTTTCCTCCTCCTTTGAATGAAGATAACAATAGGACACACAAGATTGTTATGAAGGTAAAATAAATAAATAAATATATATATTTATATATAATTTATATATATTATATATCTATATAATTATTTATATATATTTATATAATTTATATATATTATATATTTATATAATTATTTGTATATATTTATATAATTTATATATATTATATATTTATATAATTATTTATATATATTTATATAATTTATATATATTATATATTATATAATATATATATGTATATATAAAGCGCTTAGCACAATAATTGCTCCAAATGGCATTGATGATGATGGGAATCAGTGTTTGGGAGTCTAAACTATATCAAGAAAGATATTTGGTTGTGAAGGTGACAGCATCTCTGTGTAGTAAACAGAAGGCAAATAAAGCTCTTGGATTTGGAAAATGTTTATTATATTTTCTAACATTACTCCCTAGGACAACTCAAGTTATTATTGCAGTTTCAATTATTCCAGACAGTTAGTCCTGCTTCCTGATAGTATGTAAATTTCCCAGCTTGGTGCCATCTCTAAGGTTCTAAATTTCATTTTGCACTAACAGCTTTTCCGAAAACTCTGCCACTCGGAGACCCCTGTGTCCTAAATGCTGTTTCTTTGTGGAGTACAATGTTTTTAATTGGGTGAAACAGTGATGGAGAGCGTGTCAGATTTCCATGCAGGATACACTCATTTGTGAAGCATGCAATCCCGCTGTTAAGACTGCAGTGAACCAAGAGAGCAACAAGCTATTTCTACCTAGTGGGCTGATAGCATTACAGCCTCTGGATCTGAAATGAGATCTATTTTAAATTTAATTCATTTTCTGAGGGATACGTAACAAGAGCCTCTTCTGTATGCACCTGAACCAAAAGACCATAAGCCATACTGACAGCGAGGCAGGGGAATGTGAGGACGCAGAGGCAGCTTCCTCAGGGACTCCCTGTTGCCAGGCTGCCATCTCTCCCAGCAAAAACAATCTTGCTGTTTTTTATGCCCACTTGAAGTACCAGAGACATAACAAAGAGTGCATCAGTGTGTCGAAGCTGCAAACAAACGGATCATCTGCTCTTAGAGTGGCTCTGTAAATTCTTTTCTCTCCTTTATCAACTTTCCTCTCTGTGGTGGAACCTTCCTATCAGCACTGAAACATGTTCAAGTCCCTCTTATCTTTAAAAGTAAAAATAAAACATAAAAAATCTACCCTTGGTCCCACTCCCTCCTCCAGGGACTGCTCCACTTCCTCATCCCCTTCAAAAGGCTTGAACCTGCTCTCTACATTCACCGTGTGCCTTCCTCATGCCTCATGCATATTTCAAACCACCTCAACACAGATGGCTTCCAAATCTTCATCCTCTGACCTCATGAGAACCATGCTGAGGTCACTAATGACTTCCAGGTAGCTAAATCCATTCCTCAGCTTATGTGGCACAATTAACCAGGAGCTTCTTCTTTTCAGGAGCGCTTGATCACATCCAATTACCAACGACCCCTCACTTGATGTCCTCAGCCCACCCAGACCTCCCCTCTGAGTAGCCCATATCCAAATGCTGACTCCATCTCTTCTACCTGCATTCTCAAAATCTCTGCAAAACATCTTCCAAACTAGCTGTCACCTCCACTGCTTAAGTGATCACACCAGATACCCAAGAGACATCCTTGACCCTTCCCTTGCTGTGGTCCACGCTAACCATTGCAGGGCCCAGAATAAGAATATGTGTGGCGCTCATATGCATACGTGTAGCTTTTATGTTTGTGTAAAGAATCAGTGTCACACTTCATTCATGTTGGGTCTAAACCAGAGTCGCATGAGTTGTAAAGTGTAGCAAAATATCCCTCAGCTGCCATGCAAAATCACTCCAGAGACCACACTAACTTAGGAGTATCCCAGCGCTAAGCAAAACAATGAAGGGGGATACTGAACACATTGAGAAATTGCACTTCGTTTCACTCATGTAATAGACTAGATAAAGATTTTGACAAGTCCATTAATTCATCTTTTCTTTTATGGAGGCATTTGCTCTGCTCAGATCCTTCCTGCACTGGAGAGCAGTGTTAGCAACAGCACAAGCCAAAGTCTCCACAACATTTAGATACTTTCGTATAGAGGAGCCAGGTTGAAGAGATGGAGAGAAGCGTCTCCCTGGAACCTGGGCAGTCTTAGTCTTGAAAGTGGATGTCTAAGGTTATGGGTAAGTAACTTGCCTGGGCTGAGAGACACCCATTTGTTTATTTTTCTTTTTTCTTTTTTTTTTTTTTTTGAGACGGAGTCTCGCTCTGTCGCCCAGGCTGGAGTGCAGTGGCTCGATCTCGGCTCACTGCAAGCTCTGCCTCCCAGGTTCACGCCATTCTCCTGCCTCAGCCTCCCCTAGTAGCTGGGACTACAGGCGCCCGCCACTAATCTTTTGTATTTTTAGTAGAGACGGGGTTTCACCATGTTAGCCAGGATGGTCTCGATCTCCTGACCTCCTGATCCACCTGCCTCGTCCTTCCAACGCATTTGTTTATTAATACCTTTATTTTTTGTGAGTGTTTGTGAAGTGAGTAGTCCTCTACAACAGGAATTGGCAAAATTTTTTGTACATATTTTAGGCTTTCCAGGCCAGAAAGGCCACTGTAGCAAAGAAGTAGCCACAGAATGAATGACTGCAGCTGTGTTTCAATAAAACTTTATTTAAAGAAAAAATCAGGACAGGGGCCAGCTTTGGCCCATGGGCTGGAGTTTGCCAATCCCTGGTATAACATATAAGGCGCAGAGTCGGATCTCTTTTGCCCCAAACTAAGGATAGTATTGCCTTCATTCTCTGCTTCTAATAAATTATCCTGTTCTACTTTACACCTTAAATATGTTTCAAATCCATGCACTTCTGAACATTTCACCATCACCACCCTGATCAACACTGCTTTTATTTCCCACGTGGGCTGCATTTCGGAATAGCCTCTCAATAGGCTTCTCATTTCATTTTCACTCACCCACTCTCCTACCTCACCTCTGCAGCTAAGGTGATTTTTCTAAAATGCAAATATGACCACGTTGCTTCTCAACTAAACACTTTTTCGTACTGTCTCTGAAAATCAAAGCCACAGTTTCAACAAAATCTATCAGCCCCTCAGCAGCCTCAACAAAGGCCTCCCTTCTTCTGGCCCCCTACCCTCAAGCCGCAGCGACTTGGTTCACATCTTCAGATGCTCAAGTTACCTTCCTTGCCGCATGCTGCCTCCTCACCTTGAAAAACTGTTGCTCCTCTTTATCTGGGAAATTCTTATCCTTTGCCTGGGGCTCCTCTAAGAAGGGAATTTCTTGGCCTCCCACATCAAGCCTGGCATCATCATTTTTTTTTCAACTACTTACCCCAGTTTAAAAAAAAAAAAAAGAATTGCTTAAGTCATCAATCGCTGAATAAAGTACAGGCTCAATGAGGACAGAGCAATACCCTGTTTAGTCCATTGCCAGGTGCACCCAAATCAAGAACATCTTATTATATGAGGAGGAGTTAAAGAAATGAGAAATGGAGATGGGGGTAGTAGAAGGAGAAGGAGCAGGCACCAAACAGGGAGGAGAGAAGACAGGGCGAGTCATGCCTTCAAACACATCAAAGTGTTCCAGGTAAAAGTGGCCACAGGCATAGTCTACATGGCTTCAGACAGAGATCAGCATAGTACCCACAGCTGGAAGTTAATGTGAAGGTTTAAGCCTGGAACTTTTAAGAAATATCTAGGCCGGGCGTGGTGGCTCACGCCTGTAATCCTAGCACTTTGTGAGGCCAACGCAGGCGAATCACGAAGTCAGGAGATCAATACTATCCTGGCTAACACGGTGAAACCCCATCTCTATTAAAAATACAACAAAATTAGTCTGGCATGGTGGCACGCATGTGTAGTACCAGCTACTCGGGAGGCTGACACAGGAGCATCGCTTGAACCTGGGAGGCGGAGGTTGCTGTGTGCTGAGATCACGCCACTGCACTCCAGCCCAGGTGACTGAGCAAGACTCTGTCTCAAAAATAAATAAATATCTAATGATTAAAACTGTCCAGCAGCGGAACAAGCTGGCCTTATCGTGACAGCCTCCCTAGGACTGTGCTGTGAGAGGAAAATTGTACCTGTAGGACCAGAAAAAGACTTCTCCCTCCTCTGTCTCTGACGGCTTTTGCAGGAGCAGGCTGGCAGTTCTGCTCAATTCTTTTGTTTGTTGCTGTAACTGTTATTGTTATGGAATGTCCACCTAAAAACTAAAATAGGACACATACAACTCCAGTCCTTGCAGTCGATTCTTCACCCTGTAAAATTACATACTTTGTTGTGGGTCAGATTGCGTCTCTCAAAAAAAAAAAAAGATATGTTGATGTCCTAACCCCCAGTATCTCAGAATGTCATGTTATAGGGGGACAGGGCCTCTATAGAAGTTATCAAATTAAAATAAGTTAATTGGGCCTGCAATCCCAGCACTTTGGGAGGCTGAGGCAGGCGGATCACCTGAGGTCGGGAGTTCAAGACAAGCCCGGCCAACATAGTGAAAACCCGTTTCTACTAAAAATACAAAAATTAGCCGGGCATGGTGGCAGGCGCCTGTAATCCCAGCTACCAGGAGGCTGAGGCAAGGGAATCGCTTGAACCTGGGACACAGAGGTTGCAGTGAGCTGAGATCATGTCATTGCACTCCAGCCTGGGTGACAGAGTGAGACTCTGCCAAAAAATAAAAATAACAAAACTAAAATGAGGTCATTGGGATGGGGTGAGTCCTAATCCAATATGATTGGTGTTCTTATAAAACGGGGAAATTTGGGTGCAGACGCACAGGGAGACACACACAGAGGGAAGATGAGGGGAAGACGCAGACAGAACACCATCTAAAGCCAAGGCACCCCTCAGGCTACCAGAAGCCAGAAGAGAGACCAGGGACAGATTCTTCCTCACAGCCCTCCAGAGGCACCGAGTATGCTGTTACGGACCAAATTGTGTGCCCTCAAAATTTCTATGTTGAAGCTCCAGTCCCCAGTATCTCAGAATATGACTGTATTTGTAGATAGAGCCTTAGAAAAAGGTAATTAAGTTAAAGTAAAATCACTATGGCGAACCAGTCTGACTGGTGTCCTTATCGGAAGAAGAGATGAGGACACCTGAGTGACACCAGGGATGCCCATACAGAGAGAAGGCCGTGTGAGGACAGTGAGAAGACAGCCATCTGCAAGCCACAGAGACAGGCCTCAGGAGAAACCAACCATGCTGACACCTTAATCTCGAACTTTTAGCCTCCAGAACTGTGAGATAATGCATTTCTGTTGCCTATGCCCCCCAGCCTGTGGTATTTTATTATGGCAGGCCCGGGAAACTCATACATTTTCCCACAGCACTACTTTGGTACATGTTGCTTTAAAATTGTATTAAACGTGCATTTTCCCATGAACAATATATAATATTGCTTTGGACATTTCTTGACTTTGTATGGATGGCATTGCATCATGTGTATCCTTCTCAGCTTGCTCTTTTGCTTAACGTTATTTTTATGAGATTCATCCATGTGCATTCATGCTGCTGTCACTGGTGCTTTTTCATTGCTATATAGTATTCCATTTTACGAGTGTGCTACAGTGTATTTACCCATGCCATGATGATGGGCTTTTAGACTGTTTAGAGTTATTCACTATCACAGACAATGCTCCAATAAGTATTTTCTCAGTCCCAGTATGTAAGTGGGAAATGGAAGTAAAGGTGAAACTCAGTTCTCCTTCCAGCATGATCACCATATAAGCTCTTAAAAAAAAAATTCAGCCAATCAAACAACACTGACAGATAACCCTGTTCCAGGCAGCCACTGACATGGAAATTAATGCAGGACAGAAGATGCAGTTTCTACTAGGGAGAGTAATCTTTACCTACAACAAATATTTACTGAAAGATCATTCTGGGGAAATGACTTAAACAAGGCATTGAGAATATAAAGATGAATAGGACGAAGCTCTTGCTTTCATGGGCTTCACAATCTCATTGGATGGTTCCACAGACAACAAAAAGGGTGAACACTAGGGAGCAGCTTACACTAGGAACCAGATGAGTAGTGTGGGGGAGCAGTGCTCTGGGAAATTGGGAAAACTCACTTTGGGCTGAGGACAAGGTCTTCATACCGGACTTGAAGATGACTAGACTCAGAGAAACACAGAGAAAAAGGGAACTACCCCATGTGGGAGTTGCTCTCAGTAGCAGAGATTGGAAAAGCATGTGGTCAGCTTAGCAGACAGTAGTTGACAAAGGTGTTTGTCAAGGAGTTGTAGGAGAGAGATTTAGAGGTTGAATGGGGCAAGATATGGATGCCTGGGGAGACTGTGCCTGATCCTCTAAGTAAAAGGGAACTTTGTGGATTGTGCTTAATCCTCTAAGTAAAAGGGAACTTTGAGGATTACCTATGAAATGTTGAATGCCCACTCCTAAGAGTGTGTGAAGAGAGGGCAACCACTGTGTTCAGGAGATGATACAGAGCCCATTTCTACAACAGGATGAAGTTGAGCTACCTCACCTCTAAGACCCTATCCTCTGCATCTAGCTCCCATTTGTAGAATGAATGTATTATGACGAATGAACAAAAGGCAACCCAGTAGATGGTGTTTAAATACGAAGGCTCCAGACTTGGGCTCAACCCTCATCCTCACCATGAGTGTCCTTTCTGAGCCTCTGTTCCCCCTTCTGTACAACAGCGAGGATAAATGTATAGACACCTGGGACCACACAGGCAGAGTCCCTGGTGCAGTGCTAGCCTGATGAACGTTCAGCAACACGATGGCCCTTGTGAGGTTGAAGCACCACTTTAGTAAGGCAGATCAGATAGGACCTTTGATAATAACACCTACCACAACCCATTTTATGATGCTTTTATTTCAAAGTGTTTCCATCTCAACCATCTTATTTATTTCAACGCACAATACCTTGCATTAGGAACGCCTTGAGAACTTTTAGCATCATCAAAATAGATACATGGTATGGGATAGAATAGGGCATGATCCAAATTCTTCATGAATTTAGGAATCCATTTTGGATTCCCTTGTTTTTGGAGGTTCTTCAGAGGCAGCAAGGTAGCTCATTAGCCAAACTGTCAAGTGCACTTAATTTTTTTTTTTTTTTTTGAGATACAGTCTCACTCTGTCACCCAGGCTGGAGTGCTGTGGCACAATCTCAGCTCACTGCAACCTCCACCTCCCTGATTCAAGCAATTCTCCTGCCTCAGCCTCCTGAGTAGCTGGGATTACAGGTGCACACCACCACCACGCCCAGCTAATTTTTGTATTATTAGTAGAGACAGGGTTTCACCATGTTGGTCAGGCTGGTCTCAAACTCCCGGCCTCGTGATCCACCCACCTCATGATCCACCCGCCTCGGCCTCCCAAAGTGCTGGGATTACAGGCATGAGCTACCAAGCCCGGCCGCACTTAATTTGTCATCCTGAAACAGGAGAAAAATCTCCAGGAGGTCTTACTTCCTAGTCCCAGCTCTGCTCATCACTGGACAAACTGCTTTTCCACATCTGGAAGGAATGGGAGAAAAACTATCCCTCAAAACTCACTAGAATCTGTTCTAATAAGGAAGACTGTCTTACTCATCTTTGTATGTTCAGAGGCTAGTTTGGGGCCTAACCAGGCATTTGTCTGGGACATGGTATGGCCCAGACTCAAGAGCACAGGCTTTGGAATCAGGTAGCCTTGAGCTCACACCAGGGAATAGTAGGCCACTGCCAGCAATGAGCCTGTGAGCAAATGACCTAACCACTGGTCCCCTCACTCTTCTCATCTGTAAACTGGGCCAATAAATTTGCAAGGCCAGTGAGGATTGGTGCTCAGGGGTGCAACAAACCCAGCACAGAGAAGCCACACTGCTGATTTTCAAGCCTATGGCTTAGAGAAGATTTTCCCCAAATAGATTTTTCTGAGCACCATCTCAGATTCGCCTCTGCTGTTTTAAGCATAAAATGCAGATTCAGAGCTCTGTGCAAACCTACTGAATCAAAGCAGAGATTAGCTTTCCCATTCTGTATTTTTAGGAAGCTCTCCAGGAAATTTGGGTATGCACTCAAGTTTAAGTGTAAGGCCTGATTTAGGTTCTATTGGATGGATAAACCGCTCCTCCCAGTAAATTATTACACCTGGCTTTTACTCTCAGGCATCAGGAAATTGGGATGAGAAGCTCCTGCTTAGAGGAGATGGCAACAGCCCTGTCAGGGGCTTCAAACACAGTTAACACTGTAGGAAAGACAGACTTGGGAAGCTTCCATGGAGACCTCGAAGATCCCCTGACACCAGGCAGGCAGCATGAAGCACAGAGATGCCTTTGCCTCCCAGCACACCACAGATTGGCAGTGAGCTTCACTTGAACAAGGCCATGCACCTTGGTAATGTTCTCCTCATTTCCACAGACCTCAGCCAGCCAAAGTTCCCGTGCTAAGCACAGAGACACCTCTCCTCCCTTTATCTTAACGGGGCCAAGTTCTTCAGGCAGAGCCAATGATGCAAAAAAGCCAAACACAGAAACACTTAAAGGCATAAAGCAAACACCATTTTTAGCAGAGGTTTCCTAAAATGACAAGATTGTTTGCAACATTTTTTGATGACAGCGATGATGATGACAAATAATCCACCGTCAGTAGGAAGCTGAGCTTTTATTCTTCCATTTTGAATAACGTCCACTTTAAAAGGTTAGATTGCTCTGCAGTGAGGTTAAAACCATTGTTATTCCTCCTCCATCTTGGAATAGATAAAAGAGTATTTCTGAAGACTCCAAGAAGGTTGTTAGAGCAAGAAATAAATGTTGTGTGGATTTTCCAATGTTGTTGAGCAAAGGTGAACTACTCTAGAAGCAAGTGGAAGGTCAGGATGTAAATCTCTCTAGCTGCAGACGTATCTAAACGTTAGTATCTACGGAAGGTCAATTGATTGTCTGCGAGTTCAAAATAAATGGGTCATATTCTCAGTGGCTCCTAAATCTGGTCTTGCAAGACCTTAAAGTTTTTCCATTTATTTGAAAGAGTGGGAGACAGTGGTGTTTGGTGGTTGAAGAGGGTGGGGGATGTTTGCTGATAGTACTGACAAGCAAGGTGAGCACAGTCTTTTAAAGTGGCACATTTTCAATAGCTTTCAGTTGAAATGTTGGTGTGAAAGTTATTAAGAGAATGGTGATAAACCATTAGGGGAAGCAGTGTGAAAGGGAGGTCAGGGTATTCAATACGAGCTTGAATCATAGGGGTCAAATAAGGAGACACACAGAGAAACAGGCACAGCTGAGGCTTTGTAAATGTGCTCTCACCCTGGCCAATGCCCAGCACAAGCCTCAGGGTCCACTCCACCTCAGAAGCTGAGGGTGACACCTCCTTACAAAGGCTTGGTACTCTTGATGCTAAAGCCACCTTCGACTTTTAACTGGGGGTGCAAATAAGGGTCAATAGCAAGAAGGAGAGGTCAAAGATACTCAAAATAATTAAGCTTCCTGCCACTAAAAATTTAAGCCAATGGAAACATATTTGAGATGGCTATAACAGGAAGAGAATCCTATCCTGGGTAGGAAATTCAAAGGTGTTTGCCCCTGGGAAGATTTCATCTGTACCCTTCATATTTAGAACACCATCTACACTACTGAGTGTCCAAAAGCCATTCTTTCTTGCATTCTGAACTCTGTATTCTGGTCTCAATCCTTTCCCATGAAATATAGAGAAAATTCCTGAATGGACCATCCAGAGAAGCATGGCAATCCCAATGCCAATTCTAGTGGGGTCAGCTTAGGAAGGAGCACATGAACCAGCCCCGATTAACAAGCTTATCTTGCTAAGATAAGAGAGCAAGTCTTTTGGGATTTTCTGGGAGCTATTTCCTCTATTGGAAATAGAGAGATACAGGGGAGAACTCTCTTTCTCTCCTAGAGATCGTCTTGTCTGGATGCCATACTTGGAACTGCTGAAGCCATTCTGAGACCATGAGAGGAGCCATTACTCCAAAATGGAAAATGGGAGAGGTGAAAAACCTGCCCAGCTGCCCAATCAACCAACCTTAGAGCTGCCCTATTTCAGGTTTTCTTGTTAAGTGACATAATAAGTTTTCCCCATTGCTTGTAACAAATTGAATTTGGAGGTTTTGTTCCCTGCAGCTTAAAGTACCCTCACTGATGCAAAAACATGAACATTCTCAGGTTGATGGTCAGACTTCATTCTGCCTTTGTCTCTTTAAATACATAGTTCCATCATTAGGAGAACACATGTACAACACCCAAGATCAAATGGAGACTGCATAGAAAGAACAGGCTGGCAAACCCATTGGAAAGTACAGCTTTCTCCTTGCCCAATCTTACCAAATTGAATGAAATTAAGAATAGCTGGCCGGGCGCGGTGACTCACACCTGTAATCCCAGCACTTTGGGAGGCCAAGGCGGGCGGATCACGAGGTCAAGAGATCAAGACCATCCTGGCCAACATGGTAAAACCCTGTCTCTACTAAAAATACAAAAATTAGCTGGGCGTGGTGGCAGGTGCCTGTAGTCCCAGCTACTCAGGAGGCTGAGGCAGGAGAATTGGTTAAACCAGGGAGGCAGAGGTTGCAGTGCGCCGAGATCATGCCACTGCACTCCAGCCTAGCAACAGAGCGAGACTACGTCTCAAAAAAAAAAAAAATAAGAATAGCTAACATGTATTTCTATGTACATTCTAGGCACAGTGATGGGCATTTTACAGCAATTATCTCTTTTCATCCTAACTTTTTAGATATCTACTGATATTGTTGTTTTGATGACAATAAGTTACCTGGGAAATATTGATAATCATTCTTGTTAATCATAGAGGATTATTTAATCCTTTCATTTAAATGCCTTATGCAAAGTATGTACACATTCATTCTGACATTTGATTTTCCCAGTTTTTTAGTACATGAAAATTAAAGCTGAGAGCACACAACTGGTAAACAGGGAATCGGAAATTGAATCTTGACCTCACCCAGTACTCTTCTCACTTTACCTTATGTCTCCCATACACTGCCATTAACAGGGTCCAATTATTTAAAAGCTGGAATAAAAATTATACTCTTGTTGTGGCCTAAAGCCTTGCTACTCAAATATCACCTGAAAGCTTGTGATAAATGTAAAATCTCAAGCCTCACCCCAGACCCGCTGAATAAGAAACTGCTTTTCAGTAAAATTCCCAGTAATTCAAATGTACATGACAGCGTGAGGAGTACTGGGCTAGAGGGTGCAGCCCTCGGAAGAAAGGAAGGCAGCAGTAATTACAGAATGTTAGTCTAAGAGAACTCAAGAAAGACCATGGAGGTGACAGCAAGTGTCTGTGGGGGGCCGGCATGGGCTGTCTGTGCAGTGTTTATATGAGTTTGGTAGTCAGTCTCCTGGCAAAAGTTAATCTAGTTGCTTTGTGTTCCAAATAACAGAAGAGTCATCTTGGCTTAAACATTAGTTCTTACACTGAGTAGCTGAGAAACACACTTCTGAATACAAACACAAGATAAATCAAGAGTAAATTGAATTCAGCACCTGGATCCAACCAGTCTAGCAGTGAGCCAAGATCGCACCACCACACTCCAGCCTGGGTGACAGAGCAAGACTGAAAAAAAAGAAAAAGAAAGAAAGAAAATTAACAAAAATACTAGGACCTGAACTCAGCTCTGGATCAAATGGACCTGAGCGATATCTACAGAACTCTCCACCCAAAAGCAAGATAATAGACATTCTTCTCATCATCACGCGGCACTTACTCTAAAATCTATCATATAATCAGAAGTAAAACACTCTTCACCAAATGCAACAGAACTCAGATAACAAACAATCTCTTGAACCACAGTGCAATCAAATTAGAACTCAAGACTAAGAAATTCACTCAAAACCATATAATTACATGAAAATTGTTCCTGAATTACATGAAAACAGGTTCAGAAACCTGTTCCTGAATGACTTTTGACTGAATAATGAAATTAAGACAGGAATCAGGAAGTTCTTTGAAACTAATGTGAACAAATATACAATGTACCAGAATCTCTGGGACACTGCTAAGGCAATATTAACAGGGAAATTTTGGGGTTTTTGTTTTGTTTTGTTTTGTTTTTTGTTTGTCTTTTTTTTTGAGATGGAGTATCACTCTGTCACCAGGCTGGAGTGCAGTGACGTGATCTCGACTCACTGCCACCTCCGCCTCCTGGGTTTAAGTGATTCTCCTGCCTCAGCCTCCCAAGTAGCTGGGACTACAGGTGCCCGCCACCATGCCCAGCTAATTTTTTTATTTTTAGTAGAGATGGGGTTTCACCATGTTGGCCAGGGTGGTCTCGATCTCTTGACCTCATGATCTGCCTGCCTCGGCCTCCCAAAGTGCTGGGATTACAGGTGTGAGCCACTGCATCTAGCCTAAGAGGGACATTTATAGCACTAAATGTCCACATCAAAAAGTTAGAAAGGTCTCAAGTTAACAACCTAACATGACAACTATTAAATAAAAGAACCAGAGAACCAAGAACAGACAAATCCCAAAGCTAGCAGAAGACAAGAAATAACCAAAATCAGAGCTGAACTGAAAGAGTTAGAGACACGAAAATCTATTCAAAAGATCAACAAATGCAGGAGCTTGTTTTTTGAAAAAATTAATAAAATAGACGGTTAGCTAGACTAATAAAGAAGAAAAGAGAGAAGATTCAAATAAACACAATCAGCAATAAGGGGGATATTACTACTAACTCTACAGAAATACAAACAAACATCACAGAATATTATAAACACCTCTATGCACATAAACTAGAAAATCTGGAAGAAATTGATAAATTCCTGGACATACACACCCACCCAAGACTGAACTAGGAAGAAACTGAATCCCTGACTAGACAAATAATGAATTCTGAAATTGAGATAGTAATAAATAGCCTACTAACAAAAAAAAGCCCAGGACCAGACAAATTCACAGCTGAATTCTACCAGATGTATAAAGAAGAGGTCGTATCACTCCTACTGAAACTATATCCAAAAATTGAAAAGGAGAGACTCCTCCCTAACTCATTCTATGAGGCCAGCATCATCCTGATACCAAAACCTGGCAGAGATACAACAGAAAAAGGAAACTTCAGGCCAGTACCCTTTATAAATATCAATGCAAAAATCCTCAACAAAATACTGGAAACCAAATCCAGCAACACATAAAAGCTTATTTATCATGATCAAGTAGGCTTCATCCTGGGATGCAAGGTTGGTTCAACACATGCAAATCAACAAATGTGATTCATCACATAAACAAAACTAAAGACAAAAAACACATGATTATCTCAAAAGATGCAAAACAGGCTTTCTACAAAATTCAACAACCTTCATGTTAAAAACTCTCAATAAACTAGATATTGAAGGAACACACCTCAAAATAATAAGAACCACAAACAACATCATACTGAATGGGTAAAAGCTGGATGCATTCCCCCCTTGAAAACCAGCACGAGACAAGGATGCCCTCTCTCACCACTCCTATTCAACATAGGATTGGAAGTTCTGGCCGGGGCAATCAGGCAAGAGAAGGAAATAACGGGCATTCAAATAGGAAGAGAGGAAGTCAAACTATACCTGTTTGGAGATAACATGATCCTACATCTAGAAAACCCCATCACCTCAGACCAAAAGCTTCTTAAGCTGATAAGCAACTTCAGCAAAGTCTCAGGATACAAAATCAATGTACAAAAATCACTAGCATTCCTATATACCAACAACAGTCAAGCCAAGAGCCAAATCTTGAATGAATCCTCATTCACAAGGACCACAAAAAGAATAAAATACCCAGGAATACAGCAAACTAGGGAGGTGAAAGATTTCTACAAGAAGAACTACACAACACTGCTCAAAGAAATCAGAGATGACACAAACAAAAGGAAAAACATTCCATGCTCATGGAGAGGAAGAATCGATATCATTAAAATTGCCATACTTGCTCAAAGCAATGTATAGATTCAATGCTATTCTTATTAAACTATAATTAACATTCTTCACAGAACTAGAAAAAAACTATTTTAAAATTCATATGGAACCAAAAAAGAGCCTGAATAGCTAAGGCAATCCTAAGCAAAAAGAACAAAGCTGGAAGCATCACACTACCCAACTTCAAACTATACTACAGGGCTACAGTAACCAAAACAGCATGGTACTGGTACAAGAACAGACACATAGACCAATGGAACAGAATAGAGAACCTGACCCTAATGACATTTTAGAAAGAGCAAGAAATATAGTAGATAGTTTTAAATATTAAATTAATGACACAGAGAAGGGCTTCAGGTATTCTCAATGAATGAGAAAGACAAATTAAAGCAATCGCAGAGTGGATGATTCATGTAGAAGACCAAGAAGATCCAACTGAAAGCTAACTGGGGCTCCTGTCATTAAGGACCAAAAACTGGGAAAAAAATATTTAGAGATACAGCATTGAAAAATTTCCATGAAATGGAAAAAACAGAATCTACAGATTAAATTCATACAACATATATGGGAAATAATAAGTGACAGAAAATTATTGGCATCAACACATAACCTCATTAAATGATTTAACTTCAAGGATAAAGACAGAATTTTTATCCCTCCTGACAAAAAAAAAAAAAAATTATAGTTCAGTGCAGGAGAAAAAGTCAGGCTGGCTTAAGATTTTACCACAAAAAATTCAGCATGAGTTATTGACTGTGGAGTGATACTTTAAAAGTTACGAGGGAAATAAAGTATAAAACAAGAATATATCTAGCCAAGTTCATTCTCAAGTATAAGAGCAAGTAAAAAACTCAATAATATGCCACTCTTAAGCCACTGTGGGAGAAGAAAATAAACTATTCCTATTTCTCTCTCTTTATGGTTTCTAAATCTTTTTGCCTAAAATTCAAAAAAAAAAAATTGAGATCTGATGTTTAGTGCAGTGAAAATTTCTTCAGATTTACTTCGTCTTCTCTTTGTTCATTTAAATGAAAGTTGAAACCTTTTATTAAAGTATAAAAACGTTAGGAGAATTTCATGCCACCTAAGAGTTGGCAGGATTACTACTTGGACAGGTCGTTTGAGTTAGCAAATGCAAAGCAAATACATCACATGTCACACAAACACACACACACACACAGACATTGTGGTTGTACAAGACCCAAGTGCTTACAAACTCACTAGACTGTATGTTTCCATCTCTAATCAGATGTTCTGTTTGGTAAAATAAAGTATATCTTTTAGCAGGTCTATATCTTGCTATGAATTTCCTGACCTCATGGCTTGCAACCAGGATGGCATATTAGAATCACCTATAGAGATTTCTTTCTTTCTTTTTTTTTTTGATACAGAGTCTCGCTCTGTCACCAGGCTGGAGTGCAGTGGTGCGATCTCAGCTCACTGCAACCTCTGCCTCCTGGGTTCAAGCGATTCTCCTGCCTCAGCCCCCCGAATAACGGAATACGGGCACGCACCACCAGACCCAGCTAATTTTTTGTATTTTTAGTAGAGACGGGGTTTCACCATGTTGGCCAGGATGGTCTCAATCTCTTGACCTCATGATCCGCCTGCCTTGGCCTCCCAAAATGCTGGGATTACAGGCGTGAGCCACTGTGCCTGGCCAGAGATTTCATTTTTTAAAATACATAGGCCTTGGTATGTGTTATTTCTAGAAGCTTTCATTTCCAGTATCCACACTCACTGATTTAAAGAAAAGTTTCTTTCTTGCATAGGAATTTAGAATCCCCTGTATCTCCCTGTGACTGCGAGCTATTGCAGAGTCCTGTATGTTCTTGTTTACTTAGGAGTTCAAAGACAACCAGGAGAAGGCAGCACAGCAATATACAGCTGTGATCCTGTTTTTCTCCTTTAAAGAAACAAAAATGGCTATTTTGCATCCTGATTGAACAGCCCAGACCTTGGCAAATATATTATTCCATGGCATTCTTTGTGAGAGTGATATCTTGGAGAGAATAAAAAGGTAAGGCCACCCCTCTGTAGGCAGAAGTGGAGTCTCTTCTAAAGGAAATGAGCTGTCAGTCATTTAAAAGAGATCAGTCCTGGGATAGAAAAGGAAGACTTGGTGGATGAGCCTTAAACTGGCTTAGAGGGAAGCTTCCTTCTCCCTTTGGGGGCCTTCCAGCAATTGAGCCTGAATTTTAAGGCAGAGAATTGCACAGAGCTTCCCAGTGAGGAAGAAAAGAGTAGAGAGTATGGTGGT
Organism: Homo sapiens; assembly: GCF_000001405.40. Lineage (NCBI taxonomy): Eukaryota > Metazoa > Chordata > Mammalia > Primates > Hominidae > Homo > Homo sapiens. The sequence goes on from NC_000017.11 coordinate 13,884,968, forward strand.
TAAGAGACCCTGGTGTCAGACAGGCGTGGTGGCTCACGCCTGTAATCCCAGCACTTTGGGAGGCCAAGGCGAGTGGATCACAAGGTCAGGAGATCTAGACCATCTTGGCTAACACGGTGAAACCCCGTCTCTACTAAAAATACAAAAAATTACCCGGGTGTGGTGGCGGGCGCCTGTAGTCCCAGCTACTCAGGAGGCTGAGGAAGGAGAATGGCGTGAACCCGGGAGGCGGACCTTGCAGTGAGCCGAAATCACGCCACTGCACTCCAGCCTGGGCGACAGAGCAAGACTCAGTCTCAAAAAAAAAAAAAGAAAAGAAAAGAAAAAAGAAGACTCTGGAGTCTGGCAGCCTGGCATCGGATGCCACTCCGTACTTGCTAGTGTGTGCCCTTGACCAGTCGCTGAAGCTCTCAGTGCCTTAGTGTCCTCATCTAAAAAATGAGGATCATAATAGCACAAAGAGTTTTATGAGGATTAACAGAATAATACACACAAAATGCTTAGAATACTGCCTGGCACATAATAAGCACACGATAAATGTCAGCTGTTGCTTTTATTACATGGAGCAAGAAGGAAGCCTGATAAAGAATCTCAGAATTGGGCTGGACAGATGGAGAGAGATATGAGAAGTCATAATCAGCCTTTTGGTAAAGGCTCTATCAGAGTTATGGTTCTGTCTTTGTATCATTAGGAGGGAAGACTTACCCCCCATCTCACCCCCTGACCCATCGCCCCAAAGCCAGGTGGAGGCAGCGTGGTCACTAGCAGCTGGTCACTATGCCCCACACTGGTGAGCTCTAGCAGGTCTATTAATATCAATGTGGCAGCATGATGTGGTATCCAGCATCCTCTTCAGAAACATGTTAGGCACACTTTCAGGAGGCCTAATTTCCCATAATTAAGCCAGCAGGGGTGTTCACCATCAAAATTTAGACATTAAAAGGAAGTAAGTTCTACCTTGGCCAAAAAGTGATGAGGCCTCACCATTTGGATTATTCTAGTATAAGTATCCCAACACAACAGGTGCTCCAGACAGGGCATCAGTGAGGAACAGCAGGTACATAACACCCAGGGCCTCCCTGCTCTGCAGTGCTGTGGTTTGGGATGGCCTGGGATCAGCCCTCCCGCCCTGTATCACAGCTGTGGAGGTGTGAAAGCAGAGAGACCAGATGCCAGGAGCACTTACATGCCTTAGATTAGTCTCCGAGGACAATCACAGTCGTAGGACAGATGACGATGTGAGCAGAAAGGGTGATTAGTCATTACTGAAACTTTGGAATACTCTCCAGCCAGTGCTAAGATGATAAAACAACAACAGAAAAGACCTCTTTTCTGCTGGGCAAGCCCCTGGTAACCTTTGCCACTGAACTAAAAGCTTTCAAAGGGCGAACAGAAGAGCCATAAATCTCAGGGGTGACATTAAATATTTGTCACTGAAACACTTAAGACTTGTTTCAAAACCATTCCTTTCTGAAAGTTTATAACAAATAACTGGGTGACTTAACCTCTACAAGAGCATCTCCTTTTTCACTACAAATGGAAACAAATGGTCTATAAAGAGCGGGACCCTGCTGATGGTCAATTCTCAGCCACTGTGTGGTCTCCCAGCCCTGCCCAAATGGGTGAGTTGCCCCTTTTGTTTAGATTAAACTGGCTCTTGCATCCATGACATCAGGGCAGCAAAGGTTTTAACTGGACTTTCTTTTAAACTGCCCATTAATCTTCCCTCCCTTCACCCTGCTGAAAGAATGAGTAAAGTAAATTATTTACATTCTGATGTTGCAAGAACTCTTCCTACATTAAGCTTTCAGTTGAGCCTAAACATCTTTTTAGTGTTTTCCTCACAACCCCTCCCCTTATCATAACTCCATAGCTTCTCAGAGAGATCACCTGTTAGACTAAAATATGACAGGGATACAAACCTCTTCCTAACCACCTGTGTGTGCCCTGGGCACACATACCAGAGAGAAAACGTTTTTAGCCAAGTTCCAATTTTACCAAGTTCCAAATATGACAATCTTCATTCCCAGCATTCTAGAGTTTGCTCTTCAGTATGCCATAATATTCCTTCGGCATCTCCGGAGGAAAACTGAAGCGCATCAGAAACTTTGCAAAAGATGTTCGTTATGCCTCTTGTCAGAGTGAGGAGCAAAGGCTTTTGTTGGGAAGAGTAATGTCACCTGCATCAGCTCCCTCTGGGCTCAGAGGGACAAGCAGCCACCTACATGGAGGGTTTTCAAGCATGGAGCTGGGAGGTGGCTCAATAGGACACACACCCACATTAAAGTTCCCATTCAACCCTGAAATCCCACTTCAGACAATTCACTTCTCTTGTATGACAGAGAAAAAGAAAGAAAGAAGGTTCTTGTAAGGTATCAGAGTAGAAGGAGCCAGAAAAGGCCATTGAAAAGGAATTCATAAAGCAAGGTCAGAGAATGAGGAAAGAATTGGAAGCACAGACCGTCACAGGCATCAGGAAACCTGGGCTGCCTGCAGTCGAAATAACTAATTCCTATTAAGTTTGAATTAATGAAGTAACTTTTAATTAGAGAAAGATAAACCAAGTAATATCTATTAGGACAAAGATGCATTTACGAAGCATCTGTTCCTCCCTCTCTTAATATGCTGCCTCATTCGTTTCCTTAGGCCTTAATTTCTTTTGGCCTTCTTTACAAGTTCTTAGCTTCCCCTAACAAGCATTTGTTATTTAAAGTCAGCACCCATATAAGTCATATTTTGCTGCCTCTTGCCCAAACTTTGCCACTAACTGCAGACGTGTGTCCCCTGAAAATCACCTCCAACCATTGATAATTTCAGTATGCTCCCAAGGAGAACAGTGTCACCTCTGGCTTTGCTTTGGTTAGTGGTTAACATTCTCTTGCTCTGATATTTTGACACCAATGATGTCCTGAGGCATGAAGGTCCCCTCTGAGCCTTGCCACTGGCTTCTGCTAGGAATTGCCATCCCTCACTATGTTCTCCAACGAATGCAGAAGGACAGGGAATGCTGTTTTCTGGGGTCCATAGGGCACCAAAGCTCCCTGTAAAATTCTCCCTTCTTTTGTTCCTTTTGTACCTCACTCTTTCTTATGAACAACAAAAAAATGCTGCCTGTGTTTCCATATCTTACTGTTATTGGCCAAAAATTCTTTAGATTTTTGCTCAGACACATCGTCCTTGTTGGTTCCCAGATAGCAGCCAGGATCAGGATACAAATCTGAGTGCAAAGCACTGCCTGGAACTCAGATTCCTCTCTCCCTTCCACTGCACATGGGCTTGGCACTGGGCCAAGTTTTTCTCCATGGCACTTTATGGCTATCAACTTCTGGTGGCCAGTCCTACTGGTAATGCAGACATGTAAATTCTGGCAATAGACACAGCTGAGACTCAAGCTGGCGGACCCAGCCTCTGCCTCACACACACTAGTATTACTTAACTCATACTAAAGTATTACTTAACTTGTACTAAAAAGCCATCAAGTCTCAGCTAGCTCTTTTGTAGCCCCCCCCCGCTTCTTTATTTCTGGAGAAATTCATAAATACTGGCTAGAGACCAGTGGCATCGGGAATGCCTGCATCGTTTGTTAAAAATACAGACACCGGGCCCCCATCCAGAGCTTTCGAATCAGAAGCTCTTTGTTAAGACTCAAGCATCTTTTTCTTTTTAAGTTCGTTCAAATGATTCTTTCAGACATCTAGCTTCGCAAAGGGCTATTTCAGAGCGCCAGTCTAATTTCAGCCCTGTCTGAGCACATCTTACCCTCATCAAATTTGACTTCTTCTAGAATATCATTCTCTCTTGGCCTTCCCAGACTTGCATAATTAAGGCATGTTATGGCCCCTCTTCACATCTGCTCTTTCTACTAGACTCTCTCAAGGTGAGTCTGAGCTAAAGCTTTAGTTAGTGCTTCACCCACTTGTGGAGATGGAGGGAGGAGGGGCGTGAGGGGATTCAGATACTAGGGTGCCACCCTGTATCTGGATTCAACATATCCAGAGCTGGGCCCAGGAATCTTTTTGTTGGTTTGCAAGGTGCCTCAAGTTTGGGAACCTTAGTAGGATTTAACATGGTGATGGGTTTTTTTTTGTTGTCGTTGTTTTTGAGTGGGGGAGGCGGGGGTGGGCAAGCATGGGCCAATATATGTTAGAAACAATTATCTCACAATTTTTACTTGTATAACCAAAAGGTTTCCTCATGATAAGAAACAAATTTTAAAAATTTACTACCTTTGAAATGCATCAGAAAATAAAGTGGATTGATAGATGAGTAACAGGATGGATATATGGATGAATCAGGAAATCTAGTAAGATGCTAGTAGTAGAATCTAAGTAGGCAGGTACATGGATATTTGTTGTTGTTGTTGCTTTTATTTATTTATTTATTCATTTTGAGACTCACTCTGTTTCTCAGGCTGGAGTGTAGTGGTACCAAGGTGGCTCACTGCAGCCTTGACCTCCTGGGATCAAGCCTAGGTCACTTCAGCCTCCCAAGTAGCTGGGACTACAGGCATGCGCCACCACACCCGACTAATTTATTTTATTTTGTTTTATTTCATTTTATTTTAGAGACAGGGTGTCACTATGCTGCCCAAACCGGTCTCAGACTCCTGGGCTCAAGTGATCCTCCTGCCTCAGCCTCCCAAAGTGCTGAGATTACAGGTGTGAGCTACCACACCCAGCCTTGTTGTATAATTCTTGCAACTTTATGTACGTTGGAAACTTTTTATAATGAAATGGTGGGATTAAAGACACTAGGATTAAATTTTGCCTCAAAATTATATTTTAACTCTATACCTCAACTTAATAATGATTAATAATGACTAAGTTGAGGTCATCTAATATAATCATTAGATGACTGATAGGTGATTGATTACTCCAATGCCCCCTAAATGTTATGTATACTATATCTGAAGTAATTTATTACCTATGTCAGTAAATTAATTTTTTTAAATGGTGGTAGAGATGCGGTCTCATTGTGTTGTCAAGCTGAGTGCAGTGGTGTGATCATAGCTTACTTCAGTCTTGAACTCCTAGGCTCGACAATTCTCCTGCCTTAGCCTCCTGACCATAGGCATGCACTACCATGCCCAGCTTTTTTTTTTTTTTTTTAATGTTTTGTGAAGATAGGGTCTCACTTTATTTCCCAGGCTGGTCTTGAACTCTTGGCTTCAAGCGATCCTCCCGCCTTGGCCTTCCAAAGTGCTGAGCACAGGCATGAGCCACCTCGCTGGGCCAACGTATTTTGTTTAAGTGAGATTTTAAAAATAAATTGTAGATGTTTATTCTTGCTAAAATGTAAAATCTCTTTCTCTTTGCACCATCTTCCCCTTTTTATCTGTGTATACATTTTCTAGTCCTAAAACTATTTGAATAGTATCAATCAAAAAATATATATGAATATTACTGTGAACTAAATGTACTATTATGTTATTATGAAGATGTAAAAAAAGCTACAACTTCAGAGCAAAGTTGTTAACAGAAAGTGTTACTGCAGTCCATGTAGTAACTTTGACAAGTTTATATTCAAAGTTGAACATTTGCTGCTGAGGAAATCGAGCCGGGAGAACTAATGACATATTTAAAATCATGTAACTAGTGGGAAACCCAAACAAGAACATAAATCTTTGTTGCTAAAATAAATTCACTCTAAAATTATGCTCAGGAACACCAATATAAGTGACTTTAAATGGGGGTAAAAATTGGTGTACTTAAAATTATTTTCCCTATTAGTCAATAAATGGTATGGGGACATTGATAAAGTTGCATTTCTAACTCAGTCTTTTCAACAAATTAAATCCTTCTTAAAGAGATTTAAAAATGAAACATAAGACAAGTCATAAACTGGAGAAATTATCTGCAAATAAAATCTAATGAAGGACGTATTCATAATATATTAAGAACATTCAAAACTCAAGAACAAGAAAACAGACCACCCAATATTTTGTAATGGGTGAAAGTTCTGAACAGACATTTTATCACAGAAGATATACAGATGACAAGTGTACTAAAAGATGTTCAATGTTATTTATCATTAAGGAAGTGCAAATTAAAGCCACAATGAGATAGCACTACTCATCTATTAAAATGACTCAAAATGAATAAGTAGGTAAACAAATAACTTATAATGGCAAGTGCTGGCAAAATTGCAAAGCAACTGGAACCCACTTAGCTATCTGGCAGGAACGCCAAACAGTACAGCCACTCTGATAAACAATTTGGCAGTTTCCTATAAAATTAAATATAACCTTACTAAACGAGCAAGCCATATTACCCCTAGATATCAATCCAAGTGCCCTAGATATCAATCCAAGTGAATTGGAAATGTATGTTCCCACAGAAAGCTGTACACAATTGTGGATAGAAGATACATTCATAAATGCAAAAAACTGGAAACAACCTAGACCTTGAATATGTAAGTGGATAAACAAACAGTGGTACATCTATACAATAGAATACTCTCAACAATAAAAAATATTAAATTGATTTTTACATCCGAGCAAGGTGGAGTAACAGAGACTGAATTTGCCCTTCCACATGAAACAAACAAACAAATGAAAACAATATATGAAAACAACAGTTTGCAAAACACTGGACACCAAATAAGGAAGAACAATGATCTCTATAAGACAAGGGAGAAATAAGGTAAGCCTTACGATCAACACAACTTTTTTCCTTGAGAGTTTCCAAGCAACGACACAGAGCGAAGGAACTCAGTTAGAGTCCAGTGGACTCCCTGAGTTGAAGACACAGAGCTGAGAATTCAGGCAAACCAAGACAGCTAGAATTCCCAAGACAGAGTAGAGTAGAAAAGACAGCTACAAAGAGACGGAAATGCAGAGATCTGCAGAAGATTCTTGTGTAGTATTCAGGTGAGCAATCATCAACAAATGCCTGTGAAGAAACCACCTGAGGCTGAGGAAAGACCCACCTGAAAGGATTAGAAGAAACAGTGACTGGTACTCAAGCAGGACTATTTACATTTAACATGTTATTGATGTCGGTGGGTTTTAATCTGTCACCTTACTATTTATTTTCTATGTGTCCGTATTTTCTTTTTCTGCAGAAAAACTCTTCTCCTGCCTTGTTTTGGATTAGTTGAATATCTTTTTATGAATTCATTTTAACAACATTGGTTGCTTATTGGTTTTCTTTGTTATTTTAGTGATTGTTTTAAAGTTTATGTTATATTAATACCGTTTTAACTTACCACAATCTAGCTGTAAAAATGGGGTGCTACATTGTACCACTTTATGTACAGTATAAGAACCTTCCAAAAATATACTTACATTTCTTCCTGCCAATTTTTGTGCTATTGTTTTCATACATGCTACGTTTATATATGTAGTGGATCTATAGACAATTTACAGGCAGAACTTGCATCTTATCAATATTGACTCCTCAACCAATTAATGAACATGTACATCTCTCATTCATTTAGGTTCTCTTTCTACTTTCTTAGAAAAGTTTTCTAGTCTTCACCAGTCTTTCACATCTTCGTTGAACTAATCTCTAAGTATTTCATAGTTTCGATGCTACTATAAATTGTACTTTTGGTTATAATTTCTGATTGTTGCTGTTATATAGAAATACATGCTACTTTTATACATGTATTGGGTCTGTAGATAATTCAGAGGCAGAACTTGCATCTTAACAATATTGATTCCTCAACCAATGATTAACCCCATGCTACATGGTTGTTCTTTTATTGAAATAATTATCTTTTATACAGTTTTAAATAGTAAGAAAATACATATTTACCAGTATAGTTACTATTTCCTGTGCTCTTCGTTCCTTTATGTGGATCCACATATCCATCTGGTATCATTTTTCTTCTTCCTGAAGGAATTCTTCTCATTTTTCTTACAATGCAGATCTGCTGAAAATAAATTATTCCAGCACTTATATGCCTGAACACATTTTTATTCTACCACTATTTTTCAAAGAAATGTTTGCTAGGTGTAGAATTGTAGGTGAATGTTTTTTGCTCATTCGTCTTTTCAATAGACATAGAAAAAGTTTTTGACAAAGTCTACTCCTCATTAAAAAAAAACTCTCAGCAAACTAGAAACAGAAAGAATCCTTCTCAATCTAATATAAGACATTTAAAATAACCAAAACCTTACAGCTAATATATTTAATAGTGAAAAACTGAATGACTAGCCCTTTGAAATCAGAAACAAAACAAGGACGTTCTTTCTTAATATTTCTTGTCGACATCATACTAAAGATTCTAACCAGTGCAACGAGACAAGTACAAGAAATTCAAGGCATCCAGTTCAGAGAGGAAGACATAAAACTGCCTTTATTTTCAGATGACACAATTGTCAAAGTAGATAATTTGATGGAATTGAAAAAAAAAAAACTACTAGAACTAATAAGAGAATTTAGCAAGACTACAAAATACAAGACCAATGTAAAAAAAAATTGTATTTCTATATAACAGCAACAAACAATCAGAAACCGAAATTATAACCAAAAGTATAATTTATAGTAGCATCAAAACTATGAAATACTTAGAGATTAGTCCAACAAAGATGTGAAAGACTAGTGGCAACTAGAAAACTTTTCTAAGAAAATAGAGAACCTAAATGAATGAGAGATGTACAGGTTCATTAATTGGTTGAGGAATCAATATTGTTAAGACGCAAGTTCTGCCTGTAAATTATCTATAGATCCAAAGAAACCTGAATAAAAAATTCCAAAAAGTGTTTTTGCAGAAATTGATAAACTAATTCTAAAATTCATATGGAAATTCAAAAGACCTGAAATAGGCAAAATAATTTTGCAGAAGAAGAACAAACTCGAAGACTAACGCTACCTGATTTTAGGAATTCTTATAAAACTACAGTAATCAAGACAGTGTGGTACAGGTGTAAAGATAAACAATAAGGCCAAAAACAAATAGAGAAACCTGAAATAAACCTACACATAGATGGAAATCTGATTTTTGACAAAAGTGAAAATGCAATTCAGTGGAGAAAGATGGTCTTTTCAGCATAGTAAATAAACTTCAATCCACACCTTGTACCATAAAGAAAATTAACTCAAAATCATCCAAAAATTAACTCAGAGACCTCAATGTAAAACCTAAAACCATAAAACATTCAGAAGAAAACCTTTGTAATCTTGAGTTAGACAAAGATTTTTTCCATACAACACCAAAAGCATGATTCATTTAAAAAAGAAACAGATACATGAGATCTTATTAGAATTAAAAACTTTTGCTTTTTAAAAGATACTGTTAAGAAAATAAAAAGACAAGCCACAGACAGACTAGGAGAAAATATTTCCAGGTCATATATCTGATAACAGACTTGCATTCGAAATATTAGACATCTCAAAATTCAGTAAGAAGAAAACAAATTTTTAAAAACATAAACATAAGATTCAAACAGGCAAGTAAATCCCTGAAAAGATGCTCAATATCATTAGTCATTAGGTAAACTCAAATTACACACAGTGAACTACCATTATATAACCATTAGAATGGCTAAAATTTAAAAGCATTGACCATATCAAGTGTTGGCAACAACATGGAGAAATTAGAACTTTCATGCATTGCTGATAGGAATGTAAAATAGGGTAACTACTGCAAGAGTCTGGCAGTCACTTAAAAAGGTGAGCATACACCTACCATATGAGCCAACCATTCCACTTCTAGGTATTTGCCCAAGAGAAACAAAAGCATATATCCATGCAAAAGACTAGTGTGTGAATGATCCTGGTCACTTTAGTTGTTGTAGCCAAAAACTGTAAACAATGTCCGTCAACAGGTGAAGGATAAACAGAGCTAGATTCATACAAAGGAATATTTACTCTGCAATAAAAAGGAGCTCACTGGTGAAGCATACTACACTATGGTTGAATCTCAAAATAATTTTGCTGAGAGGAAGAAGCCAGACAAAAAGGAGTGTATATCCATACACATAGAATTCTAGAAAATATAAACTTATCTGCAATGATAGAAAGCCAGGTGGTTGCTTAGGGAGGGGAAATGTGGACAAGGGCATGAGAAGTAATTGCGAAGGTGAACAAAGAAACTTTGACAGTGATAGATAATATGTTTATTATCTTGATTATGGTAAAGGTCTTGTGTATGTATATTTATATCAAAATTTATCGAATTGAACATTTTAAATATATGCAGTTTACTGTATGTCAATTGTACTTCAATAGACACGTTATTTTTAAAAGAATGCACTATTGATCCACTCAACAACATGGGTTAATCTTAAATGGGTATTGCTAAGTTAGAGACGTCAGAATAGAAAGGCTATATACTGATTGGTTCTATTTATAAGACATTCATGAAAAGACAAAATTGTAGGAATGAAAACACTCATCAATGATGGCCAAAGAGGGAGGTTGGTTGAGGAGTCAATTACAAAGAGGCAGCACATGAGAATTTTGGGGTCAGTGTCTCCTGCATGGTGTTTGATATACAACTCTATGGAGTTTGGAAAATCTCTCAAATTTATAAACATTCATACCTTGTAACCCAGAAGTTCTATTTCTAGAAATTTATTATAAATATGTCTAAATAAGAAATAAGGTTACTCATTGAAGACTGTTTAAAATAGCAAAAAGTTAGGAATTGTTTAAATATTCATCAGTAGGAGCCTGACTAAATCAATGATGGCATATTCACGCAATGGAATACTGTGAAGCCTTTAAAAATAAGAGAGTGTAAGAAACCATTTTCAAGAGGCACATAAGGTAGAGGACAAAGCATATAATGGGCTACCATTTGTGCTTTACAAAAAGAAAAAAAAAGGCATGTGCTTATAGTTTTTGTAATTGCATAGAACATCTTTAAAATGATATAGAGTCATTGCTTGGTATCTATGGGGATTAGTTTCAGGACACTGCCTCCCCGCCAATACCAAAATCCAGGGACGCTCAAGTCCCTTATATAAAATGGCATCACATTTGCATATAATCTACACACATCCTTCGATATACTTTAAATAATCTCTAAATTACTTATAATGTCTTATACAAAGCCTACATATCACTTCCTTTGTGTGGATTCAACGTAGTACCCAGTGTGTACCAAATTCAAGTTTAGCTTTTTGGAACTTTGTGAAATCTTTTTTCCAAACATCCTTCATCCATAGTTGGTTGAATCCATGGATATGGAACCCACAGATGAAGAGCCCACAGATACGGAGGGCCCATGGAATAAGAAAGAGGTGAGAGTGTCTGCCACTGAAAACAGAAACTGAGTGACTTGGTGAAAGGGGTGGGACAGAAATTCATTAACACCATCTATTAACTAGTCAAAAAATTAATTAACTACTTAGATATTCCTTACCTGTATTAAAGACACAGAAAAAGAAGGTTCTGTAGGAACATACTCAAAACAATAGTAAGAACATATATGACATACGTATTTGAGTTATCCAGGCAAGAGCCACAGCTGACGGTGGAGAAGCTAAGTTAGAAATCAAGGACTTCAGAATATCTTTGAATACTCTGAAGTTACAGCCCTAAAATGAAGCAGCAAGATGCATCTGTTAATAGAATTCCTGTCTCAGAGGTGCCGTGCTGCCATCCAACTGGCACTGGGAGTCTGGCTTTATTGATAGATGGATAAGATTGAACATGACACCTGTGTCCAGTGAATCCCCTGGCGCCATTTAACTAGCACTTAAAGCAGCTGCTTTTGAAAAATTACCTTCAGACTGGGCCCACCCTAGCAGAACAAAATCCTCACCTTAAGTACTTTTCCAGTTCCCAATAAATGAGGATTTTTGCCCTGCAAGAGAACTGAGCCATATTTTATTTGAAGCCACATCTGTCACTTTATTTTTATTTCCCCTGCTGTCTACCTTAGATCACAATGCCTGTGTCATGGCAATATCCTTCCAAGGGATCACAGCAACCCCCTCTTTGAAGACCTTACTTGGCTGCTCATTGCCCGTAATATAAAGTCATGTTCAGTTGTGTTTACAAGGCCTATTACAATCTGCTCTCAAAACACAATTTCAGCCTGATCTCGCCAGCCTCGTGCCTCTACACAAAACTATTGGACTTTCTCCAGCCACGCTGTAATCTTCTGCATCTTCAAACCATTGCTCGTTCTTCTCTCTTCATTATCTTCTTTTTTATTTATTTATTTATTCATTTAGTTATTTATTTATTTATTTGGTGTCGGAGTCTCACTCTGTCGCCAGACTGGAGTGCAGTGGTGCGATCTAGGCTCACTGCGACCTCTGCCTCCCGGGTTCAAGTGATTCTCCTGCCTCAGCCTCCCGAGTAGCTGGGACTGCAGGCACACACCACCACGCCCAGCTAATTTTTGTATTTTTAGTAGAGATGGGGTTTCACCATGTTGGCCAGGATGGTCTCTTATCTCTTGACCTCGTGATCCGCCCGCCCCAACCTCCTGAAGTGCTGGGATTACAGGTGTGAGCCACCACACCTGGCCCTTCATTATCTTCTTAAGAACCACCACTAATTGATCAAGACTCAGGTACAATATCACCTCCTCGTGAAGTATTCTCCAGCCCTACTAGACCAAACTGATGAGTATCTTCTCCTTGATTCCAGAGCAAAGGCACAGCTTGTGTGAGTCTCTGTATTTATCCCAACGCCTTACTTATTTCATATCTTACCCCTCTCTCCTCAATATTTGTGGTCTCCATGAGATATGGGGAATATGATTTACTCATGTTTATACCTACACTGCCTTAGTAACTAACACAGCTTCTAGCACATAGGAAAAGCTCAATAGTTACATTTTTACTATGGAGAATCTGTGGAGATCTCTGTGTGTGGTTTCTGAATGTCTAATTCAACTCTCACATTCTTCCCAGCTGTCCAATTTGTAGCCTCCTGGTTCAAACATTGCCCGTGCTCCCTGCCTGCCTGGAGGAGAGCATTTATGACCTGTCTCACTCTAATTGCTGCTGAAACATCCAGTTCCATTTCTCACTTACGAAGGCATTTTAACCTGGTTGAGCTGCCCTAAATGTAGTATGTACATCTCCACCTCCACACCCTCATTTACCTTATGCTTCTTGCCCATATTGTCCACCTGCACACATCAAAATCGTAGTGTGATGTCACTATACACCCACCAGAATGGTTAAACTGAAAAAAACCCGTTCATTGCTGCTGTGAAGGTAAATCGGCATAACCGCTTTGGAAATCTATTTGGCTGAATATAAATTCTTATGAACTACAAATGTTACTCCTGGGTATATGCCCAACAGCTTGTACAGGACATGTACAGGAATGTTCATAACAGTGCACTGAACTAGAAACAACCAAAATGCCATCCCCAGGAGAAAGGACAAACTGCGGTTCATTTATGCAATGGAACACCACAGAGCAATGAGAACGAGCCATTGCTCCACAAAACAATATGGATCAATCCCACACTGTGGAGTATATGAAGAGATTCCTAAAAAACAAAAGATTTAATCTACAAAAGTTCAAAACCAGGCCAAACTTATCTATGGGGACCAGAAGTCAAGTGATGGCCTGTGTGGTGGCTCACACCTGTAATCTCAGCACTTTAGGAGGCCAAGGCAGGAGGATCCCACAAGGCCAGGAGTTCAAGACCAGCCGAGGCAACATAAGAAGACCTCATCTCTATAAAAAATTTAAAAAATTAGCCAAGTGTGATGATACTCACCTGTAGTCCTAGCTACTTGGGAGGCTGAGGCAGGAGGATCACTTGAGCATGGGAGTTCAAGGCTGCAGTGAGCTGAGATCGCGCCACTTCACTCCAGCCTGGGCGACAGAGTGAGAACTTGTCTCTAAAACAAAATAGTAAGAAGATTATGGGTGGCTCAGTAACTGGGATGGGGAATGAGGGGGTCTTCAGTGGTGCTAGTAAAGATTCTATTTCTTGGTCTGGGTTATGTTACATGTCTCACATTTTGAAGACTCATCAAACTATATCCTTATGACTTGTGTTATACCTGAATAAAAATAAAATCTCCACAGCCTCTAGCCTATGCCTTCTCATAGGTGAAGTTCACTTAAATGGTTGGCAACCAGTTAACTTATAGAACTCTACTTCCCTTTAGGTATCTGGGTATGTTTGGGGGCAGGCTCAATGGCTTTGAATTATACTCAACCACGTCTAGTTTGCCCTTCTCTACATTGAACCACACAATTCGATTTCAGCCTGGTGAGCAGCTGGGGCAGTTGTGATGGGAGCTGTCTGAGAACAAGCTTGCTCTACACACAGTACATTTTTGGGATGCCAGCAATGGCCTGCTCATCTCCTTCACAGCAGTGCTACTTAAAGCATGGTCCACAAACCACCTGTGAGCTGGTTAGAAACGCGAATGATGAGCCTCACCTCCGACCCAGGGAGTCAGATGGTGCTGGGCCCCAGGAGTTGGTGTTTCTCAAGATCCCCAGATTTATTAGCCATGTCTTTGATTTTCTGTATTCTGAGGCTTTAACATGTGGAGCCTTGCTGATCCTGGGGGCACTGCTCCTCCCAGGGCTGGCCAAGTCCTAGAGATGGTAAGCAACTCAACCAGAGTGTGTTTTTCAAATACAAACCAACCCAGCAAGAGCCCACCACCAACCACCTCCTTTATAGAGCTGTCACATTCAGGGCCAGTACTCCCCTGTCCTAATCATCCCAGGGCCAGGGATCAGACAACTAAGAACAGAGCTGCAGCCCCCATGCCCCAGAGCCCATTGAACTTATTCCAACTAGCCAATCCCAAGCCTGCTTACCCTGCTTCCCCCATTCCTTTTTGCAGAAACCACAGTAACAGCTCTTGCCCACCTCTCCCCTTTTTCCCCGCCTCTCTCCTTTCTCCCCCTGCCCCATGGTTGACCCCAGGGTTTTCCTGTGTGGTTTCCCATAGCCTGGCATCCCCCCACCTCTTGGGTACTGTGACTTACAAACTACCTTTTCAGTGACAATTGTCTCCTAATCTGTCGGCCTTTCTATGCCTCAAATTTTCTATTAATATACCATATTTTAAAACACCAAGGCCAGGCATGGTGGCTCATGCCTGTAATCTCAGCACTTTGGGAGGTCCAGGTGGGTGGACCACAAGGTCAGGAGTTCGAGACCAGCCTGGCCAATATGGTGAAACCCCGTCTCAACTAAAAATATAAAAATTAGCTGGGCATGGTGGTGGGCGCCTGTAGTCCTAGCTACTCAGGAGGCTGAGGCAAGAGAATTGCTTGAACCCAGGAGGCGGAGGTTGCAGTGAGCTGAGATCGCACCATTGCACTCCAGTCTGGGTGACAGAGCGGAACTCCATCTAAAATAAATAAATAAATAAAACATCAAGAGATTTGTGTGCACATTAAAGTTTGAAAGGCAGTATTTCAATGATCCTCTCCTACCATTTGCAAAAGAGTGACCTAGAACAAAGTTGAGTCCTGAATTCATCTTCTTCCCAGAAAAGGGAATAAATTCTATCAGAGAGGGAATTATCTTTGAAGACCATGGCTCTGAATCTCTCCTCAATGTGATGGCAGCAATGACAGACCTCTGCCACCCCCACTCCTGCCCCATCTCTGGCCCTCCCAATGACAGGTTAGGTCTGAGCAGCTTTCTGGATTTATAGGGATGAGAGCAGAGACAAGCAGTGCTCCTCAAAGAATTCCAAAGTTAAAATGGCCCTTGAGGCTGCTCCATCTTAGAATGGCTTATTCCAGGGATTTTTCCACTCTGTTTACCCTGTTTCTCCACGGTGTTTCCCACTTTCTCTCTTCTCAAAAGTTGTAACTCAATGCTTCTAAAATAGATTTTGGCTGGGCACAGTGGCTCATGCCTGTTATCCCAACAATTTGAGAGGCCAAGGCAGGAGGATCGCTTGAGCACAGGAGTTCGAAACCAGCCTGGGCAACATAGTGAGACCCTCATCTCTACAAAAAAATTTATTTTAATTTGCCAGGCATGGTGGTGGGTTCCTGTAGTCCAAGCTACTCGAGATCCTAAAGCAAGAGGATCTCTTGAGCCTGGGAGGTTGAGGCCGCAGTGAGTTATGATCATGCCATCGTACTCCAGCCTGGGTGATAAAGCAAGACCTTGTCTCAAAAAAAATTTTTTACGAATAAATTAATAAATAATGGTCTTAGATGGTTTTTTCAGAATTTTTTTAAATTTCATTTTTATTCTTACATTGCTATAAAGAAATACAGAATGGTTTTGTTGGTGGTGGTGGTGGTTTTGTTTGTTTTTTTTGTCCTCTGGTCACTGTTTTAGTTCCAAATTATGTTTTACATGTTATTTAATATACGCTGTCAGAAGAGAACTTATGAAAGCATATAGAATATGTCATGTGTAATTGACATAAACTAACAAATAAACATAAGAGAATTCTTACTTCATTGTTTTCTTTCACAGCTATCTATATTCATAAACAAGAACTCTTCTTTCCTCCTAAACATGGGATGCAGCCATTTGTCATTTTAAAGTGTTATGGGTAGAAAAGTAGGGGCCGGGCATGGTAGCTCACTCCTGTAATCCCAGCACTTTGGGAGGCCAAGGTGGGTGGATTATCTGAGGCCAGGAGTTTGAGAGACCAGCCTGGGCAACATGGCAAAACCCCGTCTCTACTAAAAATGCAAAAATTAGCCAGGCATGGTGGTACATGCCTGTAATCCCAGCTACTCAGGAAGCTGAGGCAGGAGAATCACTTGAACCCAGGAGGCAGAGGTTTCAGTGAGCTGAGATCTGCCACTGCACTCCAGCCTGGGTGACAGAGTGAGACTCTGTCTCAAAAAACAAAAAAGGAAAGTTGGGATGAGGGAGAACTCTGACAAGAGGGGATCTACCCAAACTCCCCTGTCAGTGCTGGTAGAGCCCAGGTAATCATACTCATGATTCCAGCCTCAGCACCACAAATATATCATAATAAGAGACCATTTGTGGGCCGGGCACAGTGGCTAACGCCTATAATCCTAACATTTTGGGAGGCAGAGGTGGGCAGATCACCTGAGGTCAGGAGTTCAAGACCAGCCTGGCCAACATGGTGAAACCCTGTCTCCACAAAAATACAAAAATTAGCTGGGCATGATGGTGGGCACCTGTAATCCCATCCACTCGAGAAGCTGAGGCAGGAGAACTACTTGAACCGGAGAGGCAGAGGCTGCAGTGAGCTGAGATCATGCCATTGCACTCTAGCCTGGGCAACAGAGCCAGACTCCATCTCAAAAAAAAAAGAAAAAAGAAAAAAGAAAAGAAAAGAGACCATTTGCGGAATACATTCTAAGCACCAGGTAATAAACTAAGTGCTTTATAGAACTGTTTTGTCCTGGTAACCTCATGATAACCCTATACCAGATGAGGCACCTGAAACTCAAAATATTAAGGGACTTTTGGTTTATTGCCTTATAAGAAGTACTGTCATTATTCAAACTCAGGTCCTTCTGATTCAAAAGACACTGTTCTTAATGACTGCAAGATGGATATAAAAACTTGAGCTGCTTTTCTGCAGAACAGCTTGGAAGTTAGCTGTGGGATTTTCTAAAGGATCACTGCAGATTTTCAAATATGATAGTCATGAATTTTTCCATGATACTTGAGGTGAAAAAATGTCATATTTCTTAAATTTTGTAAATCAAATTAAAATCTGGCTCACAGCCCTCACCCACCAAAGTCAATTTGGAGTCCAATATGAGTAATAATTGAGGCTTTCTTTCCCCTCTTCCACTGGTGAAACTGCCCGCACAAGGTTAATGCGAATTGCAAGCCAGGCTTTAGGCAGAATTATGGTTAGGCCCTGCCCAGGGTGCACTGGGGTACTTCCAGCCACTCCCCTGCAGCTGCGAACTAACCGACAGTCACATAGCACACGGGCCACCTGTTCTCCCATTGTTCCTATAGATGGAATTCTGACACTGGACCTTTTTACCCAAGAATTTCTAAAGGTGTTCCTCAGATTCTGATTTCCAGCAGAATGGCTGATTCCAAGTGAAAATCCCCACCAAGTAAAGCAGTTTCTTCATGGCTCCATCCCATGACTTCACCCCTCACTTCTCAGCCAATCAGCAATCCCCACACTTTAGCCATCACCTGTCCAGACCTCTTTAAGAACCCATCTCCTGGCCGGGCACGGTGGCTCATGCCTGTAATCCCAGCACTTTGGGAGGCCGAGGAGGGTGGATCACGAGGTCAAGAGATCAAGACCATCCTGGCCAACATGGTGAAAACCAGTCTCTGCTAAAAATACAAAAATTAGCCGGGCGTGGTGGCGTGCGCCTGTAATCCCAGCTACTTGGGAGGCTGAGGCAGAAGAATCGCTTGAACCCAGGAGGCAGAAGCTGCAGTGAGCCAAGATCACGCCACTGCACTCGAGCCTGGCAACAGAGCGAGACTCTGTCAAAAAAAAAAAAAAGAAGAAAAAAAAACTCCCCACCTCTTGTGGACACAGATTTGAGGTTTCCTCTCATCTCCTGGGTTGTCTGTCCTATAATTGTTAAACTCTTTCTCTGCTGCAACTCCTTGCCCTGCTGGTCTCGAGATCTCAAGACATTAACTTGCTGAGCAGCAGGCAACAAACCTGTTACAGTTACACTGGGCTTACTTAGGTTCATAGAAATGGTGAGGAACCCAGTCTTAGGGTGTTCTGGTATTTGATGCCCTGAGGGTTAGTGTTTCTTCGCTACCTATGGGTCTCTGTGTCTTCTAGTTATCGTCACTGGCTTCTACCTTCACGCAGGTTTTCAGTACCACCAGGCCATCCTCACATGAGGTCCTGCTGTCTTTGGGCTGCCTTATTCAAGTGGGATCCTAGTTTTCTACAGCTCTACATAGCTCTACCAAACTCCTCTGGGTCAAATAACTCTTCCTGTTCAACTGCACCAGCCTCCAGTCCCTTCCCCTCGTCAGATTCAATTGTGTTCATTTCCATCAATATCTGTAAGCAAAGTATTTTTAGAGTTGACCTGGGGCTTCCCATTCTTCCCCCCACATCACGTACAAAGCAAAAACATACATACAAAAACAGCACATACAAAACAAATTACATACATACATGTATAACAAAACACATTGCGTATAAAAACAAAATACACTACCTGCTATTGCCTTTGGTCAAGGAAGTCCAAAACTAAGAAAAGAGAGAGTTCATTTCTTTTTTTTTTTTCCTTTTTCTAATGAGAACATGGAGAGGCCAGGGGAGAAACAAAATATCAATTTTTCAATTGCTCTCATTTTTACTGAAGTGATAGTTGACTTGGGGTCAAAATATTAAAGCTGAAAGCAAGACAATCCCTTTCTTAACTCTGAGATTCTCCCTTCGTACATTCCCAAGATTGAAACCCTCTAGAGCCCAGCAAGTAAATGAACAACATCAACATGCTATTGTTTCCTTTGTCTTTCAAGGCCCTGTTCAAATGTCTCCTCCTCCATGAAGACTTCCTGACTATCATTTTGATTCAAGTCATTTTTTTTTTTTTTTTTTTTTTTTTGAGACGGAGGCTCGCTCTGTCACCAGGCTGGAGTGCAGTGGTGCAATCTCGGCTCACTGCAAGCTCCGCCTCTCATGTTCAAGCGATTTTCCTTCCTCAGCCTCCTGAGTAGCTGGGACTACAGGTGCATACCACCTCACCCAGCTAATTTTTGTAATTTTAGTAGAGACAGGGTTTCACCATGTTGGCATTTTTTTTCCTTTCTTTGTTCCCACAGTAATTTGCTGGATCTCTACCTTGTACTGTGATCTGCTTTATATCCTAGATACGTGTTAAGTGTATTAAATACAAAGTTTTTGAAAATACCTGCCACATCTCCTAACTGTATGTTTTAGAGTATACCAGTATGAAACCGCTTTATGTAGTCCCAGCAGAGAATGGGGGAAAAAAGTTTTGGCTTCATTGTCATGAACTGAGATGAGAAAATCATAAATATGCCCAGAGTTTGGCAAACATCATCTCCAAAACTTTATTGGGCAGAGTAATTTTAACTGGCTTCGAAGCATTGACAGTGATCCAGGGTAATTTTATGACAAGTTCTCTTGCTTAAAAACTTAACTTGGACATCAACCAAATCTGTATAGTAGCATTCTTATATTTCCAGAATATCTTGACTGCTCTGGGAGGGGAGTCTGTCCCTAGGAAATGGTGCAGAACAGTCCAAATAGGAGGCTGATTATTCCTCCTGGTGTCAGGGGCTGAAAATCCAACCCTGAGGCCGCAAAGTGCATCCCGGGATACCAGCCAGCTTAAGATGCAATCTAGTATAGCACAGAGAGCGTTCGGACACTCGGATTGGGATCAGACGCCTAGGACACAAGAAGCAGGAATAACTGTGAGACTATAGCCACCTGCTATTTGGATGCATCTGATGGGTATGTTTAGTTTCCACTCTGTAATGACTGCCTTGCCTCCTGGGCCCTATTTTTTTTTTTTTTTTTTTTTTTTTGAGATAGAGTCTCGCTCTGTCACCCAGGCTGGAGTGCAGTGGCACTATCTCGGCTCACTGCAACTTCCGCTTCCTGGGCTCAAGCAATTCTCCCTGCCTCAGCCTCCCTAGTAGCTGAGATTACAGGCTTGTGCTACCATGCCTGGCTAATTTTTTTTTTTTTTTCATATTTCTAGTAGAGACGGGGTTTCATCATGTTGGCCAGACTGGTCTTGAACTTCTGACCTCAGATGATCCACCCACCTTGGCCTCCCAAAGTGCTGGAATTACAAGCATGAGCCAACGCACCCAGCCCCTGGGCCCTGTTTTCCCCACAGCCGCAGCCCCTTATCCCTTACCTATAGGCTCAGCTTAGTTTCTGTGCGCATGATGAAGTCAAAATCATGAAGGATTTAAGGAATCACATTTGATCTTCACCCCTGCATGGCATAACTACACTGTGACTTTGCTTTTTGACACCAAGCTTCTGGCCGCTCTTACTCCAACTTCACTTCTTGTAACCTTTTTGGATCGACTTTTGCCTCTTCTTGAATTCCTGAATATTTCTTAGCCCCTAGAGAGGAAATCTCTCTTTGCTTTTATGCCTCCATCCCTGAACTCCAAGCTTATATTTGAGATCCAGTTACCAGCTACCAGGCCCCAGGGATTATTCTGACTCCTTCCTGGAACCTCAGCATGTGGCCTCTTCCCAGCTTTCCCAGGTGCTAAGCTCTGCAGTGTTGGGAGTCTTTGATGTTGTCTGCTGGGTGCTACTACCTGCCAGGTCCTCATACCAACTGCCGTCTTGTTCTAGAGTCATCCAAGAGTGGATATTCCCCTGGCCTCCTGCTGCTGGGCTGGTTTCCAATTGGCTGCCTTCACTGGGTGGATCTCTCCATCCTCCAGGTATCACTGCCCACTGGTCTGACCAACCTCACCAGCAGCCAACCCCTGCTTTGGACAGGTTTAGTTATATGGGTGCCTCTCTAAATATGTTCTGCAGAACCTTGACTCTGCAGTGTTGGTAGACATAATGTACACAAAGGGTTCTATAGTGAAATATGTTTTGAAGAGAATGTGTAAAAGAGTTAAACAGGATTCTTCATGGGAAGATTTCACAGAGCCTTTAATATAATAACACGCACTGACGATGTCTAAGGAGGGATAGAGTGAGCGTTCAGTGTTCCTGAAACTTAACTGTGTTTTGCTCTGAGCATGTTATTGGACTTAATGTCCACACAACAGACTTTGGGAAATGCTAAATCACATTCTTCAGGTTCCAGCCCCATGTTAACCCTTACCTCTTGCCACAGTGACATGAGCAAGGACAGCATCCTACCTTTAAGAAGTGTTTGTGTTGGCTGGGTGTGGTGGCTCACACCTGTAATCCCAGCACTTTGGGAAGCCGAGGTGGGTGGATCACGAGGTCAGGAGATCGAGACCATCCTGGCTGACACGGTGAAACCCCATCTCTACTAAAAATACTAAAAATTAGCCAGGCATGGTGGCGGGTGCCTGTAGTCTCAGCTACTCAGGAGGCTGAGGCAGGATAATGGCATGAACCCGGGAGGCAGAGGTTGCAGTGAGCCGAGATCTTGCCACTGCACTCCAGCCTGGGCAACAGAGTGAGACTCCATCTCAACAACAACAACAACAACAACAACAAAAAAGAAGTGTTTGTGTCTTCATAATCCCAAGCCCCAAATGCAGCCCAATTCATGGGACAGTGGAGCCACATGAGCTGGTTTTGGATCCTGGGCCTTCTCCTTTTTTCTGTATCCCATTCACCAGTTGTTTGACTCTAAAGATTGCTTAACTTACCTGCATCTCTATTTCCAGTTCTGTATCATAGAATGGTTGATATATAATTACATACTTTATTTTGACTATCCAATAATAGCAACAGCTAATATTGAGCATTTGCTATCTACTTATCACTGTTCTAAACACTTTGCCTATATCATCTTTTTTCAATACTCGCACAAATCACATAGTATAGGCATACCCCATTTTTCAGAGAAGGCTATTGAGACACGAAACAGCTAAGTAGCTTACCAAAGTTTACCAGCTAATCATGCTAACCTGAGATTCAAGCCAAAGTAGTTTGGCTGCAGAGTCAGCATTCTCAATTCCCAGCACTATAATTTATTTCTTCATTCAACAAATATCTATTGAGCACCAGGTCATGCTATTGACCCTAGAAGTATAGCAATAAATAGACAGACATTCTTGCCTTCATGGAATTTATATTCTAATGCGAGAGACAGGCACTATGTAAATAAACATGGGCTTTGTTGTAGGTAATAAGTGACATGGAGAAAAATAAAGCAGTGTAAGGGATATGAGAGTCGAGGGGCAGTATTTTGATATCAAGTTGGGCACTGTAGGAGGGAGCGTTTCAATGGGTACATTGTTCCACAGTTTGGCTGAGGCTAGCTCCTGCCTGTGACTAAAGGTGTCCATGTGACTTGAGCTGCATTACACATCGCAATGGGCCACTCTTTCTTCGGGGTTGTCCCAGTGACTTGGCCTCCATAACTATGCCTCTCACTGCGGCTCCTTGAGGGAGATAATTATAGCATAGAGTAACAGAACTTTAAAAGTAATGACTGACTACATAGTTTCCTAAATATTTGTGTTTTACTTATTTGTATCATTACTTTTTAATCACTGTGATTCTAGGGGTTGAGTTTTCTTTTCAAATTTTTCTTTGTATCTAATTTCCTTGCTGTTAGATACAACAGCAAAAGTACAAAAGACAAAAGAAAACCTAAATAAATTGGATTACATCAAAATTGAAAATGTTGTGCTACAATTGATACTATCAAGAAGGAAAAAATACACTTTACAGAATAAGGAATAATATTTGCAAATTACATACCTGATAAGAGACCTGTATCTAGAACGTATAAGGAGCACTTACAACACAGCAATAAGAAGATGACCCAATTAAAAATTAGGCAAAGGCTTTGAATACACATTTCTCCAAAAAAAAAAAAAAATAGAGAAATGGCCAATAAGTAAAAGGAAAACATGCTCAACATCTTTGGTCATTAAGAAAATGCAAATCAAAATCACAATGAAATATCACTTCATACCCACTAGAAAAGCTAAAATTAAAAAGACAAATAATAACAAATGATGACAAGGGTGTATATACAGTGCAAACTTAATTTACCTCTGGTAAAAATTGTAAAATGGTGCAGGTGGTTTTGAAAACAATTTGGCAATACCTCCAAAAGTTAAATATAGAGTTACGATGTGATTTAGCAATTCTACTCCTGAGTATACATCCAAGAGAAATAAAAACAGCTGAGCACGGTGGCTCAGGCTTGTAATCCCAGTGCTTTGAGAAGCAAGGTAGGAGGATGACTTGAGGCCAGGAGTTCAAGACCAGCCTGGGCAGTATTATGAGATACCATCTCTACAAAAAAATTAAAAATTGACTGAGCATGGTGGTACACACCTGTAGTCCCAGCTACTCAGGCTGAGGCAGGAGAATTGCTTGGACCCAGGAGTCCAAGGCTGCAGAGAGCTGTGATTGCACCACTGCACTCTACCCTGGGTAACAGAGCAGGAACCCTGTCTCTCAAAATAATAATAATAAATAAAAATTAAAAATAAATGAATATGAATAAATTTGTAATTAAAAAAAAATAAAGAAAATAGCACGCCAGGCATGATAGCTCATGACTGTAATCCCAGTATGATATGGTTTTGTTGTAATATGGTTTGGTTGTGTACTTGAATTGTACTCCCATAATTCCCACATGTTGTGGGAGGGACCCAGTGGGAGATAATTTGAATCATGGGGGCAGTTTCTCCCATACTGTTCTTGTGGTAGTGAGTAAGTCTCCTGAGATCTGATGGTTTCATCAGGGGTTTCCACTTTTGCATATTCCTCATTTTCTCTTGCCACTGCCATATAAGAAGTGCCTTTCACCTCCTGCCATGATTCTGAGGCCTCCCCAGCAATGTGAAACTGTAAGTCCAATTAAACCTCTTTATCTTCTGAGTCTTGGGTATGTCTTTATCAGCAGCATGAAAATGGACTAATATAGTAAATTGGTACCAGTGGAGTGGGGTGTTGCTGAAAAGATATGAAAGCAACTTTGGAACTGGCTAACAGGCAGTGGTTGGAATAGTTTGGAGGACTCAGAAGAAGAAAGGAAAATGTGGAAAAGTTTGGAACTTCCTAGAGACTTGTCGAATCGCTTTGACCAAAAGTCTGATAGCGATATGGACAATAAGGTCCAGGCTGAGGTGGTCTCAGATGGAGATGAGGAACTTGTTGGGAACTGGAGCAAAGGTGACTCTTACTATGTTTTAGCAAAGAGACCGGTGGCATTTTGCCCCGCCCTAGAGATTTGTGGAACTTTGAACTTGAGCGAGATGATTTAGGGTATCTGGCAGAAGAAATTTCTATGCAGCAAAGCATTCAAGAGTTGACTTGGGTGCTGTTAAAGGCATTCAGATTTATAAGGGAAGCAGAGCATAAAAGTTCAGAAAATTTGCAGCCTGACAATGTGATAGAGAAGAAAAGCCCATTTTTTGAGGAGAAATTCAAGCCAGCTGCATAAATTTGCATAAGTAACAAGAAGCCGCATGTTAATCCCCAAGACAACGGAGAAGACATCTCCAGGACATATCAGAGGTCTTCACAGCAGCCCCTCCCGTCACAGGCCCAGAGGCCTAGGAGAAAATGGTTTCCTGGACCTGTGCAGCCTAGGTACTTGGCACCCTGTGTCCCAGCTACTCCAGTAGTGGCTGAAAGGGGCCAAAGTACAGCTTACGCCATGGCTTCAGAGGGTGCAAGCGCCAAGCCTTGGCAGCTTCCGCATGCTGTTGAGCCTGCAAATGCACAGACGTCAAGAATTTGGATTTGGGAACCTCTGCCTAGATTTCAGGAGATGTGCGGAAGTGTCCGGATGCCCAGGCAAAAGTTTGCTGCAGGGGCAGGGCCTTCATGGAGAACCTCTGCTAGGGCAGTGTGGAAGGGAAACATGGGGTCTGAGCCCCCACACAGAATCCCTACTGAGGCACCACCTAGTGGAGCTGTGAGAAAAGAGCCACCATCCTCCACACCCCAGAATGATAGATCCACCAACAGCTTGCACCATGCACCTGGAAAAGCCGCAGACATTCAACACCAGCCCGTGAAAGCAGCCAAAAGGGGGAATATATCCTGCAAAGCCACAGGGGAGGAGCTTCCCAAGACTATGGGAACCTACCTCTTACATCAGCACGACCTTTGTGTGAGACCTGGAGTCAAAGGAGATCATTTTGGAGCTTTAAAATCTGACTGCCCTGCTGGATTTCAGACTTGCATGGGCCCTACAACCCCTTTGTTTTGGCCGATTTCTCCAATTTGGAAAGGCTGTATTTACCCAATACCTGTACCCCCATTGTATCTTGGAAGTAACTAGCTTGCTATTGATTTGACAGGCTCATAGGCAGAAGGGACTTGCCTTGTCTCAGATAAGACTTTGGACTGTGGACTTTTGGGTTAATGCTGAAATGAGTTAAGACTCTGGGAGACGTTTGGGACGGCATGATTGGTTTTGAAATGTAAGGACAGGAGATTTGGAGGGGCCGCATGTGGAATAATATGATTTGGCTGTGTCCCCACCCCAATCTCATCTTGAATTATACTCCCATAATTCCCATGTGTTGTGGGAGGGAACTGGTGGGAGATAATTTGAATCATGGGAGCAATTTCCCCCACACTGTTCTCATGGTAGTGAATAAGTCTCATGAGATCTGATGGTTTTATCAGGGGTTTCTGCTTTTGCATCTTCCTCATTTTCTCTTGCTGCTGCCATGTAAGAAGTGCTTTTCGCCTCTCGCTGTGATTTTGAGGCCTCCCTAGCCATGTGGAACTGTAAGTCCAATTAAACCGCTTTTTCTTGCCAGTCTCAAGTATGTCTTTATCAGCAGCATGAAATGGACTAATACCCAGTGCTTTGGGAGGCTGAGGTGGAACGATCACTGGAGGCCAGGAGTTCAAGACCAGCTTGGCCAATAGAGTGAGGCACCATTTTCACAAAGACAAAACACAAAAACTTTGCTAAGCAAAGTGGTGCACACCTGTAGTCTCAGTTACTCAGGAGGCTGAGGCAGGAGGATCACTTGAGCACAGGAATTCGAGACTGTAGTGAACCATGAGCATGCCACTTCACTTCAGCCTGGGCAACACAGCAAGACCTTGTCTCAAAAAAAAAAAAAAAAAAACACAACCACAAAAAAGGCCAAGTGCAGTGGTTCATGCCTATAATCCCAGCACTCTGGGAGGCTGAGCCAGGAAGAAGCCAGGGGTTTCAGGCCAGCCTAGGCAGCATAGCAAGACCCTGTCTCTACTTAAAAAGTAAAACATGTCCAAACAAAAACTTACACAAAAATATTTATAACAACATTAAACATAATAGTCAATAAGTGGAAATTTTCCCAATATCCATCAACTGATAAGTATGGTAGTTTTGATTTGTGAAATTTTTTATTTGTCAGTGAAAAGGAATGGCACAACACAGATGAACCTTAGAACATTATGCAGTGAAAGAAGTCAGTCACAAAAGACTACATATTACATGATTCTATTTATATGAGCTATCTCGAATACAAAAATTTATAGAGACAGAAAATAGATTAGTAATTGCCTAGGGCTGGGAGGTTTGTGGGAAATGGGTAATGACTGCTAATGGATAAAGGGCTTCTTTCTATGGTAATGAAAATGTTCTAAAATTAAATTTAAATTAGATGGTTGCATAATTCTGTGAATATACTAAAAAAAACCATTGAATAATATAATTTACAGGGGTGAATTGTATTGCTGGGGCTCAGAAAACAATATCCCAAAATGAAGGGCCTAAGAAGCAGGCTCAGAAGCAAACATTTTTCTCTGACTTTCTCATGCTCTCCTATCTCTGAGTCCCATTCTCCCCCAAGGCTAACCATACAAATTAGAATCCCTCCATCCTACAGCGGGTCATAGAAACCAGAACCCATTTTCCCCAAACCAGTCGTAAAAGCTAAAAATATTACTCTAACTTTTACTCTGCCTTTCTGTATAAATACTGGTCATAAAGAAATTATCTGACCTACCCCATTTGACTGTAGGCTATAAGACTCCATTCTAGAGATGGTCCTTCCCCACACCAAGAAGGAAGAAGGCATTCTTGGAGCAGGAGGTAGAATCTAGACAAACAGGCCCTGCTGGGTTTCCCCACCCAATCTATTAGCATTAGATCGTACTCATTTTGTCCAGTCCTATTTCTACCAGCTGTCCACACTTTGTTGAACCTAAGCACAAAAACAGTCAACTTGGGCCGGGTGCGGTGGCTCGTGCCTGTAATCCCAGCACTTTGGGAGGCCGAGGCGGGCGGATCACAAGGTCAGGAGATCAAGACCATCCTGGCTAACACAGTGAAACCCCGTCTCTACTAAAAAATACAAAAAATTAGCTGGGCACGGTGGCAGGTGCCTGTAGTCCCAGCTACGTGGGAGGCTGAGGTGGGAGAATGGCGTGAACCTGGGAGGCCGAGCTTGCGGTGAGCCGAGATCACACCACTGCACTCCAGCCTGGGCGACAGACAGGCTGGACTCCATGTCAAAAAAAAAAAAAAAAAAAGGTCAACTTTCCCTGCATCTTTAGGTCTTCATTCTAAAGGCTCCTGTGTATACACATTAATAAATTTGTATGCCTTTTCTTCAATGAATCTGCCTTATGTGAGTTGACTTTTCAGCCAAACTTCATATGGTATGTGATATGGTTTGGCTGTGTCCCAACCCAAATCTCAAATTATAGTTCCCATAATTCCCATGTGTCATGGGAGGGACCCAGTGGGAGGTAATTTTATCATGGGGTGCGTCTTTCCCATGCTGCTCTCATGACAGTGAATAAGTCTCACAAGATCCGATGGTTTTATAAAGGGGAGTTCCCCTGCACATGCTCCCTCTCTTGCCTGCTGCCATGTAAAATGTGACTTTGCTCCTCATTCACCTTCCAACATGGTTACAAGGCCTCCCCAACCATGTGGAACTGTGAGACAGTTAAACCTCTTTCTTTTATAAATTACCAGTCTTGGGTATGATTTTATTAGCAGTGTGAGAACAGACAAATGCTGTATGTGAATTATATCTTAATAAAACTATTAAAAAATTTTTTTACTAAAAAAAGATAATTTTTTTGTCTACTAAAATTTCTTTACTAAAAAAGGGGTTTTGCGGAGATGATGGTCAAAGGATACAAAATTTTAGTTAGACACGAGAAATAAGTTCAAGAGCTCTATTGTACAACATGGTGACTGTAGTTGTAAGCTAAAAATAACATTCTAAGGCCCCCTGCCAAACCATCTGAATGGACCCTTCCTCTCGGCCAAGGGCATTCCAAATTTAACCTGAAAAAACTAGCTCAGGCCATGATGGGAAGGGGGAACCAGACATGCTTTACTATACTCTCGTCCCTTTTGGAATTACTGATAGAACGGACTCTTTAAGTCTGATAAGAAACATTTACAATCTATTCTCTCTGAAGCCTGCTACCTGGAGGCTTCAACTGAATAATAAAGCTTTGGTCTCCACAACTCCTTATCATAACCCAGACATTCCTTTGTATTGATAATAACTATATATATATATTTTTTTGAGACAGAGTCTTGCTCTTGTTGCCCAGGCTGGAGTGCAGTGGCGTGATCTCGGCTCACTGCAACCTCCGCCTCCTGGGTTCAAGCAATTCTCCTGCCTCAGCGTCCTGAGTAGCTGGGATTACAGGCATCCACCACCACGCCTGGCTAATTTTTGTATTTTTAGTAGAGACAGGGTTTCACCATGTTGGTCAGGCTGATCTCGAACTCCTGACCTCCTGATCTGCCCTCCTCGGCCTCCCAAAGTGCTGGGATTACAGGCATGAGCCACCGTGCATGGCCGATAATAACTCTTTTAACCAGTTACCAATCAGAAAATCTTTAAATGTGCCTATAACCTAGAGGGCTCCCTGCTCTGTCCCCACCCCTAACCCCACTTTGATTTGTCCCACCTTTTTGGATGAACCAATGTACATCTTACACGTTTTAATTGATGTCTCATGTCTCCCTAAAATCTATAAAACCAAGCTGTACCCTGACCGCCTTGGGCACATGTTCTCAGGATCTGAGGGCTGTGTCATGGGC
Source organism: Homo sapiens (assembly GCF_000001405.40). Lineage (NCBI taxonomy): Eukaryota > Metazoa > Chordata > Mammalia > Primates > Hominidae > Homo > Homo sapiens. Next base: position 13,914,463 of record NC_000017.11, read on the forward strand.
CACTGGTCACTCATATTTGGCTCAGAATAAATCTCTTCAAATATTTTACAGTTTGACTCTTTTCATTGACATACTTATTAACAATGTATTGTATTCATAAAAATTGCTAAGAGAGTAGATTTAAGTGTTTTCACTTCCAAAAGATAAGTTTGTGAGAGAATGCATATGTTAATTAGTTCAATTTGGCCCTGCCATAATGTATACATATTTCAAAACAACATTTTGTACATGATAAATACATAAAATTTTTATTTGTCAAAGAAAGAAAGTGAGAAAAGAACTTATATCTAAAGAATGTGAGTCCCTTTAAATTATCACCTCCAGAGAGACACTAAAATGAGGCAGCACTCACTTCCTACTCCTCCACTCCTGCCCTGCTTTAAGCTATGTATTTGTCTCTTGGAACTGTTTGCTATCACAAGTAGCTATATATTCACCTAATAATGCCACAGTGAACATTATAACCTACACTCTATAGCTTAACAATGTATAGTCAATCACTAATCAATGTTCTATCAGACAGTGAGAATTTCTGACAAACAACTTTGTATCTATCCTTCTTCTTTGACTTTAAAAACTTGCTTGAAACAAAGGCCAAATGGAGCTCATATTCAAGGCTACTTGCATCTGACTCTTCCAGGCACCTGGCCTCACTTTGGCTCAAGTAAACTCTTTAAATTACATTTTGTGCCTCAGTGGAAGGAAGAAAGGAAGGAAGAAGGAGGGAGGGAGGAACCAAGAATATTCCACCTCAAAATACACACTTCTTTGGCATATTTGGAGATGGATGTTCAGAGGCTCTCCTGCAAGGTGCCTTTTGTGAAGCAGATTTGCATCTGTAGAGAAACTCTGCATTGGTGAAACAAACAGCCAGGTTTTCCCTACCCGCTGTCCCTGATCAGGAATCAGGATGGAGACATGACTACCTCCTAGAAGAGAGAGACTGAAGTCTGATACTTTTGGGGGTCTGACAGAAACTCCCTCTTTCTGAGATCTGCTCACTGTAAGCTTTCATCTGCATAACAAGACATGCTTTGCTAGCCAGGCCTCTTCTCCTCTCCCTCCCAGAAGTGGTTTTGTCCCTGCCCCAAGCCCCTGTTCTTTCCTCAACCTCAGGACAATATAAAACTTTAACCATGTGGCTTTTTCTTTGAGCTTTTCATATACGATAAGACTTCTATGCACACATGTTCACATTAACAAATTGTGTATCCTTTTTCTCCTATTAATCTGCCTTTTGTCAAGTGATTTTCAATGAACCTTCAGAGAGCAAAGAGGAAGTTTTCCCTTGGCCCGCTACAAAAGAAAAATAGAAAACACCAAGCGTTGTTGAAATGTGAAGCAACTGGAAAGCTCACATATTGATGGGGGAAATGTAGCATTTTTTAAAAGGTAGTTCTATTTAAATTACTAATAGATAATATTACAGGAAATCTGCAGACACTGACAAAATTGTAAAGATGTTACCCAAGTGACTGAAGTATGAAAAAAGCCCCAATCTTTAACTGGGCATTCAGGGCCCTACACATTTTAGCTCCACATTCTCAATCCTCTTAGCTGCTCCCCTGCCCCTAGAATACCCCAGGGCACACCAGTTACCTTGCTTTTGTCTTACTGTGAGAATGATAACTGAAATTTACAGAGAGTTAACTCTACTTTCAATGTGGGTAGCCATTAAGTCTAGACATCCATGAACATATGCAATCTTTATACTATCTCTATATAAATAGTTATTATTGCCCACAGTTTGCAGATAAATAAACATGAAGCTACAGAGGATTAATAACTTGAGCCTGACTGCAATGAAACTCATTACTATCATGGTTCCTCTTGAAATAAATGTCTACTTGCCCTCACCTTTTGGGTTGTGTCTTGGTTTTGGATATGGAGACAGGATCAGATGTTCTGCTGTTTGTATCTCCCCACACACAGTGAGGACAGAACCCAAACATGGGTCGCTGTGAGCTCATGAATCTTTCTTGTCTGTTGGTCAGTCACATCTTTGGCTTTAGGATATCTTTCACTTTAGCAGAAATCCCAGGAGACAGATGATGTCTTCAGGTTCATATATACTTGACATTTAGTAAGTCATAAACTTGATTCTGAGCATTACCTCTCATATCTAGGCAAAGTTTCCATCCTTGAGCTTTCCAACTAGTTTAATTTGGCCAAGATCACATCAGCATAGTAAATACTCAGCACTAATTTTTTTTTTTTTTTTTTTTTTGAGATGGAGTCTCGCTCTGTCACCCAGGCTGGAGTGCAGTGGCGCAATCTCGGCTCACTGCAAGCTCCACCTCCTGGGTTCATGCCATTCTCCTGCCTCAGCCTCCCAAGTAGCTGGGACTACAGGCGCCCACCACCACGCCCAGCTAATTTCTTGTATTTTTTAGTAGAGACGGGGTTTCACTCTGTGTTAGGCAGGATGGTCTTGATCTCCTGACCTCATGATCTGCCCACCTCAGCCTCCCAAAGTGCTGGGATTACAGGCGTGAGCCACTGTGCCCGGCCCACTCAGCACTAATTTTAAGGGAGGAGACCACCCATCATATTGTCTTATGCCCAATTTCTGCCTCCAAAGAAAGAAGAAGTAAAAACTAAAAGGCAGAAATGAAATCCACAAGCAGACAGCCCAGCACCACACCCTGGGCCTGGTAGTTAAAGATCAACCCCCAACCTAATCAGTTATGTTATCTATAGATTACAGACATTGTATAGAAAAGCACTGTGAAAATCCCTGTCCTGCTCTGTTCCATTCTAATTACCAGTGCATGCAGCCCCCAGTCATGTACCCCCTGCTTGCTCAATTGATCACGACCCTCCCAGGCGGACCCCCTTAGAGTTGTGAGCCCTTAAAAGGGACAGGAATTGCTCGCTTGGGGAGCTCGGTTGTTGGAAACATGAGTCTTGCGGAAGCTCCCAGCCAAATAAAGCCCTTCATTCTTTAACTTGGTGTCTGAGGGGTTTTGTCTGTGGCTTGTCCACTATGTTTCAGCATAGTGGAGGCTCATGCTGATCTTGTCTTCAAGTCTTAATCTAGGATCAGAAGGCAGAGGTTCAAATGATGAGGCAAGGCTGGCCTGAATACTCAAGGTTGGCCCTCTATTCTGCCTCTGCTACTGTTAGTGAGGAAAGAGAAGGCATCACTCACCCCCTATGTAACTCAGTAGAACTATAGCCCCAAATTCCAAGAAGTGACATGCCTCCCATTTCAGAGCTGAGAAACAATGATCTCCTTGTTTTTCTTCTTTTACCCATTTGCCTAACCTCATATATAAAGGCTTATGTGTCCTTTAATTTCCATGTTCTACCTACATAATCCCTCAGCAGGCTTTAGCTAAGAAGCATGGGCTTCCTCTTTCTATTTCCTCTCTTAATCTTAGGTCCTGCTGATTGCATGCTCCAGCAGAACTGTATGTTATAGCTGGCTCTTTGATTTCCTGCTTATGTCTAGAATGCTGTCAATTCTTCAGTGATTTTACACAGAGCAAGCTCTAGTGTTTGCTTCATTTTCTTTCTCTGCCTCTTATATTTGGCTTTCTCAATACTTTAGTCATATAGGAACAACAGTTATAAATAAGGCCCTTTATAACTCTATATGTGTCAAGGCCCCCATATATCACCTGTACAATGAACAATTAATAGTTGTCTTTGCATTGTCTCAATTTGTATAATAAACATATAGATACACACACACACACACACACACACATACATACACACACATACACACACATGAGAAAGCAAGATGTTTTTTAAAAGAAATCAAATGGATAAGGCAGGAAAAAAGCACAAAAACCAGACTGGGCGATGACCCCAGAGAAAACGGAGTAGTGGAGAAAAGAGCAGTAATTAGTCTTCCAATCGTAAGGCTCTGGTTTGGGGATCCTGATAGGAAAAAGAACTTGGGTTTTAGATTTGATTCTCTGTGCTTCCTTCCCCTAGCACTGACTGGACAAAACTTCAGAGAGCCCGTTTGTTTATTTTCTTTTCAACTGATAGGTACAGTTTGTCTGATGTTTGCCAGGTTATGCAAAATGTCTTCAAAGCCTGTGAATGACCCAATTTAGTTCCCAAGACAGAGAAAAAACATCATGTGCAAAGCATTGTACTCCTGTTATGTGGTTTAATTTATCTAACAATTTTGTGAAATAAATATAATTATTTCCCTTTCTTAAGAAACTGAGGATCCCAGAAATCAAATAGTGACCAGAACAGACAGTGGTATGTTATGCACAAGCTTTTGAGAGCTAGGTATACACCTCTCTTCTCAAATCCGTATATAGTGATGTCAAGTCATTAGCTTGGAATCAACCATCCTGAGAGCATTTGCACTATGGAAATTAGAAAATGCTATAAATGAGTGCTTTCTTTGAGTGACAGTTGTCAAATATTTTATGCTACTGACAATAGTGTTATAATCGGTAGCTACTTAGACATGAGCAGGGCACGAGAGGGCCCCCTTCCCTCAACTAGGAATGTCAGATGACCAGCAGGTGATGGCCAGGTGGTTGTTAACTGTCTCTCTAAAATATTAATTGGTTGCAGCCAGCACCAGAGAAAGACAGTCTCCTAATAGATAGAAATACCTGAAACTGATGACCAGCAGCTTCCCAATAAGATCTCAGGAGTTAGGCAAGTGGGCTCAAGCATGCACACTGAAAAGCAATTTGGTGGAGTTTAACTGGGATATGGCTGATGTGGTTTGGCTCTTTGCTCCCCACCAAATCTCATGTTGAATTGTAATCCCCAGTGTTGGGGGAAGGACCCGGTGGGAGGTGATTGGATCATGGGGGTGGATTTCTTCTCTTGCTATTCTCATGATAGTGAGTTTTCATGAGATCTGGTTGTTTTAAAGGGTATAGCCCTTCCCCCTTCCCCTTCTCACTCTTCCTCCTACTCCCACCATGTAAGATGTGCTGGTTTCCCCCTTCACCTTCTACCATGATTGTAAGTTTCCAGAAGCCTACCCAGCCATACCTCCTGAACAGCACATAGAACTCTGAGTCAATTAAACCTCTTTTCTTTATAAATTACCCAGTCTCAGGTAGTTCTTTATAGCAGTGTGAGAATGAACTAATATAATGACTGCCCTCTGGGAACACTGGACTGGTAAGGGAAGAATGCTTCAAGTGAGCATGCGTACAACTCCAGCAAACACATTGAAAACGCGGCCCCTCTTAAGTGCTGGCAGGCCACTGCGCTTGTGGACAGTCCCTCCCCAATGGAAGAATCAGGGGAGAAGAGACACAACCCCCTGGAAGCATGCCAAAATTTAAAACCCCAAGTCAAAAGGTCAAACCATACACTTGATCTCAAGTCACCCACCTGGCCCTCTTCCAAGGGTTCTTTATCTCCTTTTATTCCTGCTCTAGAGCTTTTTAATAAACGTTCACTCCTGCTCTAAAACTTACCTCTGTCTCACTTTGCCTTATGCCCCTCAGTCAAATTCTTTCTTCTGACCACGCAAGAATTGAGGTTGCTGCAGACCCATATGGATTCGCCACTGCTAACATACTTTGGTGTCGTGTGACTCAAAGATGTTCCCTAGTGCTAACAATAGGATTAGAAACAGTCTTTTAGACACAACTGTAAGTTCCTCCTTTGAGGCTAACACAGACCCTTCAATAGGCTGAGATTCTACCTCAGAGTTTTGTCTTCCAGCAAGTACATTACCATCATTCCAAAATGACTTCTCTGGATACTTTCTAACTTTATATTTACGGCCCTGCTCCGCACTTTGGTCAGCTTTGCACTCTCTTCATAATTTGTGCCAAGCCTGCATACCACCTGCACTATTAGTCATTTAATATTTTTCTTTAAATTGCCTCAAATTATTTTGTATATTCATAAAGATGTTTTTAAAGGAAACTAATGGATAAGACAGGCAAAAGTGGAAAAAGCAGGAAAGAACAGAGACAATCTGTTTACTCTGTGTTAGAGGACAAAGCCCACAATTGCTACAACATGGAGAGAAAAGTGGGCTTTGAGGGTTGACAACCAAAATGAGTGACTGAGGTAGGTGTCTCCATCCATCAAGGTTTACTGAGCCAGCTTGAAGGCACATCGGGAAATAGGCAAATCATAGATGTGTCTGTGGCTGTTTTTTCCAAAGAGACTCTCAGGTTTAATATTTACACATTTTCCACTAAAAAGAGGAAGCAGTTAAGCAAATGATTACATACTTGGAGACTTTAGTTCGTGCTCAATAAGTCTGCATTTGACATAGATATGTAAGCCCTTGAAGAAAAGAGAGTAGAGGAACAAGACAAGCAGACGTCTCAGGGTGGGGTGCAGGACCCATTAATCTTATCTTGTCTTTGTTCCTTACCTGGAGAGATAAGCTAGGAATAAGCATTATCAGTGTGGAGACTTTTGAAAGGACTGTTTTCTGTTCAGCCCTTAGGGAAGAAACCCTACTGGCCATTAGCAAGAGAGGGGATATAATGAGACCTATGAACCCCCCATCTGGTTATGACCAGGAACTCAGCTTTGAAGGATTTTCTGAGGATCCTTCAGCCAAGAAAGGGGTCTGTTCAGTCAACTGGGGGCTTAAAATTTTACTTTTATTTCTCATTCACCACTTTTGGTGAAGATTTGCCACAGACAGCATCAATGGCCAAACCTTTATTTTGTCCCGTATCATTGTCAGAATGATGTTGCTGCCCGCCCCAGGTCCGTCCTGTCCATGACCCATCCTGTGGTCAAAAGACTTAGAGCCAAAAATCTTACAGCCAATTTCATCATTCCAGACAGGAACGGAGGTGGACAGGTATCTATCAACCCTTAAAACCTTTTAAGCAATGTAAGAGCCAAAAATCAAAGCCAAAAAGAAAGGTTACAAAATTGGCTTATCTATAAATTCTATGCATTGTGCTGCCATAATCTTGGTTTTAGTTAGACTGGTAGCAATGAGATGTACAAAACATAAGCATTTTGCTAAAACCATTTAAGCTTAAGAAGTTAGAGGCTTTTGTTATGCCAAAATGCTTGACACCTTTTTAGTAATTTGTCCTAAGGTGGCCAACAAATTTTTTTGTCATATCTTTATTTGCATAAACCCCATAACTGAAAACAACTATATGCAGAAGGCTCTATTGCCAGGTATCTTGGTATCCTCTTGGTAATTCTCTTTTCAGTCTATGGGAAGCAGGAAATTCTTTATGGTTTGGATAGATGAAAAGGAGGTCACATAATGACTCAGGAGGCAAAGTCCCTCAATTTGCCAGCTGTGTGTCTGTGTGCTATCTGTGTGTTGGTCCTTGATTTGGAGGGTCTGAACTAATTATTTCCCTCGAAACTAGTCCGTATAATCTCCTGTGCCTACCTCTTCTGTGATAGCCCCTAGGCTTACAGAGAGGGTGCTTATGATATGAGAGGGAGGCAGGGAAGTGCTGGGTAGAGAAGGGTGGGGTCCCTGGCTAGGTCTCCACCCTCAGGCCTGTGCCCACGGACCTAGGTGAGGGCGGGCATTTCTGTTTTTGTGCCCAGATGTTGCATTTTCCAAGACAACCCTGGCCTGCCACTCCCTGCATCCTGTGCCTATAAAAACCCTGAGACCCTAGTGGGTACATACACAAGCGGCTAAATGTCGAGAAGAACACACCAGCAGAAGAACACACAGACACTGACAGGCCATCCATGACAGAACAACGCGGATGCCAAGGGAAATTTGGCTGAGGGCGGTCAGAGGAGAGCCCAGCTGCTGAGTGGCCTGTCTCCAGGGGAAGACCACCTTCCCATTCCATCCCCCTTCTGGCTTTCCATCCACCTGCTGAGAGCTACCTCCACCATTCAATGAAACCTTGGACTTATTCTCCAAGCCCGCGTATAAACAGATTTTTCCAGTACACTAGGGCAACCCCGGGATACAGAAAGCCCTCTGTCCTTGCAGTAAGACAGAGGGTCTAATTGAGCTGATTAACACAAGACGAGTGCAGATGGCTAAGTTGAAAGAGGACACTGTAACACATGCCCACTGGTGCTTCAGGAGCTGTAAACACTCAGCCCTAGATGATGCCGTGAGGTTGGAGCCCACGTTCCCCACGACCTGCCTATCTGCATTCTCCCCCTAGGGGGTTGAACTGCAGGGCGCTGAAGAAGCCAGCCAGTCCCCATGTCACACACCCTGTGAGGGGAATAAGGAAACTCTTCCTGTTTCAACTGGGGCCTTGCCTGAGATCCCGGAAGGTGAGTGCAAAAGTGAAACTGTTGGATCTGCCTCTTTTCCAAAATCCTGCCACCTGTCTCTCTTTCCTGAAGGCAAAACGTTCTGTTTCCCTTCATGGAGTTTTAACTGCCCTAACGGGCCGCCAGAATCCCCAGACTCCATCTCTTTTCTCATTCTCTGTCTCACAGTTTGAAATGGCTCTTATCTCTTCCTTTATAATGTTAAGAGTTTTGCTACAGGCTGTGGCAATGTTACTAAGTAAAATGATTATTCGGCTCAGCCACCAAAGGTGCAAATCAGACCAACAGTTGTTAGAGGTAAAATCTCCTCCCCTGCCCTGACAGCTGCAGGCACCCATGGCTCAAGGCACCTCTCATTAGCCTATCCCCTCCCAGGTTGGGGGCCTGGGCATGTTCACGGCATGCAAAGGTCATGCCCAACAGCCATCAGGGGGCAGGAGGAGAAGTGCCGCCATGGCCCACGCTGCCTCCACCTCCATAGCCTGGGATGAGCTGGAAGCAGGAGAAAACTGCAGCAGTAGGTGGCACCCCACAGGGCTGAAGGGTGGGCACTTCTCACCCGCCACACCAATGGAACTTTTCCTCTCCTGGCCAAGGAATTCAACCCAGTCTGATCTGGGGGAAGAATACAAGGATTAATGGAACCCACTTGCCCTGAGCCAGGGGCTCTTCCCCCAGGACCTCCCCTTTTGCCCCTGAACCTGTTTTTCTATTTTTCTTTTTTTTTTCTTTCTTTTTTTCCTTTTCTAAGTGAGAGGGCTCGCCCTTCCCAGCACTGTTTCTGATAGGGAAGTTAATGGGGGAATAGCCCAGGCTGGCTGATAACTGCAAATTCAGCAGGGCTCATTTGAGACACTCTAAACGGATACAAAACAGCCTCTGAAATACCTTTTCAGTCCTAAACTCAATTCCAAGCTTCAGGCTGAGGCCCTAAAAAGAAAAACCAGGTCAGGGATCCAAAGCCAGGCAACAGGCATGATGTAAATGGCCAGGACCAATTCCTGCCGACTGAACCCCCCACCCCATGGAAGGAGGCCATGCTCCGTGGGCTAAACAGGCCCAGGGAACTCAAAGGTTGTCGACAGCAGGGAGAAAGGGAGGCATAGGGGAGGGTGGTTAATTCCTGTTCTCTAGGTCTTCCCTGCTTCATGGGTACACACCACATTGGTATCTATGGGCAGCACGTGCCAAGGTTGCCGGGCTCGAGGATAAAATAAGTGGAAGGGAAAGGGGGAATGCTTGTTTTCTCGCTCCATCACACTCTGAGTTTTCACTGAAAGAAGGAAGGGAATGAGGGAGACCTCTATTCCCTGTCTTTCAGAATGGACAACCAGATCGCTTCACCATACCCAGCTTATACTCCTCTGGAGTGTATTCGGAACCACTGGCACTGCTTTAACCTCAGAATCTGGAGGAAAAAATGCCTCATAGCCCTCTGTACAAAGGTTTGGCCAAATTATGAAGGACTGGGTTGGCCCCAGGAAGGAACCATTCATTTCAACTCCATCTGGCAGTTGGAACTTTTCTGTAGACATGAGGACAGATGATCTGAGGCCCCATATGTGCAGACTTTCTATACCTTGCAAGGCAATCCAGGCCTTTGCGAACAGTGTAGGATTGATCCAGCCCTCCTGTTTGCCGTCTCAGGGAAGGCTGCAAGGGGCAAGCCCGGGGAATTAAAGATACAAATCCCAGAGGCACTCCCAGCAGAGGAGCCAGCTCTCTCAAGCCCTGCTCCTCTGGATCCACCTCAACCTCCCTATCCAGCTTCTGCCTCTTACTTGCCCCCTCCTAGAAATCCTTACCCTAAATAAGCCCCAGTCTCCCTCTTGCCCCTCCAACAGATGCCCAGTGTATTTGGGCCCAGTAAGGTCCAGGTCCCCTTCTCCTACAAAACTTAAAGCAAATTAAGTTGGATCTTGGCAAGTTTTCAGATGACTCTAATAGATATATACAGACTTTCCAGAATTTCACTCAAATATTTGAACTCTCCTGGAGAGACGTTATGTTACTTCTGAATCAAACCCTGATGGATACTGAAAAGCAGGCCATTCTGCAAGCAGCAGAGAGATTTGGGGATGCGCTTTGTATCACATATGGCATCAGAGAAGGGGGCGAACATTATCCAACTGGAAGAGAAGCAGTACCCGTGGATGACCCTAAATGAAATCCCAACAATGAAATGGAAAACTGGAAGAGGAGACACTTTCAGGTGCGTGTAATGGAAGGCTTATGTAGAACTAGGACCGGGCCTCTCCATTATACTAAGTTGTCCATGATCAACCAGGGATTCAATGAAAACCCCACTGCTTTCTTGGAAAGGCTAAGCGAGGCCTGGGTAAAGCACACCTTTCTGTCTCCTGATTCGTCTGAGGGACAACTAATCCTGAAGAATAAATGTATTACTCAGGCAGCCCCTGATATCAGGACGAAGTTACAAAAACAGGCCCTGGGGCCAGACAGTATTTTAAAGAACCTCCTGAAAGTAGCCACCTCAGTCTTTTATAATAGAGACAGGGAGGCCCAGGAAAGAGAGAGGAAATACAGGAAATGGAGGCTTTAATGGCTGCCAGGCAAGCCCACAAACCCCAGAATTCCCAGGGTGCACCTGTTAACTGCTACAGATTTCAAAATGGATTGCCCAGCTGGCATGAGGAAGCCACCCCGACCCTGTCCAATCTGCAATGGAGACCACTGGAGAGTGGACTCTCCCCAGGGATGCTGGTTACTGGGTCTAGAACCAATCTCCCAAATGGTCCAGCAGCATGACTTCTGGGTCCCGGCACTCCTCTTCCCGGCTCCAGTGGCCTACACAACCATTACCATCCAGGGGCCTTGGGTAATTCTGGAAATTGAAGGGAGGAAAAAGGACCTCCTCTTGGACACTAGAGCCAGTCTCTCAATTCTCTCCAATCTGGGCTCCCTTTTTATCTCAGCATGACCATGAGGGGCAGCTCAGGAAGGCGTCTAACCCAATATTTCTCTCAACCCCTTAGTTGTAGCTGGGGAGACCTTTTGTTCACTCATGCTTTTCTAATTATGCTTTAAAGCCCAACTCCTCTGTTGGGCAAGGATATCCTGGCCCGTACGGGGAACACCATTCTGATGTCCCCTGGGCAAACTCTTTGTCTCCCCCTAATGGAGGCTGATATTAACCCAGAAGTTTGGGCAACTTGAGGGAAAATTGGACAGCCATACTAGTCCGGGTCCATCTTAAGGATCTCACCTCCTTTCCTAACCAGAAACAATATCCCCTGAAACCAGAGGTCAGGAAAGTGCTAGAAGCCATGATATACGACTTAAAGATGCAGGGCCTCCTCAAACCCTGCAACAGCCCTTGTAATACCCTGATATTAGGGGTATGAAAACCCAACATGGAATGGACGCTAGTTCAGGACCTCTGCCTCATTAATGAGACTGTGGTTCCAATGCACCTGGTGGTTCCCAATCTATATACCCTGCTAGCCCAAATGCCTGAGGGGACTAAATGGCTCACAGTCTTGGACCTAAAGGCATGCCTTCTTCTGCATACCATTACACCCTGACTCCCAGTATTTGTTTGCATTTGAGGATCCCTCTAACCAAACCACCCAATTAACCTGAACGGTGTTACCTCAAGGATTCCAAGACAGCTTCCACTTGTTTGGGCAGGCATTATTGAGCGACCTCTCTGAGTTCCTTTATCCTTAGGTGAAGGTCTTGAAATAGGTAATGAACTTCTCTTCCGTGCTCCAACTGAGGAAATCTCTCAGGAGGGCAGTAAGCCTCTCCTTAATTTTCTAGCTAACAGAGAATATAAGGTTTCAAAACCAAAACTCAACTCTGTCTGTCTTGAGTGAAGTAACTAGGCCTGGTCTTGTCAGAGGGGACCACAACATTAGGCAAAGAGAGAATTAAACCCATCTCCTCCTTTCCCCTCCCCAGAACCCTCAAGCAACTGAAGGGATTCTTGAGCATTACAGGAATCTGCAGACTACTGATACCTGGGCACAGTGAAATAGCTCAGCTATTTCATTATTATCATCTAATAAAGGAGACTCAGGCAGCTAAAACTCACTGTCTAACTTGGGAGCTGGAGGCTAAAAAGGCCATCGATCAACTAAAACAAGCCTTGCTTAAGGCACCAGCCCTCAGTCTCCCCACAGGGAAAACGTTTAATCTTTGTGTAACAGAGAGAAAGGGAATGGCACTGGGAGTCCTAACACAGACCTGGAGTCCAGCCCAGCAGCCTGTAGGCTACCTAAGTAAGGTGCACATTTTGGTAGCCAGAGGATGGCTGGCCTGCCTCCAGGCAATCGCAGCAGAAGCCTTGCTGATACCATTGGCTACTAAGTTGACCATGGGGAATAACTTAACTGTTTATACCCTGCACAATGTGGCAGGACTACTGTCTTCTGAGAGACAATAGTCTCCTAGAAGACTAATAGACAACTGTCTCCTCAAGCATCAAGCTCTATTGTTAGAAGGATCTACGGTCCAATTAAGAAACTGTCCCTCCCTAAATCCAGTCATCTTCCTCCCAGATGAAGCTGGGAAACTTGAGCATGACGGCAAACAAATAGTAGCACAAACTTGAGCAGCAAGAGAGGACCTCAAGGAAACTCTCTTAGAGAACCCAGACTAGATTGTCTTTACAGATGGGAGTTCTTTTGTAGAACAAGGAACCCACAAAGCAGGCTACGCAATAGTTACTCTAAACGATATTATTGAGAATGCACTTCTTTCCTCAGGCACAACCAGCCGAACTAATCACCCTCAAGAGGGCACTTAAGCTAAGCAAAGAAAAGACAGTTAACATATCTACTGATTCTAAATATGCTTTCCTAGTCCTTGACACCCATGCCACTATCTGGAAAGAGAGGAACTTCTTCACAGCTAATGGGTCTCCTATTGAATACCATCAGGAAATTAACAGCCTATTATCCTCAGTCTTCCTCTCATGGGAAGTGGCAGTGATACATTGTAAAGGCCACCAAAGAGGGATGGATGAAATAGCTGAGGGAAATGGGCTGGCAAACTAAGCAGCTAAAACAGCAGCCAGGGGGTCCCCAGGTCTCTGACCCACTTGAAGTCCCATTGGTCTGGGAGGGCCTCATCAGAGAAATAAAACTGCAATACTCTCCCGCAAAAATAGAACGGGCCACCTCTCAGGGATACATCCTTCAGTCCTCAGGATGGCTACAATCAGAGCACGGTAAACTTCATCTACCTGCTGCCAACCAGTGGAAAATTTTTTAAAGCCTTCACCAGGCCATCCACCTAGGTAAGGATAAAACCTATCAACTGGCCCAGAGATTGTTCTCAGGTAAAAGCCTAATACAAATGGTTAAACGAGTTGTTACTGCTTGTGAGAACTGCCTGAAAAATAATCCCCTCAATTGACAGCTTCTTCCTCCAGGAACCCAAAGGACAGTAGGCCACTAAGAAAAAGAGTGGCAAATGGATCTCACTCATATGCCAAAGGCAAGAGGCATCCAGTCCTCCTAGTGTGGATAGATATTTTCACTAACCAGGTAGAAGCAATTTCATGTCAGACAGAGAAAGCCCCTGAGATGATAAAAGTACTAATCAATGAGATAATCCCTCACTTTAGACTCCCTAAGTACCTCCAGAGCAATCCTGGCTTTTTTGCTTGGCTTCCTTCTCTATTAGATTACTGGCTTTTGGGTGGAGCCCTTTAGTGAATAGGGAAAAGAAAGCATGCAGTTCTTAGGGCCTAAACTGCACTTTTTTGTTTGTTTGTTTGAGATGGAGACAAAGTCTTACTCTGTCGCCCAGGCTGGAGTGCAGTGGTGCAATCTCGGCTCATTGCAACCTCCACCTCCCAGGTTCAAGTGATTCTCCTGCCTCAGCTTCCCAAGTAGCCACCACACCTGGCTATTTTTTGTATTTATAGTAGAGATGGGGTTTCACTGTTACGCGCGTCCGTGTGAAGAAACCACCAAACAGGCTTTGTGTGAGCAACGAGGCTGTTTATTCACTTGGGTGCAAGTGGGCTGAATCTGAAAAAGGAGTGGGCAAAGGGAGATAAGGGTGGGGCAGTTTTATAGGATTAGGGTAGGCAGTGGAACATTACAGTTAAAGGTGGTTATCTCTTGCAGGCAGGGACAGGGTCACAAGGTGCACAGTGGGGAGATCATGAGACTCATTGTCCAGGGGAGGGATACACAAGGTCGATTGACTAGTTAGGGTGAGGCAGGAACAAATCACAATGGTGGAATGTCATCAGTTAAGGCAAGAACTGGTTGTTTCACTTCTTTTTTGATTCTTCAGTTGCTTCAGGCTATCTGGATGTATACGGGCAGGTCACAGGGGTTATGATGGCTTAGCTTGGGCTCAGAGGCCTGACATTCACCATGTTGGCCAGGCTGGTCTCGAACTCCTGACCTCAGGTGATCCGCCCACTCAGGCCTCCCAAAATGCTGGGATTACAGGCATGAACCACTGCACCAGGCCCTAAACCACATTTTTTTTAACCCAAATGTGCAAGAAGCAAGTAGCCCTCTGTAGTAATGACCATTTACCATAAACAACTTCCATCAGCCACCTCTAAAACTGTATCTCTTACCCAACCATTACACACACCAAAGTCTAGTTTTCTCACAATATAATGTAATTTCTGGCACCCCCCACAAAAGCCAAAGAGATTAGGTAACAATTCAAAAGAGGGCAGAGCTTTAGACCCAAGAAGACCATCACTCTTGAATCTTCACAAGGAAAATGGAAGACCTCCACAAAAGGGGTGAGTAATACATTTTTCCGGGTTCCTAAAGGGGTCTGAGTCTTCTCTAGATCTTTTCAAACAATACTGAATATGGCAAAGAGGAAGAAGAAGTAGGAAGAGTAAAAGTAAAATGGGAGAACAATTTTTAAGAAAGGAAATGAACAGAGGCATTAAGCACATGTGTTCTTTTTTTGAAAAAGATGTTTTAGTCCACTAAAATGTTTCCAAAACAGGATCTAAAAAGAAAAAGCAGAAAGGACTTAAATTTTATATATGTATGTGTGTATATATATATTTATATATAGTATATATATTTATTTATATATGTATATGTATATATATTTTATATGTAAATGTGCATGTGTATAGGTATGTGTTTATATGTAAATATATATATTTATATTTTATATAAATCTATCAGCTTTTAATTAAGCTGACTTCTAACAGTAGGACTCTTTTTAAAAATTTTTTCAAGTAATTTATTACCAGATTTTAGCTGAGAGAAACAGCTGATATTTCAAGTCAACAGAAATATCAAACCAAAAGGGACCGATTCCTCATTAGGAAGACAACCCAAGCCATGATGGGAATTTTAACCACCAAACTACAAAATGGACTAGCCTCCATGTTAATCCTGAATGGAGTTCAAAGTGGGCAGTTTGAGTGTAACTGTTTTAGGTCAGATTTTTGATCTTTGACTTAGTCAAGATAATTTTTAAGGGTAGCCATGACACTATTATAGCTCCTTCTTTTAATTTGATCTTCCCACCAATTGTTAAGAATAAGAGATCTCTAAAATCCCTTTCTTTATTGTTAAGAATAAGAGATCTCTAAAATCCCTTTCTTTAAAAAGGATTCAGGTGTCCAAAGGATCAATCTTTTGGTCATTGACAATTAGAATTTTCAGTGGTATATTTAATCCCAATAGCAGCTCAATTCAGTAGCTCACTCAATTTCAGTGAGTGACATCAATGAACAGCCACATGCTTCTAATAGTGTACACACCATACTCTGGGGAACATGGCCTCCATATAGACCAACTTGGTATCCAAAAAGGAAACGAAGTCTGTTTGTATGATCCCTTCTTAGGGGATGCTTGTCATTGTCTGACCATTGCTGAATTCTTTAATTTTCCATTGTTATATAGCCAGATACAGAATTTTGCCAAGGATTGATACCAAGCTTAACAGTTTAAATAAACCAGATCTTTGCTGTTCCCCTAAATGGAGATCATCCAAACATTGTCAATTGCTGTACTAGCTCTCAACACACACACACACACACACACACACACACACATACACCGTTATTACAAACAGTGATGGTTACAATCAACTGATCCCATGTTACGTGCCAGTTCCCCTGCACTCATTCTTTCCAGTCCTGACAGCCCTAAAAACTATGTATTATCACCATTTTAAAGATGAGGCAATGGAAGTTTAAAGAGGAGGCTTAAGCCTTTACTCAAATACACCTGTATTTGAAACTAAACTCTGCAACTTACTTACTAGTGGCAGAATTGAGTTCCATTGTTCTATGAACTTTGCTAAATCTCACCCTGGAAAACCTCATACCTTGTAAATATACAAAATATTTTCTTTCCTATGGCTTTTAAATTTTCTAAAACTATCTACTTTTATAACTACCTGGAAAGTGTAGTAGATGCCGTTAGTTGCAATCCAGCACCCATTCTCCACTCTTCCTTCCCAAGAGAATGCCAGTTTCATTTAGGTCTGTATCATGCATATCACAGGACGCAGGAGAATTTGACGCCACTCTGAAATCCAGGGGTAGGCCTGACTGGGCTAAAGCTAAACCACTCCTCCTGGTCAGTGGTTGGTTTGGCCTTGAGCATGTGACCTACTTCTAGACAATGAGACATAATGAGAGGCCTGTCAGAGGCTTTGGAAAACTTCTCTTTATTCTGAAGAAAGCCCCAGGAAGTTACTTTTCCAAGGGTTGTAAGCAAGCAACTTGTAAACTTGATTGCTACCAGCAGCTGTCCTAAAACCACAAGCGGAACCAGTCTTAAAGTGAAGCCAAAACTGTGGCTTGCAGAGCAAAAAAACAGAAGTGAATCACATGGGTCCTTGATGACATCATCAAACAGCACTGAAGGCTACCCTATCCTGGACTTTCTCTTTATGAGCTAGTAAATTCTGTTTATTAGACATAAATCCATTTAATAACTTTCTAAACCAGTTTGAGTTCTCTTTTCTGTTGTTACAGTCCAAAAGACCCTAATTGAATACTGACAATAATACAGCCAATATGGTAGACAATGGTTTAAAAAAAAAAAAAAGGCTAAAATGGAGCACAAAATGAAGTAAATGAAGTGGGAAATCTGCCCATTGGGGGATAAGGAGACCACCAGATGAAGGAGTAAACAAACTCTTTGGGGTAAATAATCATGACTATGTCCTTGGCATCAACTGTCTTCATTAAACAAATCAGTAGTTTTCATCATGTTGCTCTGACACCAGCAGCATCAGCAACACCTTGGAACTTGTTAGAAATGCAAATGCCTGAGCTACGCCCCAGCTCTAGTGAATCAGACAGCCTGGGGTGGGGCCCAGCCATCTGTGTTTTAATAAGCCCTCCAGGGGATTCTTACGCAAGCTCAAGTGTGAGAACCACTTCCTTAAATGTATTGGGAAAAGTGAATTTGCCTGAGTCGTTCTCATTATTAACTATTAGCACTTGACTTGAAGTCAGAGTTTAGAACCTGCTGTCTTTATTCCAAATTTTTAGTGTGGGGGTCTCAGATCCTCATGTGTTTAGAGTCTTGAGTCACTGAGTAGCCGCTTCTGGCAAACTGAATCTTGTGCATGTTGACCTAAAGCCAAATTAGAACTCCCTTTACTGCTGTTAAGAAACCAAACTTTACAAAGCACCAGTCCACCCTGCAGAGTAAATAGAAACAGTTTTATTTGGTACTGGAGGCACATAGAGAAGTGTGGTATTTTCTACCTCTTTAAATTGCCACTTCTGGAACATTTCTAGTGTAGTTTTGGGCTGGCTAAGTATAGATTTTTAAATTAATGTATTTTTTTCTTGCTAAGTAATTTTATGGTTTGAAAAATTTTCTTTAATATGCAATTGGGAGGTTTAATGCTCTAAGCTCCATGAATATTTCTGTAGAGCAACCTGCTCATAGACAATTATTTTAGCAGTATCCTAGGAATGATCAGTATCATTAACACAGTGTAATCATGTTAAAAGGAAAGTGTCTTTCACCCAGGGAATGTAGCATGTGGTTAGTGTCTTGATAATTAACCCATTGCCCTTGAAAAAAACCCATTGAAGGTAATCAGAAGCAAAGACAATTAACTCCTTTCAAACAATTTCCTTTGTATCTTTACTCCCATCTTAGAAAGGAGATTCCAGAAGGACTTGAAGGAAACAAGAAGACAGGGATAGTTAGATCACGTCAGAGGTGCTGATGAGGCCACTGTGCCAATGAACGTTAGGTGTGCTGCCGGATGCGAGGAGGTTCTCTCTCTTTTCGTGATTCTACTCTATTCCTGTGACACCTCAGAAACATCAGGTGCCATGGCTTCCAGACAGGTGCTTTTTATTAGGCCCCAATCCTCAATCACTCCCCATTTCATCACCTGTAAAATGATGATATGCCTCTTTTGGAGGCTGTTATCAGGATTCAATGCAATAACTATATGCAGAAAAGATTTATAAACTTACAGTGTAGACTCATATAACACATTTTTGTTGGCAGTTCCTACTTTGACGGCTTCCTTTCAGAGGTTTCTGTTCCTTCCATCAGAGCACTTCAACATGTATAGTAAGTCACTCTGCACAGGAAAGATAAAGATAATATCTGCTTCTTTTTTTCTTTTTTTGAGATGGAGGTTCAATCTCGTTGCCCAAGCTGGAGTGCAATGGCACAATCTCTGCTCATTGCAACCTCTGCCTCCCAGGTTCAAGTGATTCTCCTGCCTCAGCCTCCCGAGTAGCTGGGATTACAGGCACGTGTCATCACACCCAGCTAATTTTTTTCTATTTTTAGTAGAAACGGGGTTTCACCAGGTTAGCCAGGCTGGTCTCGAACTCCTGACCACAGGTGATCTGCCCACCTCGGCCTCCCAAAGTGCTTGGATTACAGGTGTGAGCCACTGCACTCGGCCCATATCTGCTTCTTAATATAAGGGACTGGAAGCCTGTGATATAATTTCAAGTTAAAACAGAGTCATGTTAAGTTACTAAAAACTGCCATTCCATGTGATGAGAGAAGAATGTTCAGAATGCTTCAAACAACACTGACGGCTGTCCTATGATGGACTTCCTCTTTATGAGCTAGTCAATTCTGTTTATTAAATGTAACTCTTGTTGAGATAGGTGCGAAGTGCCAGGGAATGATTTCCAGAGGGTATGAAAATATTTGAGGAATTGAGCAATGTTTAGAGTTAGCCAGGTGAAGGAGGGACAGGAGAGTAAACAGCATGAACAGCATGTGCAAAAGATTGCGGAAAAAAACTGGAACACACAGCCCATCTGGGGAAATGCAAGTAGCTCAGAAAGGTTAGAGTATAGAATGTGTTGGGAGGGGAGTTGGGTGGGGAATAGCAAAAGGTAGAAGTGGAGATAGGAGCCTGCTTTGTAATAAGCTTGTTTGCAACCTATTTCAAGGGTTTATGACACACTCAGACACACATGCACACACTAAACCATAGAGACAGGGTAAGCCAGAGGCAGGGCCAGAAATAACCAGATCGAATGTTTGCCCGATTATCTATTTTAACTTGGCTTTTTATTAAATTAAACAGAATCTCTCCGGGATGGAAATCCTTGGCTCTTAGGTTCATTGGGTCCCTTCTGCACCAGTCTCTGCCAGTTTCATTGAGTCTGTTCTGCACCAGTCTGTTGGTTTCAATATCCCACCAACTCCTATCCCACCTATCCCTACTTTGGATGAATGGATGGTTAGGATAAGTTTGGGATGTTATCTCAATGGAAATAAGAAGCCAAAATTTTCAGCATCTGCCACCACTTCTCTCCAAGTAATATGATAAAAATCACTGGACAGAACCTGGCTTTGTGAATAATTTTCTGAGAGAACCGAGTGAATCTTTGGCCTTTATTTTTCTGTCCATAAAATAAGGAAGAGAATAAATGTGCCGGGTATCTGAAAAAGTGATAGTGAAAAACAGAAAAGGAAAGAAAAAGTAAAATAAAAATCAGGGTTATTCCCAGAAGAACTGGGTCCTGAATGGAATCAGGATGCAATACTCCCCAAATTCTCCCAACAAGTATCTCAAATACGTGACAACTTTATGTACATAAATGATGGTCAAAATGAACATTAAGACTGTTCTAAATGAAGCATCCTGAGAAAAAACAACGGGGGAGGATGAGTTAATTCCTAACAAAGCTATCTTATATGTAGCGAATAATTTCTACCTTCCTATACCCTATATATAACCCCTCAGTTACGAGAAGTTCATGACAATTGTCTGCTTTGCATCTGAAATTTATCTTACTCCTCAATGCAGCCTCTAGCCCCCCACTGCATTTTTGTGATAATATATTACAGGTGGAATGAACTGCAAATTATGCTCAACTTAAGAGTTGTAACTGGTGGAGGAAAGGGGCTCGCTGGTGATTAAAATCTAGAGATGGCTCCAGTTTCAGGAAATATGGACCAAGCACTGTCACACTGACTTTCTCACTATGTGCAGCTGTAAGTCCCGAACCAAATGCATGAAGTAGTTATTCAGAGCCTGTGAAAAATAACTAGTAGCAGGTAAACTAGGAAAAAGGATTAGAGTGTGATGTGCCATTGAACTGGGAATGTGAACGGATTTACCATCTTTTCTCTTATGGTATCTCCAATATGGAATCAAGGAAGCTTGAAACCAACAGGGATCCATGCAGACAGAGAGAGCTCTAGGAGAATCCCTCTAGTTCTGTATCAAGAAGCAGGAATGAAGTATCCTAATATTCAGGGAGAGTGGGGGAAAATCTCCCATTTTTAAATTTTTTGTTCATTAATTTCTGATTTTTTTAATTCTCCTCATCCCAGTCCCCAGTGCCTGTAGTGGTAGCAACAGTAATGGAAGAGAGGACCCATGGAAGCCTAAAATTCTGAACCTTTCTTTCTTATCAGAGGAGTAGTGGGTCCAAAGGGGTGGAGATCTTTCCCTATTATTTTCTTCCTCTCTCTGCTCTTCTGCAGTTTTTCAGGCATGTTACAGAAAGTATATAGTAGAGCAAGGCACATGAAACCCCATCTTGCTGATCATAGAACCAAAAAGAGAGAGCCTCAGGAAGCCTGAAAGTATAAGGATAATCTCAAAGAGGAAGGAACTCAGGAAAGAGAACTGGACTTCATACAGGTGTTTATGAATTCCCAAGCTCACCTACAAATTGTGTATGTGTGAATCTGACACTAAACAGAAAACCAAAGGCTTTGGGAACTATAATTCAGGATATACTACCATCCAAGTCCCCAACTGGCCATAGGGTGGAGCCCACATGTGACAGATCCAAATAGCACTGTGAAGGCATTGAAAATGTAGCCAGCACTAAAACACCATCCATAGAAGGCTGATGAGACCTTCAACCTGAACTCAGATGGTTGACTGCCTTTTAAAGTAAATATATTGATATTCGTCGTAAGATTTACTTAAGTCCCAAAGTCTCATATGATAATATTCAATATAATTAAAACACAACAGAAATGCATATAAAAATTTAGAAAATTCTCAGTTCAGATGGAAAATGACAGTCAACAGAAGTGAATGATGAGATAATACAGATATTGGAGTTATCTTATGAAGACTATAAAGCAGCCATCATAAAAATGCTCTAAGAAGTAAGAGTAATACCCTTGAAATAAATGAAAAGATAGAAGGTATCAGTAAAACCATAGAAGACACACAGAATAATCAAATGGAAGTTTTAAACTGAAAAATACTACTAATAAAAATTTTAAACTTACTGAAAAGGATGCATAGCAGAATAAAATGACATTGGAAAGAGCCAGTCAACTTGAAAATAGATAAATAGAAATTATCCAGTCCTCAATAGAGAGGGAAAAAAAATTCAAAAATGAACAGAGACTCAGAGAACTATAAGATAGTAGGAAAAGGTTTAGCATTTGTGTCATAAGCATCCCAGAGAGAAGGGAAAGAATACAATGCAGAAAAATAAATAAATAAATAATAGTGAAAACTTCTTTAATTTGGCAAAAGATATAATCTTGTAGATTTAAGAAGCTCAACAAGTCCCAGAAAGAATAAATCCAAAGGCTGGGCACAGTGGCTCACACCTGTAATCCTAGCACTTTGGGAGGCCAAGGCGAGTGGATCATCTGAGTTCAGGAGTTCAAGACCAGCCTGGCCAACATGGTGAAACCCCGTCTCTACAAAAATACAAAAATTAGCTATGCCTGATGGCAGGTGCCTGTAATCCCAGCTACTCAGGAGGCTGAGGTGGGAGAATCATGAATCGCTTGAACCCAGGAGGCAGACATTGCAGTGAGCTGAGATCATGCCATTGCACTCCAGCCTGGGTGACAGAGTGAGACTCCATCTAAAAAAAAAAAAAAAAATCCAAAAAGTCCACACCCAAATACATCCTTTAAAAGTGGCTGAAAACTAAATACACAACAAAAATTTTTGAAAACAGCCAAATAAAAATGAAAACAAAGTGAAACATAAATATTAACATAATACAATGATTCAAATGGCTAGACTGGCTCATGCCTGTCATCCCAACATCTTCAGAGGCCAAGGTGGGAAGACTGCTTAAGCCCAGAAGTCCAAGACAGTGAGACTCTGTCTCTACAAAGAATTTTAAAAATTAGCCAGGCATGGTAGTATGTCCCTGTGGTCCCAGCTACTCAGGAGGCTGAGGCAGGAGCATTTCTTGAGCCCAGGAATTCAAGGCTGCGGTCCTCTGTGATTGTGCCACTGCACTCCAGCCTGGGCAACAAAGTAAGAGCCCGTCTCTAAAGAACAAAACAAAACAAAACAAAACAAAAGAAGGAAAGAAAGAGGGAAAAAAAAGGAGACCATAATAAAGTTAATATTTTCAAAGTCCTGAAAGATATTACTGTCAAACCAGTCATATATATAATGTTATCTTTTTTATTTTATAGACAGGAAAATTAAAGCCAAATATTTACTGAGTTCTCACAGAAACTTATCCACACAGCCAGGTTCTGTCTAATGATTTTATCATATTACCTGGAAAGGAGTGGCAGCAGATGCTAAAAATTTTGGCAATATGAGAAAAAGATAATTAAAAACAAGGATCTTCAAGCATATGAAAGGTATTATGTCGAGGTAAAAATACAGAGATAATTTCCTCAGCAAAACATATTGAAAGAATTTTCTTGACCCTCAGAGTTACAGAACTCCCAGAGGTCTATACCCAGTAAAAATATTCTTCAACACTGAAGCTAAAACAAAGATAGCCTCAGTGAAGAAAAACTAAGAGAATGCATTTTCAGCAGATCTGCTTCTTTATAAAAGTAATTCTTCCAAAAGAAAGAAAATAATACCAGAAATCCACTTGGAATATCAGAAATAAAGGAAGAGCAAAATAAATGGTAAATATCTGCATAAATATAGTAGACTATCATCCCCTTAAATTCTTTAAAATATAATTGATATCTGAAACTTGAAATTGTAACATTGCTGGGTTTTCAATATATGCAGATGTGATAAATAAGACACCCACAAGATAAGAGGAGAAAATGATGGGAATTTAATGGCGACAAGGTTTCTATATTTAATTTGAAGTGGGAAAACATGTATTTTAAATAAACTGAGAAAAATATATATGTATATTGTAATCACTGTAGCGATCATTAAAAAATTATACCAACAGATATTATCAAAAATACAATGGATAAAATAGAATACTAAAAGTATTTAAATAACCCAAAATAAAGCAGGAATATAGAGCAAAGCTATGAAAATAAAAAGAAGAGGAAACAGAATTAAATGGTAGACTGAAATGCAAATATACCAATATTTTCTTTAAATATAAGTGCATTAACTATACCAAATAAAAGACAGAAATGATCTTTACCATGAACCAACTTTATGCTGTCTAAAGACACTCAGTCTAAATATAATCATACAGGCAAGTTAAAAACGAACATGTAGAAAAAGTTATACTATGCAAACACTAAATAAAAGGAAGCTGTAGTGGTTACATTAGTCTATGCATACATTAGAGCAAAGAAAATTACCAGGGAAAAAGAATGATATTACATAATCCTAAATATACATGCATGTAACAAAAGATATTCAAAATATATGAAGCAAAAACCGACAGAAATGAAAGAAGAAATAAATAAGTCCATCATATAGCTGAGAATATCGATACAGGAGTGGGACAGGGAAGGGCTGAGTAGAGAAAGACAGGGTCCCTAGGGAGGGCTCCACCCTCAGGTCTGTTCCCATAGACCTAGGTGAGGACAGGCACTCCTGTTTTCATGCCCAAATGTTGTATTTTCCAAGACCAACCTGGCCTGCCACGCCCTGACCCTGTGCCTATAAAAACTCTGAGACCCTAGCAGGCATGCACACAAAGCAGCTGGATGTCGAGAGAAACACACTGGCAGAAGAACACACCAGTAGACACCAGTAGGGCATCTATGGCGGGACAACGTGGAATTTGGTTGGCGGTGGTTGGAGGAGAGTCTGGCTGCTCAGCAGCCCCCAGGGGAAAACCGCCTTCCCACTCCATCCCCTTTCTGGCTCCCCATCCATCTGCTGAGAGCTACTTCCACCATTCAATAAAACCTTGCACTCATTCTCCAAGCCCAAGTGTGATTTGTTTTTTCCAGTACACCAAGGCAAGAACCTCAGGATACAAAAAGCCCTCTATCTTTGCAATAAGGCAGAGGGTCTAATTGGGCTGATTAACACAAGCCACCTGAGGCAAAACTAAAAGAGCATACTGTAACAAACATCCACTGGGGCTTCAGGAGCTGTAAACATTCACCCCTAGTCGCTGCCATGGGGTTGGAGCCCCACAACCTGCCTGTCTGCATGCTCCCTCTAGAGGTTTGAGCAGTGGGGCTCCAAAGAAGGGAGCCACACTTCTATCACATGCCCTGAGAGGGGAATAAGGGTACTTTTCCCATCTCAATATCAGCACTCCTCTTTTAAATAATTGATAGAACTGGTAGATAAAAAACTCATTGACACTATAGAAGAACTGAACAACACCATTAACTAACTGTATCTAATTGACATTTATAAAACATTTCTACTCAACAACAGCTAAATACACATTCATCTCAAGAGCACATGAAACATTCTCCAATATGGACAACATCTGGATTCATTATAAAACAAACCTTAACAAATTTAACAGAACTAAATTATGTAAAGTATGTTCTCTGATTATAATGGACTTCAACTAGAAATGAATAACAGAAATGTAAAGGGAAAATATTCAAATACTTGAAAGTTAAACAACATACTTCAAAATAATCAATGCAATGTAGAGAAAGTTCCAAAAAAATAGAAAAGATTTTGAACAGGATAACAATTCAAAATTTACAGGATGCAGCTAATGCAGTGTTTAGAGGAACACTTATAGAATTAAATATGTGAAAAGAAGAAAATTCTCATATCTATCATCAAAAGGTCTTCCTTAAGAAACACTGGGGAGGGGGGAGAACAAAACAGGCACAGCATACACTGAAGAAAGGAATTAAAAATTGAAATTTCAAAAATTAGACAAAATCAGTAAAACCGAAATCTGTTTCTTTAAAAAGACTGATACCTCTGGAAGGCTGACAAAGAAGAAAATAAAAGAAAACAGGCCCATTACTAAAATTACAAGTGAAAGAAGGATCTTCCTATGACCACAGAGTCCACAAATTAGGTAACGGGAAAAATCACTTAAGCTGCAGCACTAGATCAAAATAATCAACATTTTCCATTTCAGAGTATATAATATATTAAGTAAAATTAGTTCAGCTTCAAAGCAATATTGATTTCAGGACAATGAAAATACGGAAGTAGTCTGCCCAGAGCTGGCATAGTGCTCTAGCATATCAGAGTCACTGGCTCCTAAATTTTTGTTGCTCCACCATTCATGGCTTCTATTCCAAGATGACCTCTCTGTTCAAGATGGCTGCCAGAGCAAATTATTAAACATCTATTCTGTCCAACAGGAGGGAGAAAGCTACAAAAAGAGGTAGGGATCATACCTTGAGAGACTCTCTTCAGAAGTTGCAGATCACTTCCACTGTATCCTATTGGCTAGAATTTAGTCACATGGTCACTTCTAACTGCAAGGGAGGCTGGGAAATGTGATCTGTAACCCAGATGCCCATATCTCTGAGTAAAATAATAAAGGAAGGAGTAGATAAGGAATGTGGGTACAATCTGTAATGTTTGGCGCATATCTTATGAAAGTTCTTCTAGATATTATCAGAACAGTTTGTACTTCAGAAACTGAAGTTCCTTCAGCCAGGAAAAAAAAAAAAATGTTCCTTGTGGGACCATATTAGAACCTCTACCTTCAATTCAAAATTCTATTCTGAACTAAGTTCCTGTGAATAGGTGATGTCTGTTAAACTACTAAAGTCTTGTGTTTTTCTCTCATAAAATAAGCTCCTCATATTCACTCAGAACCATCCCCATCCATTAATGTTATTCTCTGTCACCACTAGGGACACATCAGCTCAAATGTAATTCCTATCTAAAAACCATTCAGCAGCCATTTGGATGAAGTTCAAAATGGGGCATGTCAAGGGTCTTTCAAGAGTCCAAGAAGTTGAGGTGTCCTGCTTTGCACTGTGACCCTTCCTTAACTTCTCCTGCCTTTTTTGCTCCCTGTGGAGCAGGGCTAACTCACAGGCACTACACCCAAAGTCGGCAAATATGGGCTCTTGACAACTGTATTTATACTCACAAAAACTCACTTTCAATTACATGCAAATTAAGAGGTGAGTCAATGCAAATTGAGGGGCGGATTATTTAGAACTTTCTAGGAAAGGGACAGTAACTTCCAGGTCATTGCCTTGGAATGGTGTGGTCACTTCCGGGTTGTTGCCATGGCATTTGTAATCTGTCATGGCACTGGTGGGAGTGTCTTATGCCAATGAGTAATGAGGGCAGCTAGGGCTTACTTCTGTAGCCATCTGCTGGTTCCTGCTGGTTTTTCCACTTTATCTTGCCTGGACCAGATCCTGTTTGGGTCAGAAAGGTTGTGACCTGAAAACAAATCCTTCTAGCCTTCTACCTCATCTTCTCTTCCCCTCATAACCCTCATCCAACCTACCAGCAATTTTTTTAGCATGAATCTTCAAAATACACGCTGAATCCTACCACTTCTCAATTCTATACCTTTGTCCAAACTTTCCTGACTCTTGACACTTTTTATTCTTGATGTCTAAAACAAGACCTAACACTCTCATAGGTCTACATCAGGAGTTGGCAAGCTTTGTCTATAAAGGACCAGTAGCAAAGGTTTCAGACTCTGCAAAACAAAAAAAAAAATATGATCTCTGCAACTACTCAACTCTGCCATTGTAGCATGAAAGCAGTCATAGATAATAGGTAAGCAAGTGATCATGGCTGTGTTCCAATAAAACTTTATTTACAAAAGCCAGCAGCAGGCAGGATTTGAACTGGCTGTAGTTTGCCAACCCCTGGTCTAAACTCATTGTGGGAAGTCCCTGCAGCGTGTTTTTCATTCTTTAAAACACATTTTTCTGTCTTCATTTTTACTCGTGATAACACAACCACTTTTTTTAGCGCAATGTTCTATATTTTATTACATGCCATTTTCAAGTACATTATTTCATTTGGTCATACACACATCACAGTGACTTTTTCCATACAGTGTTGTAGGGTAATCATCCTAAACTCCTGAAATCAATATTTCTTCATGTCTGACCTTTCCAGATAATGATCTATGTGACAGAATTGCTCCACACATACCCACTTTATCCCTATAGGAAAACGAACACTCTAATTAATGACTCCTCTAATTAAATCTTTTCCTTCACCCTGAACTTTAGCTAAGAATAGAAGGACAGCCAAACCGAAAATAAATCAAGCTTGTGTTTTTCTTTCTGTTAGAGAATATCTCAGGACTCAATATACAATTTGTTTCTAGAAGTTTTCCATGTTGGGAATGAGACAGTCACAGCATTACATGGGAGGTAGGAATATAAAGTTATAGAAAAAAGAAAGAATGAACATGAGTTAAGAGAGAAGTTACAAACCAATGGTACCTGAGTTAAATCCAACCCAGGGACATGTTGCTTGGGCTTCAAAGTAGTTTTAAACAATTTGAGCCACCACTAAAAAAAAGAATTATTTTAATATAAATTTACATGCCTCACTTATCTAAAAAAATACATGAGGTAATAGCTATTTCTGGCACCAGTGGGACCAAACTATTTCAAGGTAATAACAAGCTGGAGCTGAACAGTGCCAATTACTTTTAGATAAAAAGTGTTCCCCAGTTTTCCACAATCTCCACCACTCCATATTATGTACTTAATACTGAAGCAAAGTATTGGCTGGCAATTACTATTATTTTTGCACTTTTTTATAGTAAATAAATATTTTTCTGTGCTCTTTTTCCAATGAAAATCAGGAAAATAATAAATTGAGAAGTCCATGTAATTTAAGAAAAAATGGAAACAAGTAGCTCATTTTGTTGCCTGTCTGACCACTATAGGCATTTGAGTTTTCCTCCAGTGCAGGAGAAAGGGACTAGCCTGGAAACTGGACTTGAGTTCTAGTCTTAGTTCTTATTTAGTATGAGGGATTTTTAAGCAAGGTATATACCCTGTTTTAGCCTCAATTTCTTCTCCAATAAAATAAAAGTTTTTGTATAAGTTAGGGTGTCTTCGTTGTGAAAAAAAAGTAGTTAATTTTATATGAATATCCAAGGTCATATAATTGATTCAAAAGCTAAGGAATCAAGTTTGAGAAATAATAAGGAACAAAGCAAGACACTGCAAGGAACTTGGCAGCATCAGCTACAGAAAAAGACCCATTATAGAGCAAAGTGAGCATTGACTGGGGAAGATGAATCCTGACCATTACTTTTACCTTTGCGTTCTTTGTTCACTCTTCCAAGTTCCAGCATATGATTGGCCAAGCTTGGGGTAGGTGGCCTTTTCACTGGATGTACCAGGTCAGAAAGCAGGCAAATCTTGGAGATGGTGCCCCAGAGACCCCTTTTATCTCCCACTGCAGAATAGACACCTAAATTTCCAGTCCCACTAAGACAGTACATAGCAGGGGAAGAGGTAATGCCTCGAACAGAAATTGGGATGCCGTTGGGAAAGGATAATCCATGCTTCCCAGACCAAAAATCAAAAGAAAGTGTTCTCTTTTAGATTAAGCAAAATTGTATATGCAGCCTAAATACAAAAAGCACAGGAAAGCACAGCAGCTCCAGCTGAAGCAGTAGTGGGCTACCTGGATCCCAATCCACTCTGTGACCCCCTCTCTCTACATTAGCCCCTGAAGTACTTCTGCTGACCCAAGATATCTCTGAAGCACAGAGTAAAAACTACAGGATGAGATGATCCCTTGAAGCTGCAATTTTGAGATTTGAATGACAGAAAAATTAGTTGAGTTTCCACTGGTTGACTCGGCTCAGAGACTCTAACTAGATGATGGCTGCAAGATAAATCTTGACAGGCAACTGAGCCATGAGAATTGTTCCCCTGGGAACTGCAATAGCACTAGTAAATCATTCTCATTGACTGCTGATGAGAGAAACTGGCTTCTAGGTTACCACCATCAGAGACAGGGTTGGAAACATTGACCTCAGTGTTAGCAGCTGAAGGGCTCATCATTGACCCCTTAGCCTCTGAGCCCTCAGACATATGGAATGCCCCCGGTTTTGGATTGCTGAGGACATCTCTGTGGCCCACCTCTCTCATGCACATTAATATGTCTTCATCCTTTGTTTAGCATGGGAAAAAGAAAGGGGAAGAAAACAAGCTCTTGTGGACTCTTAGTGTGAGCAATCAACAGGAAGAAATGAGGAATGGGACAAAAATATCATATTGATCAAAGATTTGTTTTGAATAACCAGCCACTCTGGGTAGCAGGCAGCTGGAAGCACATTATGAAACTATTACAGTATTTATACAGAGCTATGCTAATAGTGAACACAATAGTGCAGAAAACCCCAGTTGCAGAAATCATCAACTTTTTGGAGATTTCAGAATAATTTTTTTCTATTAAGGAAGTATCTCGACCTCACACCGATCTCTTTACTGAGCCTCTCTTGGGACTGGTGTTTACATAGACAAACACAGGAAGCTCAGTGAGCTGATCAAAAGTTTTCTCCTTACAAAAGGGTCCTATTTATTGCATTATCTTAATTTGTTCTTCATATGTGACTGTGTCTTACTCTTCTGGGTGAATTATTGCTGTGTTCTGAATGTTTGTGCCCCTGCCCCCATCCACTTCTCAAAATTCATATGTTGACATTCTAATTCCCAAGGTGATGGTATTAGGGGGAGGGGTCTTTGGTTGGTGATCAGGTAATGAAGGTGGAGCTCTCATAATGGGATTGGTGCCCTTATAAAATACTCCCATGGGACTTCATTCACCTCTTCTACCACATGGGGACACAGTAAGAAGGTGCCATCTATGAACAAGGATGCAGGCCTTCACCAGACACTGAATTTGCCAGCATCTTGGTCTTGGACTTTCCAGCCTTTATAATTGTGAGGAATAAATTTCTGTCATTTATATACCACTCAATGTATGGCATTTTGTTATAGCAGCCTGAACAAACTAAGACAGTTATCAACACGAAACTCCACTATCTTGTTGGGGGGTTGGGGGTGGAAATGAGCCATTGGAGGAGCTCAGATGGATATTACAAGTGCTGTCTCTTACCCAAAAGAGTTCAGCTCTCCAGGAAGACACGAGAAAGAAGGTTGGAAAGTTGGACTTAGCTTCATCTCTTCAGAAGTCAGGGACTCCTGACTACCATCATGAAGGAACATTTCATCACTCTCTTCAGAGGACAGGCCACTGTAACTGGTTCTAGGAGTCACAGTAAGACATCAAACCTTCCTTCACATAGTTTATAGGCTGTTCTGCCTGGCAGGATGTACATGCATCAAATGGGAGAACCCAATAAACAAATGAGCTGAACAGCCTTCCCAGGAAAAAAACAAAGCCCTCAGATATGTGACCCACTGCACTCAGGCCCCATGTGGCCAGAAGAACCATAAAGTACCATATATAGTAGCACAGGCACTGGAGACATGTCAAGATGTGGATGTGAATCCAGCTTTATCACATATAAGCTTCATGATCTCCACAATACTCAGTTGCTCAGTTTTTCCATTCTTGAAATGGAAATAAAATCTCATTGGGCACATGGAGGCCTGAAAGAGATGATGTATGTTGTAAAGGTCCTCTCACAGTGCTTCATGCATCGTACACCCTCAATAAATAGTAACTTTCATTATCATCAACCTTACCCAATAAATTGCTGAATGTTATAAATTAGCCTAGTGATTCTCAAAGCTGAATATGCAATAGAATCACCTAGAGCTATATTTTCAATAATCTTCATGGACTCTACCCAAGACCAGCTGCATCAAATGACTCAAATTACTGAGGATGGAATGTGTGTGTGTGTGTGTGTGTGTGTGTGTGTGTGTGTGCGTGCATGTGTCTGCAGGCGTTAAGCTTTCCAGATGATTCTGATACATGATTCTGATATAGCTCATGTCTGGACTAGAATTTGAGACCCGGTGTGCATAACTGGAGACAACCTACATATGCAAATGTAGTTACCACCAATCAGAAGCCACAGTCACATACCCAGCATGATCTAAGAGAATAAGGAGAGCAGAGAAGCAGAAAGAAGACACAGAGTCAACACATGGTGACCATCTCAAAACCAATCTAACCTATGTCAACTGAAGATGTTATTTATTAAGGCCCTTCTAAGCACAGTCTACAAATAATTTGCAAATCTCTCATTATTAAAGGGCTTAGCTGAAAGTGCTAAAACTACATAGCTAACACATGCAGGGAAATAAAAGATTCCTTTAGTAAATTTAGGCTACATAACAATTTAACTTTCTTTCCCACATTCTTTTTTCTTTCAGGAATGACTCTCTATCGGCACTCATTTTTAAAAATTACATAGCCTACGTTTGCCACCTACATTGAAAGAATCATTCCAGGAGTGACTTTTTATCAAATTTAGCAGTGTACTGTGTAAACCAGAAACCATGTTGTAGAAGGTAGAATAGAGAAATGGCTACTGGTGTGATCTTAGAAACTGGGAAAGGCTTTCCCGACCCCCTTTTCTTTGTTTTCTAATGAAAAAAATGCCTTCAAAGAATTAATATTTTGTGCTGTGCTTTTCAATTCTAGCCATGTACTGTTATCTCCTAGGGAATCTTAAAAAATTCTGAACTCCAGCTTCAGATTTTCTGATTCAGTTTAGTTAGGGTGGGACCCAATTATTGATTTTTTTTTTTTTTTTTGAGACAGAGTCTTGCTCTATCGCCCAGGCTGGAGTGCAGTGGCACAAGCTGGGCTCACTGCAACCTCCGCCTACTGGGTTCAAGCGATTCTCCTGCTTCAGCCTCCTGAGTAGCTGGGATTACAGGCCCACACCACCACACCTGGCTAATTTTTGTATTTTTAGTAGAGATGGGGTGTCACCATGTTGGTCAGGCCGGTCTCGAACTGCTGACCTCATGATCTGCCTGCCTCGGCCTTCCAAAGTGCTGTGATCACAAGCATGAGCCACGGCGCCTGGCCAATTATTGATATTTTTAAACTCCTTGGAAGACTCCAATATACAGGCAAAATTTACAATGACTGCTTCAATGAAAATTTCAAACCCTGTTAAGAACAACACCATATTCTCTCACATTGAGAGAATATTTTAAGCTATTAACAGCTTCTTAGGCACTAGTATTTCCAACAGTTTCTTCTGTGAGGTACTAAAGGGTTGCCAGAGAAAATATAAGACGCCTGGTTAAATTTAACTTTCATATAAACAACAATTATGGGACATACTTACACCAAAACACTATTCATGATCAGAAATGCAAATTTATCCGTACGCTCTGTGTTTTTATTTGCTGTATCTGACAGACAACCCTACAGTAAGGGCATCGGGAAAACTGGACAGAATCTTCTAGTATAATTGGAAAAAGAAAGAAACTGTGGACATCTGTTGGTTTTTCTTGGCATTCTTCTCTCATTCCACACATTAATTTTCTTCAAGGAACACCCCTTCCCTCCTCAGTCTACGTGGTTCCAGTGGACACATAGTCTAGACCTGCCAAGCGAATCAGTCCTTCTCCCTGGACACAGTGATCAGCATAGGCGTGATGGGCGCTTAAACCGGCCAAACCAAACAGACACCATTCCAGAACTTTTTTATGTAACTGTGGGGCAAGAGGTACTCTTTCTACAAAGGTAGCTGAGAAGATAGACTATAAACCAGAAGCTACTGGGGGTCTCCTTACCATCATGTATGAAGGGCCTCTCTGCATAAAGCCAATAAGAAAGAGCAGAGCTGGGAAATGAAGAGAGTCCAAGCCCTAATGGGCCCATAAAGGAAAATTGGATATCCACATGCAGAGGAATGAAACTAGATCCTTATCTTACACTGTATACAAAAATCAACTCAAAATGAGTTACAGACTTAAACATAAGACCTGACACTGTACACCTACTAAAAGAAAACCGGGAGAAAGCCCTATGACACTGGCCTAGGGCCTAGGCAATGATTTTTTTTTTTTTTTTTTTTTTTTTTGGAGACAGAGGCTTGCTCTGTCACACAGGCTGGAGTGCAGTGGGGTGATCATGGCTCACATCACATGGCAACCTCCGCCTCCCAGGGTAAAGCAATCCTCTCACCTCAGCCTCCCAAGTAGCTGGGATTACGAGCATGTGCCACCACACTTGGCCGATTTTTGTATTTTTAGTAGAGACACGGTTTCACCATGTTGATCAGGCTGGTCTCAAACTCCTGACCTCAAAAGATCCACTCACTTCAGCCTCCCAAAGTGCTGGATTACAGGTGTGAGCCACCATGCCTGACCAGCAATGATTTTTTTAATATGATCCCAAAAGCACAAGCAACAAAAGCAAAAATAGCTAAGTGGGATTCCATCAAACAATACAGAGTGAAGACATAATCTATGAAAGGTGAAAATAGTTGCAAACCATACATCTGATAAGAGGATAATATTAAAAATATATAAGGAATTCAAACAATAGGAAGAAAACCAATAATTCAACTAATGAGCCTGTGGATCCAGCCATACCTGAAAATCTGTATCTTGCACTTTTTGTGATGCCAGTCAACTATCTTATTTTCTAGCTTATACCAATTTGAGTTACTTTTCTGCCATTAACCCCCAAAAGAGTCCTGAATAATACATATAATGTTACAGATTGAAAAGCTGGAATCCCAAGATAAGGTTTCAACCTATAAATGACTATGTTTTTTTAAGCCTATGAAATGGTTCTTCCACATGAACCAGTGTTTAACTCCCCTAATAACTTTCACTGACCCCCACTGTTCCTAATTCACTATTTCATCCTCTGTACCCCTCATAGCTTCTACTTTCTGTCATGTCATATCTCACACGTTATAGCTATTTATACCCGTAGCCTCCCCCAGATGGTTTCCTGATCATTGTATTCCTAGCTGGAGTCTGACACATAATAGGTACTGAATAAATGTTGCTTAAATTAAAGCAACTGTATAGGCAGGCTGTGATGATGATGCCTTGGAAAGCTAAGTTGAGCCACAGGTTGAAGCTATTCCAGAAGTGAGGGAAGGTGGCAGAGGAGAGAGCTGACCCCAGTTGCACAGAACTATTGCTTCCGTCAACCATCCCTGCATGTGTGGAACAGGACCTAAGCTTTGGGCTTTGTGTTTAATCTAACCTCCAGTGTCATCAGATTTTTTTTTTACCAAATGTATTTGAACCACATACACTATTCAGTTTACAATTACATTCTAGAATTCAGTGGCCAATAGTCATTTCCAGGTAACCTGAACAAAAATGGAATCAAAGTTAGATAATTAGCTTTTTCCCCGTGGAAATGGTCCCTAGTTACTGAGGTCCACTATGTGAAGAAACACAAAGGGATGTATTACGCAGATGACACATGATAGGGTGGAATCTAATATTGAATGGTTTGAAGTACTTGGCAACCCTAAAAGGATAAAATATCACTCAGAGTACAAAATTCTCCTGCTTACGTGAAGGATCAAGTAGTCCTGGATTTCCTATCAGCTAATTGCAGGATCCCGAGTCCGTTTTTATAGCTGTGCTTGCAATGGCAAAAATAAAAGGCATGCTGAAGAGTAGTGAATGAGTGAATGATGTGATTTTTTTTTTTTGGCTTCGCATTCAGATTGGATGCCATGAGGACACAGTCTCCTAAAAGCATGACATCTGACTTGCTGTCTCAATGTGCATCTTTGTAGACTGGCACAGAAATTCCATTTGAACTCCCTTGTGTTTTTTATAACTATAATGAAAATCATTTTCCCTCTCAAATTAAACTCATTACAAGCTCTGCACACCCTGTGGGGGGCCTCAACCTTGGCCACTAAGAATTCTACACTATCAGGACCTATGGAAGTACTTCCGGTACCCAACCTGACTGTTGATCTAGCAAAACTGACTGGTACTTCTTAAAGTCATCAATTAACAGTAAGTGAAGCCTTAATCCAGCAGGAACCTCTCACTCTCAGGCTAATCAACACTTTGAAGTGGCAAGGTGTGCCATGGAGCTCATGTTCAGAGGATTCCCTTTGAATGAGTAGCCTCTCATCTTGGGGTGACATTACAGGCAGTGTCAGCCCCTGTCTGAGGATCTTGACTAGAATCTGCCATCACAGGAGCTCCAAGACGAAAAGTCTCCATGTTCCCCTTTAGAACTGCCCATCATCCATTTTCTCTGGGAGATTTGCTTGCTAGTTAGTAAAACCATCCGGAGCAGCCGTGACAGGGATAATTACAGAGGAAGACAGCTCCTCACACAATTGTTTTAAATAAAGAATGGGAGGAAAGCATGGGGAACAAAGAATGCTCCAAAGGTTTGACTTCAAATAGCATTAAAGGAGGACAATTTTAATTTCCTGCATGAGTTTATTAGTATCCATCTCCTGACCTAAAGGAGTTATCAGGATAAGAGAAATTCCTGGGAGCTAGCCACATCTGACTGCTACAATACCATAGATCCTGGACAGATTCCAGGGAACCTGAAGATCTAGTGGAGGAGAGCATATGTCCCCTTTCTTCACAGAATCAAAGGATCTGAAGTGCCGGGAGCACTTTTAAGTCCACACCAGGCAACCTTCCACCCAACGCAACATCGCTTGTCACTTGGTCTTGCTTTGAGTATTTCCAATGATGGGGAACTGTCTGCTTTTTAAGGGAGCGTGATCTTTCTAAAAAACAGTTCAAGCCAGGCACAGTGGCTCATACCTATAATCCTAGCAATCTGAAAGGCCATGACAGGAGGATTGCTTGAGGCCAGGAGTTCAAGGCTTCAGTGAGCTATGATAGTAGCACTGCACTTCAGCCTGGGTGACAGAGCAAGAACCTAAAAAATAAATTAATCAATAAAAATTTAAAAATACACAGTTCAGTTTGCTGAAAAGTTCTTTTTAGGAGACTAAATAAAATCTGTTTCCTAGTAACTTTCAAATATTTGTCCTGGTTTTACCACCTGGAATAACATAGCGCTAATTTAACTCCTCCTTCAGATAGTCATCCTTTGACCAGACAGCGTTACCATGTCATGAATATCTCCAAGTGTTCCTTATATGGGTTAGTTTTCAGTTCTACATCATGCTAACTCACTGCTTCAGTCTCTCCAATGTTACTAGTGCTTTTAGAAACTCTGGCAAGCATCTTTAAAAAGCAAGAGGGGTTTTTCCCTGTATCTGCCCAACCTAGTTCCTTAACCCTGGGAGGAGTGCTGCTTGAAGCCACACACCCCAGTGGCTCAGTGAGCATCATACATGTTATTTATAAAGTGAACATCATACAGTTATTTATACAGTGAACATCATACTATCAATTGTGTAGTACAAATATTGTAATTGTAAAGTACAATGACTGGGCCAGGCGTGGGGCTCATGCCTGTAATCCCAGCACTTTGGGAGGCCAAGGCGGGTGGATCACCTGAGGTCAGAAGTTCGAGACCAACCTGGCCAACATGGTGAAACCCCATCTCACCAAAAATACAAAAAAAAAAATTAGCCAGGCATGGTTATGCGTGCCTGTAATCCCAGCTACTCGGGAGGCTGAGGTAGGAGAATCGCTAGAACCTGGGAGGTGGAGGTTGCAGTGAGCCAAG
Source organism: Homo sapiens (assembly GCF_000001405.40). Lineage (NCBI taxonomy): Eukaryota > Metazoa > Chordata > Mammalia > Primates > Hominidae > Homo > Homo sapiens. The sequence continues at coordinate 13,951,717 of NC_000017.11, forward strand.
ATCGCGCCACTGCACTCCAGCCTGGGCAAGAGTGAAAACTCCGCTCCCCGCCCCGAAAAAAAAGTACAATAACTGACTTTGTTCCTTATTCAATAAACTTTCCTAAGGTGGCAGGGGGTGTTGTGGAAGAGTTAAAAGAAACAGCAAGAAATAACCCAGGAGACCCTTGGTTATTACTTCTTTGAGGCCAACAAAAAATAATCCATTTGGTTGGCAAATTAGCATTTATTGGAGAATAACTGCTGAGAAAATAGAAATAATTTGGCAGCATGCTGGTCGCAGTTGGCTATTCTTGGGAATTCTGCTGTTTCCCAGAATAATACAAAAGTAATCTGGGACTGTCCAAGACACAAGGACTCTCAAGCAGGACAGTGAATTTGTAGTATTCTCTTTTCATGGTGTGTAGCATCACAAATGATGCTCTCACATAAACCCGTGGGTGGCCCTCAAATGTCCATGTGTGTTTCTTTGCTGGTAACATGACTCGGGGGCATTCTGTGGCTGCGTTTCCATGTCCTATGGGCTCCACCCTTTTAAACTGAATTGATTCACCCTTGAGGTTAAAAATCAGTCAAACAAGTGTTGACATGGTCTTTGAGTCTCTTTCCTGCAAAGACTAATCTAACCAGCTAGACTGCCATTGATTCCCCCCTCCCTTTGCCAATATTGACAATGGAGGGCAAACAGCATCTCAGGAATAGATCTGTCCATTTGCCTGGGCCTGGAGCCCCAGGTCAGCAATGTTAAAGCCCAACACACCAGCAAAGGTTAAAAGATAAGCCCCCAGTGTATTGAGCTGTGTTTGTTGTTTTGACAAAGTAGAGAGTTTAAGGACATAGAAGGCAGTTCATTTCTCCTGTCAGTGTCACTGCAGAAGATGGATGTTTTTTGGGAACAGGAGCCAGAGAGCCAAGAACCTTGGCATAAGGCCAAACCGTATTGTCCACATCAGTGATTAAGGGAATCAATCCCTAGTACTCATGCTGCTGAGCTGACTTATAAGAGGCTGCAATCAGAAATCCAGAGCCACAGGGTGGCTGGCCTGGGCCTGGTCTCCATCAAGTACTAAAGTCAGCTGTTCTGAGATTCTTCCAAACAGAAGGCCAGGTGACCAGCGAGGCTGTGGCCCAGCAGAACCTATGTCTTGGGTTTACAATGATGGAGTGAATCAGGGCTCTCTCACTGTTTTCTGCCCTGTAAGTGATCTGTTTCACAGCATCCCTATGAGAAATGGGCGTGGACACAGTGCTGCCCTGTAGACTCACACTGGATAAGTCACAGCAAGTTCTTCTTGAGGATGTCATTTATTTCCTTACACTGTGTTGATTTTGTGCCGAACACTAGCTTTAAACAATATCGTAGTTTCCAGATTAGGAGGAGAATGAGTGCAAGGCTTTCAGATAGATATTTAACAGTACTTGAATGTTTTCTATATATTCTCTCTATATAATATATACACATATATATATAAACAGACATGTTGTGTATAATGTATAACATATGTTATATATACATAACATATGTATATGTAAACACAGATATACAACATATATACACATATATACACACATACACATACATACATATGCATGTTTTATTATTACAGTACATATATAATATTTTATATATTTGTAGTAGTATCTTCCAGACTTCATTTTATATTAAAGTAATTCACAAATGTCATTCTCTTTCCTATTTATTATCAGTGCCTCAGGGGCAGGGGCCATGAATACCCCCAGGGCATTCTAGGATGGTTTCTTATACATTGTAGGCATTCCATCAGTATTAGTTCAATTGTTATTTCAGTTAGATGGGTCTATACCCGCTACTGCTCTGTGCTGTCTCTTTATAAAGCCATTTGCTACACCCGATTTCCTGCCCATTGTCTGGGTAAGCCTATTTGTCTTTCTTATCCCATCTTTTCCATCCTTTTTTCCTAGAGAGGAGGCCAATTTTGTTCTTTCGCCTATCATCCCCTTCCCACAAAGAGGGAACTTGAAGCTACCTCTTGTTGCAGCGTTTACTCCGTAACTCCAGAAAATTACTTAAAGCATCATCAGCTAAATACTGTCCTTTGAGGGTTGAAAGTGGTCATTTGGTTTTATGAACAAGGGATGCAACTTGCTTACTTCTCTTCCTAGAACTTTAAACAGTAGAGATTAACTGATAGCTCATTGTAGTTTTCATACAGGCTTAGCAGACTCGCAATTTTGTAACCAAATGTGCATCTTCTTCACTAAAATATTCATCACTGTACTTAGTTTCCACTTTTTGCCAATTTGGTTTATATCTCTCATTTGTCATGACTAATAAAGAAGAAATGCCCTCTTCTGCTATCTCTGCCTCCTCCTCTAGTTATTGCTGCTAGAGGAATAACAGCTAGAGGAATGCAATGACATGTATCCAGTAAACATTGTCTCTTAGAGTAATTCACCAAGGAGGCCTTCCTCCATGAAATTAATCTCTTGAAAAATACTGACAATTTACACTTTGAGTCTCTAAATCATTTTGCCTACTAGCATTTTGAAATGCTTAACTGATATATGTAGAATGCCCTGCATTAGTATATACTAAATAATTATTTATTGACTTAATAAATAAAAAACCTATTTTAAGGATCCTTTACCATCCAATCCAAGCCCTTCTGACACCCACCACTTTGTTAATGCTTCTTCTTTCTACTAGACTAGACAGCCCCTGTGGGTGTCTTTTTAAAAACACTGTAATTAGATATTTGCTTGTTTATTAATTTGACAAATATTTAATTACTATTCTGGATGGCACTTAGTAGACACACAATGAACAAATAATTTGTTGAATGAATTAATGGAAGAGTAGTGAGAGATCTAAATACCATGTCCTATAAGAGACATTTGACACCACAGCAAGATTTCAACCCAGAAAGAGAGGCTCTTAGAAGCCTTAGAGGCTCTGAGAGGTTTTCAGACACCTGTCTAAAAATATTTGAAGGATTGTCACGGATCTTGTCTTTTTAAAGTTTGATATGTTTTTTATCTTTTTTTACTAGTTTGCTTTTTTAAATACTTCATTAAAATATTATTTAACTTGATTAATAAGCTTTTTGGCATCGCTTTGAATTCTGTCCATAAGGTAGGTGCCCCAGTAACCTCACTTAAGACTGAGCCCCACATGTGATATTTACTCTACGGGCTCAGTAATTTCCCATCTCCACATATTCAAATCATGCATCTTTCGAAGCTCATATTAGGGTTTTGAGGGAAGGGTGTGTGAAGACTGTTAGTTGGCACTTGGATCGGGGAACCTGGTATATTCAAATGACTTCTTTATCACAGAGGCTCAACAGGGAATATGCAAAGGGAACAATGACAGATCAGATTGGAACTCAAAGTCATCACTTAATTTTGATCTTGTGGCAAAAAATATTGGAACACTGGTGCAGATCCAAGCCCTAAGGAAGACTTGGCTATAGACTGTGATGGTTAATACTGAGTGTCAACTTGATTGGATTGAAGGATGCAAAGTATTGATCCTGGGTGTGTCTGTGAGGGTGTTGCCAAAGGAGACTAACATTTGAGTCAGTGCGCTGGGAAAGTCAGACCCACCCTTAATCTGAGTGGGCACCATCTAATCAGCTGCCAGCATGGCTAGAATATAAAGCGGGCAGAAAAATGTGAAAAGACTAGACTTGCCTAGCCTCCCAGCCAACATCTTTCTCCCATGCTGGATGCTTCCTGCCCTCAAACAACAGACTCTAGGTTCTTTAGTTTTGGGATTTGGACTGGCTTTCCTTGCTTCTCAGCTTACAAACAGCCTATTGTAGGACCCCATGATTGTGTGAGTTAATACTTAATAAATGCCTTGTTCTCTTGGAAAACTTAGTCACAGACATGGACACAGGGAGAACGCCATGTGAAGAGAACCAGGGAGAAGATGGCCATCTGCAACCCAAGGAGAGTGTCCTGGAACAGATCCTTCCCTCACAGCCCTCAGGAGAGCTGCCAACACCTTGATCTCAAACATCTAGCCTTCAGAACTGAGAACATAAATTTCTATTTTATAAGCCACCCAGTCTGTGGAATTTTGTTAAGTTATAGCAGCCCTAGAAAACTAATATGGACTTTTACTCCACTGTAATACCAAAGTTATATCTTACCACAGTCATTCTAAAACGAGGCTAAAGTAACCAGGATACAAAGGTCCTTGAGAGGAAGAGACTGGCAAGCAAGATGGCAGCCTCTGACAGGAATTATCCGTTCAGCCTACACATCTATTGGTGATAGGATTGCTGGAGATGAAAGAGAGTACAGTGCCCAGATCAATAGAAATTTACCTATATGGAAACAGGAAAGGAGAGAGACCACTGCATCATGCATTTGATCTAACTTGATGTTCTTTGGACCTACCCCCTAGGAAATGTGAGCCATCCATGGCCCAAGGTTTAATCAATTCTGTATACCTCCCCATCCAGAGAAACGAAAAGATGGTAGAGGAAGAAAAATAGACTTCTTCCTCCCTAAGGCTCAGTTCAAATGTTACTTCTGAAAAAAGCTTTAAGTTTTACACTCATCTTCATTCCCAAAGCTGGAAGTAAATTCATTAATCTCTAGACTCCCACATCATTTACCAATTTCTTTTTTCCTATGGAACTTAGCACTCTTTTATAACTACCATTTACTGAGCCAGGCAACAGGAGTCATTGGATCTTAAAAACAATCCTATGGGGCCAGGTGCAGTGGCTCACACTTGTAATTCAAGCACTTTGGGAGGCCGAGGTGGGTGGATCATGAGGTCAGGAGTTCGAGACCAGCCTGACCAATGTAGTGAAACCCCCGTCTCAATTAAAAATATAAAAATTAGCCAGGTGTGGTGGTACGCGCCTGTAATCCCAGCTACTGAGTAGGCTGAGGCAGGAGAATCACCAGAACCCAGGAGGTGGAAGGTTGCAGTGAGCGAGATTGTGCCGCTGCACTCCAGCCTGGATGACAGAGCAAGACTCTGCCTCAAAACAAACAACCAAAAAAAAAAAAACTCCAACTCTCTGGGTTAAGTATTCCCCCACACCACTGTAATAGGTCTTAAAATAACTTATTTCAACAAACATGTACAGAGAATCTAGTATGTTTTATCAAATCTGTATACCTGAGGGCCCTAAAAATGCCCTCAAGAAGAGTCAAGGACATTTATGGAGAATGCAGTAGAGACAGTTTTTTCATTGAAAGTGGTTAGGTTTTCTTACTGTGAAAAAAATTGTAGTAAGATAATTGACTCTGTAATCAGTGACCACAGCATGAAGCCCTTTCCACACATATTCTGTTCCATCAGGAGACAGGCCAGAAGCTGTGGGCCTCTTGGAAGGAAAGTTTCACTGAGCTGATGCAGGCTTTTGAGTGGCTACACTTGGGAACTCATTCATTTCTTCTGTTTAGAAAAATGCTTATAATATTGATGTACTGCTAGTCTGACTGATGACTTAGGGAAATCAACAAAAGGAGGCTCTCTTCACTCCTCCTCCCACCCTAAGCCCTCCAACCTATACACAGACACTAAGCAGCCACCATATTTTCTCCTTTAAAAGCATTTTTTCCCTTTTTTTAATTGAAAGTTTTGCTTGGGGTCTAAAATTTAAATCTACGCTTCCACCTAGAAGAGCTCTTCTGGACTGTCAAATTTATAAGTTCAATGCTAAACTTCCCACAACAAAGGGATCACAGCACATTTAGAAAATAGCAAGGGAAATAACACTGAAAAACCTTTCTTTCTCTGTTCTGGTCACTTAAAGAATAGACCAAGAGCAGCCAGTGTTGTTTAGAAGCACCTATTGGCTGGATTGAGAAGCTATTAATTTAATCCAAGTGTTACATTGGCTAGAAGTTCTTTCTTTAAGATAACATATCCCTGATGATCAATAATGGCCAGAATTTTCAGTTAGTTTTAAGTTCCTAGGTCTTTACAATAAGATTTAAAAAATCTTCCAGCAAGAAACTCAGTTTTAAGATATGTATCAGTCATGAAAGTAAAACTAAGTGGATTTCTCCATCCCCTCTCTGGGCCTGTTGCCAGAATTAGCCATTTTATTAGAGGACACTTTTCACAATGCTTTCGGTTGACTTTTTCTTTTTTCAGGGATGAGGGTGTCATGTTATAGAGGGGTGAAGGCCAAGATCCTGGATTCAGACTACCCACGTTCAAATCTTGGCTTTGCCTCTGACTAGCTGTGTGGATTTAAGCATGTTGCTTAACTTCTCCAGGCTTCAGCCTTTCTTCTCTAAACAAAAGTACTAATTATGGCAACTCTCTCTCTCTCTCTCTTTCTGATTTTCAGTGTGTGTGCACGAGTGTTTGTTACCTTCTGCATGCATAAGTTACCTGGAAAAAACCCCAGAACCCAAGAAGAAATGAAAAAATTGAAAACAGAAAGTATAGGTTTTGGTAATAGCTCTTTCCTTCAGCAACCGTGACCTTGTGCCTATCTTTCTGTGCCTTGGTTTACCCTTTTGGAAAATGGAGAATGGTTGCTAAGTTAGGAGAGGTCTTCCTTACAGTCTCTTCTTCTTCAGAAATATCATAACAAGTTCATATCTGTAAGTGGAATATAAATACAATTTTAGGGATTGTGGCTGGGCCTAAATATTAAATACAAGAATAATCTTAGAGCAAGGAAAAAAAAATTAATTCCACGTTTGAAAGACTTCTCTAAAACCCAAATTTGTATTCATTTAGTAATAAACCAACATTTCCAATATATGTATATTTATCAAAAACTATTTTAATTACCAATTTATCATGATGTATCAAATGAAAACTGTATATTATGTTAAAAGCAAAAGACAAAAAAAGCTATTAAAATAAGGCTTTGTCAGCCTGTACAAGACTATAAGGATAAAGGCATAATTTCTTGACATTTTTTATGTATACAAAGTAGTTCAGAGACCTTACCATCATTTTGGACCTCTCGAGGTTAGGGAACCCCAAGTTGAGAGCCATTTGCTTATAAAACCCTGAGTCAGTGCTGAGAAAGCAATAATGGCCTGCCCACAATTGTGTAAGTAATAATGATATTACTAATCATTTACAAGAGCCCACTAGGGATTTTGGAAATAACCTCAAAGCAATTAACTAATGACCTACCTTTGATTATATCTCCAGCTTTGAAAGCAAAAGGTTAGAGTTCCTATGCCAAACTGATGTGGAGGGAGTGACAGAGCACGGTGGCCAGCTCTCTTCCTGAATACATCACATAACTCCTACCTGCTTAATCTCCCTTCCGAGTGCACTTCCAGAAGATGGTAATCTTTATAGCCTTTTAACATTTTTATAACGTCTTTTTTCATTCTAATTGAAACTATTGCTCAGTGCAGAAAACTTGGAAACTACAGAAAGACATGAGGCTACAAAATGTTACCCATAATCCCGTCATGCTCCCCAAAATTACTTTTAACTTTTTTGTGTTTGTCTCTCTAATTTTTCTCATAGAAATGTATACTTTACTAAAAAAGCAACAAACTATTAACATGGCTGTTTCACCTGCATTTTAATCACAACACATTTTGAGCATGTTTTCATAACAATAGGTGTTTTATGTGGTTGTACAATCTTTTATTTAACTAATTTCCTTCTGTTGGACATTTAGGCAGTTCAAAGTGTCTCACTCTGTAAATAATACAGAGATTCTGTTATTTCATTCGCTTATTGACACCCCCTTAGTACGTCTCTTTTCATAGAAAAAGCAGTTCCTTCCTACTAACGTATTTACATTGATAGAATAAAATTTTACAAAAGGAAACAACATCAACGACATATACACGGTTCGATTTTGCAGATATTTCCCCCTAGAACTATTATTTTAATTTTTATTCTCTTTGGAAATATACTTGAAAGTGCTATTCACAGCTCAAAAGTTACTGATTTTAATAATATTTACATATTATGTGTAATAATAAATACATCTGATGATATTTTTACTTGCCTTTCTTTGATTTTTAATCAGGTTGAATATTTTTAATATGGCAATTGGTGATTTCGTATCTATTTTTTATTGAATCACAATATATGTCCTTTGAATATTTTTCTACCAAGATATTAACATTTTCCCATTTTTTTAATTGTTTTCTTTATTGGCATATTATTGTATTGTTGTATTATTGTGGTTATCTCTACAACTTGGTAGATACAAAGCTAGCTCATCTTTTATAAAGATTGCCTTAAAAAGTGTCTTATGTACATACACAAAATGGACACTTTTACATAAATTGAATCATACCATGCATGACATGATTTATAATGCTATTTTTTCTTGCTTCTCTCCACCCCTCAAGTTCACCCACATCTTCACCGACACACCCACAATAACCCATGTTAATGACCTAGTATTTATTTTTCTTATTTTTCTCAATTTTCACAATTACATTTCAATATGTACAGATAAAATATATACATGTACAGGGTTTTGTCATTTATGATTTCACATAAATGATAGTATATGAAACATTTTCTGCATCTTCTTTTACTCTCTCAAGGATACCTCATAAAAATCCTGCCAAGGTAATTGGTGTAATTCTAATTCATTCTTCTTAATAGCCACATAAGCTTCCCTGGGGTGGATGGACCACAATTTATTCAGCCATTCCCCTATTACTGCCATTCACTTTGTTTCTAAATTTTTGCAACTACAAATGGGGCTGCAATAAACATCTTTGAGGAGATTTGCTTACTTATGGGTGTTTTTATTTTGATAGGATCGATTCACAGGACGAGTATTGCTGAGTCAAAGAGCATGTTCAATTTATTTTTATTTTAATGGATGCTGCCAGATTGCTTCCTAAAAAGGCTATAACAATTCATAGTTCCACTGGCAATGTATAAGAAATTTCCTATATCTGCATTAGCAATATGTATTGTAGCTCTTTTCAATTTTTTTAAGTCTAAAGAGTGGAAACATATGGTCGACCATTCATGAGCTCAAATGACATACGATTTATTGAACATTTGAATTTCACATCTCTAAATCCATTTATTTCTTGGTACTTTTTAAAATTTTTTCATGTCAACTTGTATATTTTCTGTATACTATAGAGTTTAATACTTTGTCAGCTGTACTGCAAATAACTTTGTTCCAGAGTTCACGCATGTATATATACTTTGCTTGTGGAAGTGTTTCTTAAATTCTCTGTGCCAAAGGCCCAGTATTGGAGAATATTTCCAATCTATAGCAAATCATTGTTTTGTAAAACACAAAATCACACACTTGGATGTCATAGCAATATCGAATGTCTATAAAAGTCCATAAATGCTTATTCTCAGTTTCTGTACTTGCCTAGGAATGGGTTGGTAGCACATGGCAGACTGGACAGCTCTACAAATTTACAGACAGGTCTAAGTGACACTAGTTTGTGTCATCCTTTTTTTTAATCAAAACTTTCACTTTTACATAGTCAAATATAGTTCCTTCTATAGTTTCTAGACTTTGTCTCTTAAAATAGTTTAAGGTCTGTTTCTAGGAATTATATTGCTAAGATGATTCTATTTAAGTCTCAAATACATGTAGATTGTTTTTCTAATTGTATCCTATCTTTTCCCCTTTTTTGTCTGGATTTTTTAACCATATGGGATGAAGTCCAGTGCTATTTTCTTTCAGAAGTGCTGCCGTGCTACCTTGGTCGTTGCGGAAGATATTGTGATCTGGCTCATTCAGCTGCCACTCCCTTCTAGTTTGCCTTCTTATACAGTCTGAGGCTAAAGGCAAAAATCCTGCATTCTTAGATCCAGTTGTACTATTGTTACATATGAGATGAACATGCCAGCAAACAGACACACCCAAGCAAGTCTTACAGCAGAGAGGTCAATATGATAAGTAGTTGTACAAAAGAATGTTTATTCTCTTAGAAAGCACAGTGAAATTGTCTGGGCACAGTGGCTCACACTTGTAATCCCGGCACTTTGGGAGGCCAAGGCTGGTGGATCACCTGAGGTTAGGCGTTCAAGACCAGCCTGACCAACATGGTGAAACCCTGTCTCTACAAACATACAAAAAAATTAGCCGGGCATGATGGCGGATGCCTATAATCCCAGCTACTCAGGAGGCTGAGGCGGGAGAATCACTTGAACCCAGGAGGCAGAGGTTGCAGTGAGCTGAGATCATGCCATTGCACTCCAGCCTGGGTGACAGAGCGAGACTCTGAAAAAAAAAAAAGAAGGAAGGGAAAGGAAGGGAAGTGAAGGGAAGGGAAGGGAGAAAGGAACGAAGGAAGGAAGGAAGGAAGGAAGGAAGGAAGGAAGGAAGGAAGGAATAAATAAATAAATATTTTGGACCAGGGACGGTGGCTCACACCTCTAATCCTAGCACTTTGGGAGGCCAAGATGGGTGGATCACAAGATCAGGAATTCGAGACCAGCCTGGCCAACATGGTGAAACCCCATCTCTACTAAAAATACAAAAATTAGCCGGATGTGGTGGCAGGTGCCTGTAATCCCAGCTACTCAGGAAGCTGAGGCAGGAGCATCATTTGAACCTGGGAGGCGGAGAGTGCAGTGAGCCGAGGTTGTGCCACTGCACTCCAGCCTGGGTGACAGGGGGAGACTCTGTCTCAAAAAAAGAAAGAAAGAGAAAGAAAGAAAGAAGGAAGGAAGGAAGGAAAGAAAGAAAGAAAGAAAGAAAGAAAGAAAGAAAGAAAGAAAGAAAGAGAGAGAAAGAAGGAAAGAAAGAAGAAAGAAAGAAAGAAAGAAAGAAAGAAAAAGAAGGAAGGAAGGAAGGAAGGAAGGAAGGAAGGAAGGAAGGAAGGAAGGAAGGAAGGAAGGAAGGGAGAGAGAGAGAAAGAAAGAAAAAAATATTTTGCTCTGTTGGGGTAGCTGTGAGGGGATTTCTCAAGTTCTTATATCATAAATTCCAGTCAATAAGAGTAGCAGCAATGCTACTTCCGTTTGAAATGTCTCATGTATGGTGAACCCTCTTCCTGGCTGCATAACATCCAAGCAGTTCTTTCATCTAGAAATCTACCTAACCTATCCTAGCAGATCCCCTTCATTTGAACTAGCTAGAGTAAATTCTGTTGTCTGCAACAAAAAGCCTTGACCAAAAATCATATATTAAATGATCTCATATACTGAGACACTTTACTATAGTTGCTCTTTTGTTTCCTTGATCCGTTTTGAATGGATTCCATATCATTAAGTTCATACCAGTAACACTGATCTTACCATGTCCTGAGATGTTTATCTTATTTGCTCTTCTTAGGAATTTATACTTTCATTTGGACTTTAAGATAATTGTATCACCTTAAGTCAACAAACAGAAAGAGAAACAGAAACAGAAACCCCAGCTGAGTAAAAGTAAGAAGCTTCCCTAAATCCAAGCTACAATATATGAAGACAAAGACTGAATGAAGAAATGGAAAGTGACTCAAAAGCTAAGGAGAGTCAAACCAAGGCACTCATGGAGTAGCATACTAATCATCAACCTGAGGACCTTGGAAAACTAACAAACCAATGGCACTAGGTCCAGCCAAAGATCATGGCGGGAGTGCTATATAAAAGCATAAAAAAGAAATAATTAAACTCCTAAATATCCACCCCCTCCCCTGCTCCAACAGAGTTAGGCAACAACCCTTCTTCTTCCTCTGTAGGAATGGGAGGTGTATTCTCTAAAGAAAATGTCCTACAGAACCTTTGCACTTGGTGTCACCAGACATAGAAACAGATAGAGATGAGGTCTAGGGCAGGAGTCAGCAAACTTTTTCTGTGAAGATCCAGATAGCAAATATTTTAGGTCTTATGAGCGATCTGGTCTCTGCTGTAACTATTCAGTTCTGAAATTGTATCGCCAAAGCAGCCATAGACAACACTTAAACAAATGGGTGTTGCTGTGTATCACAAAACCTTTACAAAAAAGATGGTGGGCTGGATTTGGTCACTTGCCCATAGTTTATAGACACCTGCTCTAGGGAGGTACCAGGAGTTTTAAGAAAAAGTCTACATGCTGAACAGGGAAACTCTCAGTCATCTTTCTCTGACCTCTTCCTCTGTTAGATTTATTGACCACACCCCACTTTCTACTAGCCTTCATCCTCCCCTTTCCCTTGCCAAAAAAGTAAACTAGTAAAGAGGAATATTATTCTCTCAGTCCCTTTTCCAATGGTGCCTCTAATTTTTCCAAACTCTTACTGAAAATTGACCTATTCGAACTTCCTACTTCTTGAGTACAGTTTGGTGAATTATGTTTTGTTAAGAAATAATCCCTTTTTCTAGGATTTTAGAAAATCCTAGAAAAAGTATTGCCATAGGAGTTGGATGTGGGGTTTTTATGAACATTTTAATTTTTTCTATATCTGTGAAAATATCTCCTTTCTTATTTTCAATATTGTATATTTTTACTCTCATTCTTTCTTTTTAAGTAGTCAAACTCACAAGAAGTTGATTTATATTGTTGGTCTTTTCAATGAACCAGCATTTGAATTTGTTTATTCTTCTTATGATTTGTTTCCATTTCAATAAATACTTGTTAAACAAATAAATGGCAGTCATCAGCAAATAGTTTGTTGTTACAGATCATCTGAGAGAAAATGTGTTGAGTGAGAAAGAAGGAGCCCTCTTAAGAACACCAGTATCTAAGGGTTGGGCAGAAAGAAAACAATAACAGAAAAAAAAGGAGATTGAGAAGAAACAATCTGATCTGATTAAATTGGAGAAAAACCAGAAAAGCACAGTGTCACAGACACCGAGATAAAAGTGTTTTAATAAGGAGAACCTTGTCAACAGTGCCAAATGCTGCCCAGAGGGGATTTCTTGCCTAAGGACTTAGAAGTGTTCCTTAACATGAGCTACAAGTAGGATGACCCTTGCAAGGGCAGGAGTAAAAGTCAGATTTCAACGAGTAGAAGTACAAGAAAAAAGTGAGAAAGTAAAGATAACAAGTAAAGATTACAGATAACTCTCAAAACAGATCTTTGGGGACCATAAGACATGCAATAGAGAGAAACTTTTATAAAGATTTGAAAATCTCAAGCATATTTAAATATGGACAGAAAGAAGCCAGTCAAGGGTTGGGTGGAAGATCCAGAGGAAGAAATGTCAGGCAGAGCACAGATGCAGATATTAGACCCACATCTGAGAAAGATGCCCGTTCCCTTATGACAACAAGGCAGGAGGATAATATATCTGTGGACCAGCGTGGGTGAGCATGTTTTTATAGACATAGTTGGAAGTATCAAAAAACTAAAGGATTTGAAATCGCTACAGTAAGTTTTGGAGGAAAAAGATAACTTAGGAATGGAGAAGAATGACCTGTCAGCACTGAGAGCCTTGTTAAGCTTGGAGACCTCACAGTTATGAAAACACAAAGCCTAGGGGTGAGGGTAAACAGAGGATGGATCCAGGCTTGCCTGTTGGCGTGACAGTCCCAGGTGATAACCAGTGATACTTGGGAGATTCTCACAGCTCCTCTGGCTCTGCCCACTCTGCACCAAAGCAGCCACAACGCAAAAGCTTTCTCTTCTACTTTTTCTACAGAAGGGAAAGAAATAAGCCTCTACTGCACTTATTGGAATAAATTCCCTTTCTGCTTCTCAGTGCCAACTTTTAAATCGTGGGCTTGGGGAGTGAAGAATCCTAAGGTTTCCTTCCTCGTACTGAGATGGGATTGTTCCCTTGACCCCCTTCATGGGTAGAAATTGGAGTGGCTCCTTTCACTCAGCCGGCCTCTGGCCACTCCAGGCAAGAGGGAGCAGGCAAGCAAGCAAGTCCAGGAACTAGAGGGAATGAAGGCTGAAACCAGCCAGTCGCTCCTCTCTGGTGGGAGCAGGCTCTGTGCCGCCCTGCAGCAGCGTCCAAGTCCCTGCTCTCCCAACACCTAGGTTCTTGTCCGGTGTCCAGAAAAAATCAGGTTGTGCAAATGGATTGAAGGGTAGTGTATGTGGAGGATTTTATTGGGTGATGGCTGTCATCAGGATGGGAGTTGGAAAGGCGATGGTGCAGAAAGAAGACGATCTTTCCCTAAGCCACACCTCTGAAGTTATCCACGTCTATCCATAGTCTGCAACACTCAGCCACTCATATCCCCGACGTTCAGCAGCTTGGATCCCCAATGCCCAGCTGCTTGCATCCCCAACCGCTTGCATTGACTATTTGCATCAGCCACTGTGTTGCTCTGCCAGCTGAAGTCTTTTCATGGGCACAGGATAGGGGCACGGCAGGCCAGAAAAGCAACATTTGGGCAGACAAATGGGGTCAGCTTTTTTGCACTTAGGGTGGTGGTTCTAGGCTTAGGGGTGGGGTCTAGTGGGGAGCCTGGAGCCCAGTCATTCTATATCATCTCCCCGCTCTGAAGAGGCACATCTAAGTGCCTTTAGAATATGGACAACGACCGGTCTTAGCTACTTCCTGCTGAAAGGGGACACTGTTTGCAGAAAATGGCAATCAGATTCCTCCCAGAGATTTACCTAAGGATCCCCGGCAAAAGGGAGCCATCGTCCGAGGCTCTGGCTGCCTGCCTATTTGGAGCCCTGATGGCCTCCAGGAGAGAGAAAAAAACAAGCTTTACAAGGTTAAATATGCATGGATCAAACGTGCATTATGCAAGGAAAGAATTTATTGCCAAAGATTACAGAAATAAGAAGTGAAATATACTAACAAGATTGTACCCCAAGCTGTCTCACCCCGGTGAAAAAAATTAAATCTTGTATGGGAGTGGTTACACTTTGAGAGAGAGAACTGTTCTTGCCACATCTGTAGTGGTTAACAGGTGAACGTTAGGAATTCTGGGGTTCATGGGCTTGCACGGTGGTCATTAAAGCTTCTGCCTCTTTCTTATATCTAAAAGACCAAGGTGGCCACTTTCAGGAGATCCTCTAAAGTACTATCTAGACCCAGGGTCTGTTTCTGAGTAGAAACTGGAGATGATAAAGTTTGTTGGTTGTCCATTCTGAAAGACAGGCAATTTGGGGCATCCCTCATTCCCTTCCTTCTTTTAGCAAAAACTTGGGGTGTGAGGGAGAAAGAAAGAGGGTGTTCCCCCCTTTTCTTTTCTATCTCCATCCCCGAGTCCCAGTGACCTTGGCAGGTGCCACCCATGGGTGCCAAAGCGGCTTGCACCGATGAAGCAGGGGGGCCTAGCGGGTGGGAGTACCCGCTCTTATCCACATACACCCTATCTCCCCTGCTGTCAACAGCTTTAAGTTCCCTGGTTCTCACCTATGCCATGGAGCATGGCCTTCTTCCATGAAGCAGGGTTTTTGTTGGCAGGAATTGATCCTGCCCATTTACATTGCGCATGTTGCCTGGCTTTGGATCCCTCAGATCTCGTTTTCCTTTCCAGGGCCTCAACCTGAAGCTTGGAATCAAGTTTGAGATTAAAAAAGGGTATTTGAAGGGCTGCAGAGATTCACTTAGATTAAGTCCCACAGGCTTTGGCAAATTTACAGCTACCAGCCACGAAGGTTTCCTCCTCTGTCATTTTCCTATCATAAGCAGAGTGCTGAGGTAGGAAGAGAACCCTCTCCCTTAGAAAAACAGAAAAACAACTTAAAGGGCATAAGGGCAGTGGGTGGGGTTGAAGGAAGAGCCTCTGCTCTGTGGAAATGGGTTCCTTTAATCACTGTATCCCTTCCCCACTTCAGACCAGCTAGACCTCCATAAAGGGAAAAAGAGCCAATATTCCTTTTACCAGGTGGAAAGAGAGAGGTGGCAGGGTCTTGAAAAAAAGGCAGATCCGACAGGCCCGCATGTTAACTAACCATCTGTTGTATCCCAGATGGGCCCCTAGATGAGATGGGATTGTTCCCTTGGCCTCCTTTGTGGGCAGAAACTGGAGTGGCTCTTTTCAGTCAGTCCGCCTCTGGCCACTCCCAACGAGAGGGAACATTGAGAGCAAGTGATTGTGGGAACCAGAGGTAACAAACGCTGGATCTGTCCAGTCACTCCTCTCTGGTGGGAGCAGGCTCTGTGTGTGTGTGGCCCGCAGCAGCGTCCAAGCCTCTGCCCTCTTGGCACCTGGGTTCTTGTCCAGCATCCAGGAAAAATTAGGTCACATGAACGTATTGAAGGGTAGTGTAGCGTATGTGGAAGATTTTATTGGGTAATGGTTCTCAGTGGGATGGGAGTGGGAAAGGGTATGGTGTGGAAAGAAGATCTTTCCCTGGGGCCACACCATCTGAAGTTAGCCGCTTCTATCCTTAGTCTCCACCACTCAGCCACTTGTATCCCCAATGTTCAGAAGCTTGTATCCCTAAAGCTCAGCTGCTCGCATCCCTAACCACTAGCATCATCCATTTGTGTTGCTCTGCCAGTTGAAGTCTTTTTATGGGCACAGGATAGGGGCGTGGCAGGCCAAAATGCAACATTTGGGTGGAAAAACAGGGTCAGGTGTTTTCACTTAGGGCCGTGGTTCCAGGTTTAAGGGTGGGGTTTAGCCAGGAGCCCAGCCATTCTGTATCACTACTTTGGAGTGGCAACACTGGGATAGGCAGCCTCTGATAAAACTATCCTTGACCTGAAAAAGCTAGAGATAAGAAGGACATGAACTGAGATGGGTCTTTTGTCACATGAGCCAGGTCTTATTTTTCTTTATTGCTGTAGAAACTGTTCATCTTGGCTTTATTTTCTGTGAGTTATTATTCAATTTTATAAAAGAAACACAAACATGTTATGTATGTATGTTTATATGTGTGCATATATATATGTGTATATATGTGTATATATATGTGTATATATATGTGAATATATATATATATTCTGTGCAAAGATCCTGTAGACAAACTAGTTACATGCATAGGAAAAAGACTTAATGGATATATGAAATATGATAGTAGAAAATGAAAGCTTTTCTTCTTCATATTTGAGCCATGAACATGTACTCATTTGTAATGAGAAGAAAATCAATAAAATGTATTTTTAAAGTCAACACATTTGAACAAATATTTTTCTAGCAGCCACGTTCAAAAAACCATATTCTGGTCTCATTTCTTTGCATTCAGGAAGCACTTTTCAAATATATCTTCGACGTTCCTGATTTGATTTTCATAGAATAATTCTGCTTTGAATGAATTTTTAAATTCCATTAGAGCATGTTTACTTACCTGAAATTCTTTCCTTATCTAATTTCTTTATAATTTCTGATTTATCTCAATCTGTTCCCCTCTCAGCTCAAATTTCTTATCATTCATCTTTCATCTCATTTGTCCATGTTTCCTTGAGCCGTGAGAGTACAAGGCACATGCTGGTGAATAGTTTCTTCTGTTTATTGCAGTAATATTTTAAAAACGATATTTCCTTCTATTTTTTCCTTTATGTTATAGCATTACTTCATAGGCTCCCTACTGGTTTGCATTTAATTTCCTCATCCTTAAATGATAGGAGATACATCAAGAACTATTTATTCCAAGATAAGGCATTCTGCACACTGTCTGCTTGCAAGCTGTTAAACGCAGGGTCTGAGATGTGAGCCTCCAATTTTGAACCAGTTCAATGATTCCCAGCATTGTGGGAAGAGTGGGCCAGAGGAAGTTCCCCTCAGCCAGGAGGTGTTCTGGTTTTCAGTGAAGTCTGTATGCTGGGGGCCAGACAGTATAGCTTGACTTCCTTTTAATTTCTTTGGTAAGAAGTCCTGACCCAGTGATGAGAAGACCTTCCATTGCCACCATGCTCAAGAACTTCTGGTAGCAGCCCTTGACCCCCTGACCTCCAGCTGAAATTTCTTCTGACCTCCTCTGGTTACTTTCCAGTGCCACCCCTTGCAACTCCAAAGAAACTGACTCTAAACAGAGGTTGATCCCCAGCCACTGCTCTGGTGGAGCTGAAAGGTTTCCATGTGGAAGCCCCTGACTACCACCAACCAGTTCAGGCGAGAGACCTGAATCCTTTCCCCCTTTTCTTTTTACCTTTTCTGAATCCTATTCCTTTTTTCCTTTTCCTGAGTTCTTTTTTTTTTTTCCTTTTTCAGCCACTGCTAAGCCCTTTGTATGGTGTTGATGCCTGTGTCCTGGACACAGCTGCTCTTAGATCTTTCCTTCCTTTTGTTCTGGGGTGTCACCCTTGCATCCCTCCTATTCAGTAGCTGCTACAGTCCCCATCAAAGTTGTCCTGGAGCTCACCCTGCAGACACATAAGATTCTAAGAGGAGTGTTTGCCCACCTCACATCCTGTCTCCAACTCCACTCCTTGCCTCCAGGTGAGGGGTGCTCATGGAGTTTAAAATCCCTGATTTCTGTCATTTATCAAACCCTGTTGACCTTTTCTTCATATAAACCCATCAATATTTTATCTAGAAGAAACCACTGTACATTTCTAATATGTCATTCATATTCTCCTAGCTGTAGTAAGAATGCAGATATGGTGCCTAAGTTCGAGGCAGGAGAATAGGGTCTGGAGGCAGGGAATCTAAGGCCAATTCATGCTGACTTCCTAGAACTAAACTGATAAGGGAAAACCCCAAATTTTCACGCCTAAGTAACAAAAGGACCAGATGCTACTCACTTTGCAACCCCACCACCTCTTCTGCACGGCAGATGGAAATATTAAAGTACCTCTGATTGGCTGCTTTCCAAAACCAATCAGATGGTTGCATAGGAGTGTAACTTTGTAACTTCATGTTAGCCTCTGATGGTTGCTTTCTGCAACCAATCAGATTGATTGAGGGCCACCACTTCATTTGCATGGGGTGGACACCAGTGGCCAATGGGAAACCTCTAGGGGGTAGTTGGACCCCAGAAGATTCTGTAACCGGGGCTCTTGAGCCACTGCTTAGGCCTGCTCCCACCTTGTAGAATGTACTTTCATTTTCAATAAATCGCTGCTTTTGTTGCTTATTCCTTCCTTGTTTGCTGTGCATTTTGTCCGATTCTTTGTTCAAAATGCAAAGAACCTGAACAACTTGCAGTCAAGACCCTTTACCGTTATGTTACCCTTAACATATTTTGGAGAGCCAACCGGAAGATAAGCCCAAAGTTAGGGATTTATTTTTCTCCTTTCCCCTTTTCTTCTCTGCTGCATACAGGGGAATCTTTTTTTCTCTCTCTCTTTTCCTTTCCAACTCAGGGAGCTCGATGGACAGCGCCAAAGCACGGAGGCAACTGCAAGTTGCTGGCCAGGGCCACTCTCTGGTGAAACAGAAAGGTTTCCATGTGGAAGCCCCTGACCACCACCCAGTTCAGGTGAGGGACCTGAGTCCTTTCCCTTTTTTTTCCTTTTTCTGAATCCTATTCCTTTTTCCCTTTTTCTGAGTTCATTTTTTATTCCTTTTTCAGTGTTTCGGCTGCTATTTCCTAGTAGCTCCCTTGTACGTGAGGGCAACTGGCCGGGACCACTGTCTGGTGCTGTCTGAAGGCCAAGGAATGAACAAGGATGACTGCCCGGCCCAAAAAAGGAAAAGACTATTTTCTACCCTTTCTAGTTATAGTCCCTGGTCCCTACGTGTGATGCAGCGGGCAGTGGCAGCTTGTCCAGGGTGAACTCACACAGGTTTCAGGCAACTTGAACCTTCTTTTCTTATGCTAAATTCTTCCCTTCCCCTACTTGACTGGCAAAGGACAAAAAACCCACCTAGCTATGCAAAAAAGATTATACAACTAGTTGTTTAAAGAGAGAGTTGTTTAGGGCAAGTCACAGGGTCCAGGCATGTTGTAGGTGGTGTATGTGGGTCATGGGTTGGGGGGGATCCATGAGAAAGGGAATTTATGCAGGAACTGACAGGTGGGTTTATTGCTTTAATTTACAGAGTTAAAAGGTTGCTTTAAGTGGGATAGAAAAACCTTGAAGAAAGTTCATAGCAGGTCATCAGTGGTGAAGGGAACCAGTCCAAAGTGGTGCCAGCACCCATCTAAGTTCAGAGACATTTGATGGACTAAGTCAGGACCCTAAACTGAAGGCACCCCTGGGGACTCCAGTCAGGGCCTAGAATTTTTCCAGGGGGATGACCCAGGTAAAATTTGAGTCACTTGATAAACCCTCCACTTTTCAAAGTCCTCTTCCCTTTTCCAGGCCACTATGGACAACTCTGAATCTATTCCACCTGATTCCTCGCTTGACTACATCCTCCACCATTGGAAGCAATTTGACCCTGACAATGTAAAGAGAAGGAGCATATTTTTTTTTCTGCAATACTATCTGGCCCCATTATGAGCTGCCCAGCCAAGAACAATGGGCAGTCAACGGTAGCCTTCATTATGACACCATCCTGCAATTAGACCTATTTTGCAAGAGGCAGGGCAAAAGGTCAGAAATCCCATAAATACAGGCTTTCATGACCCTATACCAAAACCTAACAATCTGCAAAACTCCCAGAACCCACCCCCTAAAGGGAAGTTCTAAGGCACAGCTCAATATTATAGATGATCCCATTTTACAAGGACCACCTGTCTCTCAGAGTAAATAGCAACTGCCCCCATATAGCCCCTTGCCAAGGCTCCTGAGGCTAAAACCCAGGAGCAAACACTGGGAACCCTACTAAGTCCCCCTCACACTTGGAGGGGAACACCTTATTCAACTCTCCCTCCAGACCTGCTACCCCTTAGGGAAGTAGCAGGAACCAAGGGGCCTGTCCTAGTGCAGGCCCCCTTCTCTATAACTGATATACAACAATGTAAGGGGAAGCTATTCTGAGATTCCTAGGAAATGTGCAGATGGGTTCCAAATTTTGACCTTAGCCTTTGAACTCTCATGGAGAGATGTTCAATTCATTTTAGCAACCTGTTGCACTCCCTCAGAAAAGGAACGAATCTTTGAGGCCACTTCCCCAACCCGAGAAGTGGATGAATTATTCACTTGAAACCCTCAGGACAATCACTGGAGGCCAGATACAGTTCTCATTACTGATCCTAATTGGGACTATAACACCCCCATGGGAATGAACAACCAGGCTAAATTTCTTGAGGCTCTCCTTGGAGGAATGAGAAAGGGAATAACTAAGCCAGTAAATTATAATAAAGTAAGAGAGGTTACACAAGGCAAGGAGGAAAATCCAGCCATGTTTTACAGCAGGCTGGAGGAAGCCTTTAAGAAATATACTAATCTGGACGTTTCCTTTCCCGAAGGCAAAACATTAATGGCACAGCATTTCGTCAGTCAATCCACCCCAGTTATCAGACATAAGCTGCAAAAGCTACAGATGGGGCCACAAACTAATCAAAATCAACTTCTTAATACCACCTTTATGGTGGTATTATGACCTGGAGGAAGTAAAAAGGGAACAGAGTGAAGAAAAACAGCAAGCCAAAATTATGGCAGACATCATTGGTGATGCCCTGAATGCCCAAAAAGCATTTAAGGGAAACCCGAAGGGCCATAAACCACTGCCCTTTTCTGCAGGGCAGATGGAAAATTGGTTTTAGAAAGCAATGAATCAGACGTTTGTGTAGGAGTGTAACTTTGTAACCTCACTTCAGCCTCTGATTGGTTGCTTTCTGCAACCAATCAGAATGATTGTAGGCCACCACTTCATTTGCATGGGTTAAACACCAAGTGGCCATAATGGGCTCTTAATGCCAGCAAAGGCTTTTGCTTCAAATGCAAGGAAAATGGGCATTGGGCAAAGGAATGTACTAAGCTTCCATCAGGCTCCTGCCATCAATGGGAAGGC
Organism: Homo sapiens; assembly: GCF_000001405.40. Taxonomy (NCBI): domain Eukaryota; kingdom Metazoa; phylum Chordata; class Mammalia; order Primates; family Hominidae; genus Homo; species Homo sapiens. The sequence continues at coordinate 13,973,258 of NC_000017.11, forward strand.
ACCAGTTGTGACTCCTGGCACTGGAGAATTGACTGCCCCTGCTCCCACCAAGGGGCTCAGTCAGGCAAAACTCCAGCAGTGCAAAAGGAGGAATTAGATGAAGACTGAGAGGGCCCAGGGTCTTCCTCACCCCCCCGTCCCGTAACACTGTAATTACTACTTAGGATCCCCAGGTAACTGGACGTCAGGGGCTCTCAAATTCAGTTTCTTTCCAATACAGGGGTGAATTACCCTGTCCTTACTGCTTATGCAGGCAAATTTTCCTCCTGGTCCATGGGTTTTATGGGATTGGAAGGAAAGCCACAAACAAGATTCTTTACCCCTCCTTTGATCTGTCAATTTGAGAAACAAATCTTCCACAGAAATTTCTAGTAGTACCAAGCTGCCCAGTCCCCCTGTTTGGAAGAGATATTATGGTTAAAATAGGGACACTACTACAATTTAAGCATCCAGCCTGTCACCCAGTCTGGAGTGCAGTGGCGTGATCTCGACTCACTGCAACCTCCACCAGGTTCAAGCAATTCTCCTGTCTCAGCCTCCCTAGCTTTAGACTGATCCAGTTCTCCTCACTTTCTTGCTTGCCGTTCCAAGAATAACTGTAAAATGTGCTGGGAATGAAACATCCTGAAATATGGAGGGACTGGGAAAAGCAGGGTGAGCTCTGCTCCTGTTCAAACCTGCCCCCAGAAACAAAATGTCCTTCAATGCTTTAGCCCAGCATGTCATGTCCATGGGGCAATACATGGGAACACAGGGAGGGCTGTTTTGGGGTCCCTCAGCTGCAGTGCTAGCGGGGCACACACAGACAAGACTGTCCTCTCCAGGCAGCTTTCCTGAGGCTTGTGGGATCAGCACATCACGAACACTAGGCTTCTGCTGTCCCTTGCTGCCTAGAAAGTAATAAATCCATTTCATGTGACTTGTGTGCATGGTGTGTTCTGTCTCACCAGACTCAGACAAGTTGGTAGCCAGTGCACGGTGAATCTACTTCACAGTGATTCTGCTTCAGAGTACTTTGTTCTTCTGTCCTGAAAGAACTCTTGGGTGATATACACGCTGAGTGCCACTGCCTGTCGGAGTCATAAAGGCACCTTGCCACTCTCCCCTTTGTCTACACCAGGCCACTTGCCGCTGAGCAATGCACTGGCATCTCATCCCCTCAGCATCACATCTGCTCATGCAGCTGGTTTAGTCTTTCAGATTCAAAGCGACACAGACGCTCTGGGCTTCAAAGCATCTCTGTATTCCCAGCCCAACCATTTCTTATATTCATGACTAAATAATGCAGCCTGTTGACTGGTGCTCACCCACAGTGGGGGCGGGTCTTCCTCTCCCAGCCCACCAACTCAAGTGTCAGCCTCCTCTGGCAACACACTCACAGACACAACCAGAGACTATGCTTCATCAGCCATCTAGGCATTCCTCAAATCCAGTGAAGTTGATACCTAATATTAACCATCACATCACCTAATATTAACCATCACCCTCACTCATTAACTTATTTATTTGTTTATCCCTTCAAAGGAAATATTTATTGAATGCCCTTTATATGTCAAGCATTGTGGTAGACCCTGGGGGCATGGCATCTTTCCTCCTAGTGGGACCTTGGTTTTTATTGTTTTTTTCTTTAATTTTTAAAATATTATGTTTAGTTGGCAAATAATAATTATATGTATTTATAAAGTATCATTGTAGGAGGACGAGCCGCAGGCAAAACTCCTGAGACACAGAGTTAAAGAAGGAAGGGGTTTATTCGGCCGGGGGCATCGGCGAGACTCCTGTCTCAAGAGCTGAGCTCCCCGAATGAGCAATTCCTGTCCCTTTTAAAGGCTCACAACTCTAGGGGGGTGCAAGTGGAGAGGGTCGTGATCGATTGAGCAAGCAGGGGGTATGTGACTCGGGGCTGCATGCACTGGTAATTAGATCAGAACAAAACAGGATAGGGATTTTCACAGTGCTTTTCTGTGCAATGTCTGTAATCTATAGATAACATAACCGATTAGGTCAGGGGTTGATCTTTAACTACCAGGCCTAGGGTGTGGCGCCGGGCTGCCTGCTTGTGGATTTCATTTCTGCCTTTTAGTTTTTACTTTTTCTTTCTTTGGAGGCAGAAATTGGGCATAAGACAGTATGAGAGGTGGTCTCCTCCTTTACCATGAGATGTTTTGACATATGCATACATTATGGAATAATTAAATCCAGCTAATGAACATATTCATTACCTCACATGCTTATCTTTTTTTACTTTGTAGTATGAACCTTTAAAATCTGCTCTCTTAATAATTTTGAAATATATATTATGATTAACCATAGTCATCATGCTGTGCAACAGATCTCAAAATAATTGGGTCAAACTTGTGTACCCAACTCTCTGGGCCACCAATAAATTCTCTCCCACAAGCCTTCTCAGTCCCTTATGCAAAATTATTCTAAGCAATAACACCAGAATAAACTCAGAACATTCTAGCTGTGTAAGGAGTCCCTTAGTCTGTCTCACAGCACCCTTTATTAGAGTCTACGTGCCTTCAGGACAGGGATCATATCTTCATCAACCAACCATCCTCTAAAGGAGTATTTTTATAAACTATAATTTTTCAATACTATATGACAGCATCTTTCAAGACATGGTCTTGGACTAATTGAATTAGATTACTTAGGATTTTTAAAAAATTCATGAAATACATCCTGCATCAGAATCACTGAGGATGCTTGAAACGCAGATTCCTGGACCAAATCTTGAACCCTCTAATGTTGAATCTGTAGAGTTCCACAGGATACTCTGTGAAGCATCCTAGGGCATTGTTAACATGCTCCCTGGTGATTCTGAGGCACGTCAAAGTCAAGTAGGTTCTTCATATCTGCATCTGTTCACACATAGGGAATCTGCAGAAATTAATCCTTATCTAAAATTTATTTTAGATAAGGATTATGTCATTGCTTAAAAGAAAAACTTGACAATAATTCCTCTAAAACACCCAAGCCAAGGGTGCAGTGTGAGATGAGCTAAGAATTGAGATGAAATCATCAAATTGTTAGGAGATTAAAGCAAAATAAACATGGAGGTGAACAGAAGTTGGGAAAGAGGTATCCATAGAAATGCAGTCAAATCTAAGTCAGGGGAACCAAAGGTCAGTTTGTGTGACCCTCTGGGGTCTTGATCTAAAGGCTTTAGCCAAGTAGCAAGTTCAGAGAATTTTGGAAGCCTCTACTGAGTGGTCCAGAAAAAGCTGCAAAGACCTTGTTAGGGTGCAGCTGGATCCCCTTTGAAAGACTGTAGCTTCTAGGCCGGGCGCGGTGGCTCACGCCTGTAATCCCAGCACTTTGGGAGGCCGAGGCGGGCGGATCAGGAGGTCAGGAGATCGAGACCACGGTGAAACCCCGTCTCTACTAAAAAAAATACAAGAAATTAGCCGGGCGCAGTGGCGGGCGCCTGTAGTCCCAGCTACTCGGGAGGCTGAGGCAGGAGAATGGCGTGAACCCGGAAGGCGGAGCTTGCAGTGAGCGGAGATCGCGCCACAGCACTCCCGCCTGGGCGACAGAACGAGACTCCGTCTCAAAAAAAAAAAAAAAAAAAAAAAAAAAGAAAGACTGTAGCTTCTACCTTGTTACTGTGTCTCTGCTGCCCTTCGAGGAACTGTGCCCGTTTTTCGCCAAAGCCATGTGTGAGCTGAGAACAGGAGCATGAAGGCAAACGGGTAAGCCAGCTCTTATCATTCTCATCTGTAAAGCAAAGGAGATGGGCCAGGTGTCTCTTCTATGTCTCTGTCAGGAGTAGCATTTGGAACCTGAGGAAAAGTGGTCAGCCTGACGATAGAACTTGAGCATCCATTGATCCCATCAACATAGGCTTAGATGCAAAGATACTTCTGCATTCACATAAATCAGAAAAATAAAAATCAACTGGTGAGCCTCCTAGGGAGAGAAGAGCATCAAGGAAAAAGCAGTATTTGTGATTCTTCTGCTCCATAGGTACTTCTCGGAAGCAAAGGACTGATTTCAAAGAAATGAAGGGATTCCTTGTATCTCATGAAAAGGCTTCCTGTCTAGCAGAGAGGTGGAGAAAATGCAGTCATCACTGCTAATTCCAGATCATCTTTGAGAGGAGGAGACACCTCTGTGCAGGACCTGGCTCCCTTAGAGATAAAACCAGCTTGAGGAAGAGCCAGCAGTCTGTTGAGTAGCCCCAGCTCACTTGGAGAAACCATTTTCACTGGAATTTTTCAGAGGCCAGATCTGGATTCCAGAGCAACTTTATGAGGTGCTACTGTAAGTAATGAATGCATATTTACCAAATGTTCCAGAATTTACAGAAGTAAGTGTTGAAAATTCTTTTTTGTAAATTTCTCCAGAGCCTGCACCAGATCTTAATCCTTGAGTGGGATTTGAGATTTACAAACAGGCAACAGACAGTTGGGAACAGGGAAGATGAATCGGGTCAGTGCCCAAGCCCAGTAATTGGGGTCATAAAAAGGTGACACTTTTTCTATAATGAGGATGCATCACTTTTATGATAAATCAAAGTTAATTTTAAAAAATCAGACTGATTCCATTACGTGACTCAAATTAGCCTTGAAAGTAATCTGCCAAGAGGAAAGAAAAATGGCTGATAGCAATGGTAGCACCATTAGAATTCATAGACAGCTGCCCATAGTGATGATATTGTAGGAAACAGTCTTCACTAGAAATACCAGCATTTTATTTTAAAAGGTCTTCATAGAGGTCTGAAACAAACACCCTGTTCAGAGACATTCCACCACCGCATTCACCAGGTGAATGCCTGACATTCCACCACCTGCATCATGAGGTGGTTCACTGCATGAACCACCTCCACTCAGGAAACCTAAGATCCTGAAGCATCAAAATCCTCAGTGGAACTTTTCTGCCTTGACTAGCTCAAAACACATCTCACCCCCTCAGTGGGGGCCCCAGCATAGTCTTGGTATTGAGGAAGGTTACAGAGACTGGAGGGAAGCCAGGGGATCAGACTGACTTCCTAGTGTGAGGGCTATATATAAATGGATATTAATGAAGAGAAAAAGGCCCAGACCATGCCAACAGCCTCCTTCCTAGCCCTTCTGGCACTGGTCTCGCCTGCCCTGCACACAATCCCACAGCACTCTCAGAGAGACTCTCTGACAGTCAGGTCACACCTCCAGTCACAGGTTCAAAGTTTGTAAGGGTCTCATCACTTTTCCAGGAGAAAATGTAAGCCCACTTGCATGGTGCAGAAGACTTTCTCCACTGCTTCCCTGTTGATATAGTTTGGATATTTGTCCCCTCCAAATCTCATGTTGAAATTTGATCCCCCATGTTGGAGGTGGGGCCTGATAGAAGGTGCTTTGGTCATGGAGGTGGATGCCTCATGAATGACTTGATGCCTTACCTGCATAATGAGTGAGTTCTCACTCTATTAGCACATGAGAGAGCTGATTGTTTAAAAGAGTGCAGCACCTCTCCCCTCTCTCTCCATTGCATCATTTCCTCAACTTCCTTCTGCTTGGCTCCCTTTTTCTCTTTATTATTGCCCCAATACCTTCTATGTGCCTCACCCATCCTTCTATGGCAGAGACTAGCTCACCCGATTACAATTATCCAATGGAAATAAAACTAGGAATTGAAATGGGGTTGCATGATAGGCAGAATTCTAGGCTCTAGAAACACCATTTGGTCACATTCAATAAAATGCACCACCTGGCTTTTCACAACCACCTGGTTGGTTTCTCCCTTTGGAAGGAATTAGGCCAGACTCAAAAGAATCTGATTTGACAGGTGGATACCAAGTAGGGTTTCAGAAAACTAAGGCTGCTGGGCTAATAAGGTAGTTACTTAGAATGGCCAAAAGCACAGATCCAAGTTTGAGATGAAAAGACCTATCTGTAGGAGGGTTCTAGAGAGATAGAATAACTGTATTAGATCCAAACAATGGGAGTCCAAAGGAGAGAGAGAGACAGAGAGCACAGATCAGAGGTAAGAAGACCAGTATGAGAAAGCAGATGGAGGTTGTACCAGCTTGATATTGAGGGGTGAGGGTTTACTGGGAAGGGGCTTGAAAGAACATTGTAGGGTAATGTAAATATTCTGTGTCCTGGGCCAGGTGCAGTGAGTGGTTCATGCCTGTAATCCCAGCACTTTGGGAGGCCGAGCTGAGCAGATCATTTGAGATCAGGAGTTTGAGACCAGCCTGGGCAACATGGGGAAATGCCATCTCTACAAAAAATACAAAAGTTAATCAAGTGTGGTGGCACTTGCTTGTAGTCCCAGCTACTTGGGAGGCTGAGGTGGGAGATTGCTTGAACCTGGGAGGCTGTGAGCCAAAATTACGCCACTGCATTCCAGCTTGGGAGACAGAGTGACACCCTATCTCAAAAAAAAAAAAAAAATTGGCTGGAAATCATCATTCTGAACAAAGTATTGCAAGGACAGAAAACCAAACACCGCATATTCTCACTCATAGGTGGGAATTGAACAATGAGAACACCTGGACACAGGTTGGGGAACATCACATACCTGGGCCTGTCATGGCGTGGGGGGAGAGGGGAGGGATAGCATTAGGAGATATACCTAATGTAAATGACGAGTTAATGGGTGCAGCACACCAACATGGCACATGCATACATATGTAACAAACTTGCACGTTGTGCACATGTACCGTAGAACTTAAAGTATAATAAAAAAAAATTTTTCTTTTAAATTCTGCATCTTGATTGTGGTTATGCAGGTACATTCACTTGTCAAAAGTCATCATATTGGATGACTTTTATAGTATGTCAATTATTCATCAGCACACTTGATCAATGTTTTTAATTAGGGAAGAAGAAATAGGCGAATAAGTTTTTAAAGGGTTATAAGTGCCCAGAGCCCACTATATGGACCATAGACAAGAACTGAAGGCAAAGGGGAACTCCAGAAGGTTGTTCTGTTCCTCCCTCTCTCAAAATATCAAAAAATCATATCTCAGAGCTGGATCACTTTTCTGAAGTATATTCCACAGAATACTAATTTCATGAGTTGCTCCTTGAATCAAAAGAATCTGAAGTCAAATAAATTTTGGAAATGCTCATACTTTATCCACCTTTTGGATGATCCCAACATATATTAGACCAGCACTGTCTAGGAAAATTATAACCCAAGTTCCATTAGTAATTTAACATTTTTGAGAAGCCATATTTTTAAATCAATTTAGGTTTAATAAAATATTTATTTTATGCCTACAAATACACACACATACACACACAAACACACAGAAACAGAGAGATTTATCACAAGGCATTGGCTCATATAATTAATTATGAAGCCAGAGAAGGCCCAAGATCTGTAGTTGGCAAGCTGGAGGGCCAGGAAAGCCAATAGTATAGTTCCGATCTGAGTCCATGTCTCAAGGCAGAAGACCAACGTTCCACCCTGAAGATGGTCAGACACAGAAAGAAAATTCTTTATTGCTCAGCCTTTTATTCTCTCCAGACCTTCAACAGATTGGATGTGGCCCACCCACATTAGGGAGTTTAATCTGCTTTCTGTGGTCTACTGATGCAAATGGTAATCTCATCCAGAAACACCCAGAGATCATGTTTAACCAAACATCCATGTGCCCAGTCAAGTTAACAATAAAATAAACCACATTTACATGCTTTTACACTGAACGGCACATCTCAACATAGATGAGCCACATATCAAGTGCTAAACAGCCACTTGGCTGATGGCCACCATATTGTAAGTAGAGCATTAGAATAATAAAGGCTCTGAGAAGACTTACAATAAAGAAACCTTTTTAATGTTGTTTAATCCAGTGTGTTCAAACTTTATTTGACTGCAGGACCCTTATTTCCAGTTATTGATCAACCAATTGATTGATTGATTGATTTTTACTGATTTCATTTATTATTATCTTGTTCTACAGTAACACACTTTAGAAATATCAACCTAGTTCAAAGTCCATAAAGTAGAGGTCCAACAATTAGATATAACCTACAGATGTGTTTTAGTTGCTTTTTTGAGTGATGTTTTAAAAATTGTTTTTGAGTAGTTTAAGCCAGCTTTTAAAAATTAGGAGATTTCACATGTAAATCTGGATTTGTAATTTAAAAGTGGAAACACCTGATCACACTGAGTCTGTATTTCCTCATGGCAACAATAGGCTAAAGTTGAGTGTCTGCTGCTCTCTTTATCATGGGGTGGGGAGTGGAGTGGGCTCAGAGGCACACAGCTCAGGGCATCCACACTAATGCTCCAATGTACGTATGTGTACCCACACCTGGGCAACGCATCCGTGAGAGTTATCTACTTGCCCTGTTAACAATTAAGTGTGCATGCCCTGATCAATCTCAGTCATCCCACTTTCAGATAAATAAATTTAAGCCTAGAGAGTTTAATTTAGGTCATTCACCTAAAGTCATTTCTTGAGTTAGTGGCAGAGGAAGAACCATTCCCCATTTCTCCTGATGGTTCTATATGCTGTCCTGATACTTCTACCGATGTTCCTTCTCCTTCTTTACCTTCAGAGAAGCACAGAATCTGTGAGCCTGACTTACTAACTCTTCACTCTCTCATTATGCTCTTTAAGTTGAAGTGATTCTCTCTGCCTGACACTATTTGGTTCTGCACTCATCACTAATGAGATGCTAACTTGAAACAAATCAAGGGATGAGAGAACCTTTGAGGAGGTCAATATATCCCACTGTGGTACCAGAGACAGTCCCAAATTCCTTAGATAATCATTCAGTCTTCTTGTTTGGACTTAATCAAAACATTGTGTCCACTGCTGAGGAGCATCCCGACTGAACAGAATCCCACCACGAGGCCTTCAGGAGATAGTGCATCTGGGCAGAATGCCAGAGCAGTCAGGATTTAGCTACTCCCAGAGGGACATGCATTCCTCCCATCACGATTCCAATCTCCTATGGCTGATTCTTATCTTGAGGCCAAGGCCAAGAGCATTTTTTTTCTTTATAACAACAGTTGATTTTCCTAGGGAGTTTCAGCTAGTTTTAATAAGAGAAAGTTTATCCAAGAATGTGGAAGTGTGTGTGTGTGTGTGTGTGTGTGTGTGTGTGTGTGTGTGTGAAGGTATGGGTGCTCTAATACCTGTTTTAGTGTGAAGTTTAGTAACCTTGAACATGAAAGGCTTCTTTCTTATCTCTGTGATTGCTGCTTGGTGGAGATTTAGGAAGTGATCTGCAGAAGAGAATGAAGAATCGAGTCAGAAGTTTTACACTCAGAGCTAACCTCATTGGCCTAGAAAGACAAGGAGCATAAAGAAAAGAAAATTCATCCCGAGTGGCCCTGTTTCTAGTCACCTAATGGACTCGTAAGTCTATTGCGTGTTAGGAGCTAAACCTAGAGGTTAAAGAAATGAGATGCCGTCCCTGAGATAACACTGTTTTCAAATGCAGACTCTTGGATCCTCCCAAGGAAAGCTCTTATTTCTTCAATTTCTTGCTATCGCCCAAATCATGAGCAGAGTGGCTCAGCGACCCGGCCAAGGAAGCACCATGAAGAGCTATACAAGGAGTGTCCTAAGATTGGCCTAGGGAGATGCTTCCGTACTTGCCATCCTTCAGTTGTAGTTAACCTCGTAAGTACTTCCAAAGGCAGAGCTGGTTTGAGAAGAGCCATGTTTCCTTTCTCTATGACATCTAGCAGAGTTTTGCACTTAGTAGTTATATTTGTCTGGCTTCCCCAGAAATCAGAGCCCAGAGTAGAGGCCTATTTCCTGTGGAAATAGGAAGCACAGCACCAGGGGGCAGGAATGAGGAGGAGGGGTTAGGCAGGGGCAGAAGAAGAGCCAACAGGAAGGTGTGTTCCTGACTTGCCATCCCGTGGTATCAAGTGAGACTTGGAATCAAGCACTCCTTCTTGTAGGACAGTCTTACGAGAGTCTGCATAAGCAACTCATTCTTAGAGCAGTCGAATAGGCAAGAAATATTTATCCTGTTATCTCAGTTTTGCAGAGACCACAAGGGCAAGAAGTATAGGCAATACCATCCCTCATTGTACTGTGAGGCGCTAAGCCATCTGCACAAGCAATGGCCCCAAGTTATCCCATTTGCTTGCATTCCCCCATTACCTACCTCAAGGTTAATAATGGGAAGCCCAGAGATTGGATAAAGAGAAAGATTAGAGAACATTTCTTTACAAAGAACAGTGTTTCTTTTCTCTCACCCAAGGCGGAAAGAAATGGAGTGTTCCTCCCTCCCCTTCATCTATTTTCATCAGGAGTATAACTCAGACACTTGACTTTTTCCCATGGAATTTGGAGACACAGGGACTGGTACCTGTCTCACGCCTGAAAAAAATGAATGGAACGGGCTTTTGGCAGGAGGAGGAGGGCAGGAGAGCAAAGAGAATGGCCTGAAATCTCAGAGGTTGAGGTAACAATGCATCCGTGTTGCTTTGGGTCATGTGAGGACCTTCTGAAAGAGCCCCGGCCATGAGTTGTTTTGAAATGGACCCCACCTAAGAAAGCTGCAGGAACAAGGTGACCCTAGTGAAGAAGTGGGTCAGCAGAAGCCAGTAGACAAAGGCATCATAAATAGCTGGGTAACTGAGGGATCACCTCCTCAAGGAACTGTGGGGTAGCAGAGCTTAGCATGGAGGAGACTGCATGGGAGGGAGCTATAAAAAACTCAAAAATATACACAAGAGAAGATGTCAAAATGTTCACCGTGACACAGTCACAGCATACCAATGCCAGGTAAAGCCTCACCACCCACATGAGACTGTGTTCTCCTCCAAGCTCATCGTCACCTTCCCAGCTAGTGAATGAAGGAGTAGGTAGCCAGAGGACATGAGGGAGAAGCCAGGCTGTGTCTCCTTCCACGACTTGGGGTAGAGCTGCCCAAGGCAGGCTCAGGCAGAGGGAGGGAAGAACTTTTAAACTGAATAAGAGCCCAGCGTTTTGACGTTAGGCTGGTCTGGGTTGTATTATCATTATTACCCCCAAAGAAATAACCAGAAAAGCTTTGGGAACTTTCTGGGACTTTATCCAAAGGCAGAGAAAAAAGTACATGAACAAAACAAGTTGGAAAGGGGTGGTGGTGAGGAAGGTGGAAATTGTTCTCTATGTGCCCCGCAGAGCAACGGAGCAGGAGCAATGGAGCAGCTCCAGTGATCAGCAGAAGGACTGCGTTTTGTGGGGGCGCATCGGAAATGCCGTGTAACTTCTTTTGTTAAATAGATGTCAAGACAGAAACTAGATGCCATATAATCCCATCAGTGATTCTTTTCTACAGAAACTAATTTACTAAAACATCACAGGAAAGTCCCTGGACATGTGAGGTATTCGTTGAGCAATCTGTCTTCTTCCCCTCAACCTCTCTGCTGGGTTTCCCTCCTCCTTAACTGGCAAATACACTTTGCCAACAGCAAAGATGTCAAAAGCAAATTTCTAGGGCAAAATAATACCAACTCTTGACTGTGAAACTAAAATTCTTAGAGAATACATGAGAACCAATAGCACCAAGTTGGTCATTTTCTTAAAAAAAAAAAAAAAAAAAAGCACTGTAAAAACGATGGAGAAAACAATTAAAAAAATAGAGTGATAAGTCAGCTGGAGCTTGAGGAAAATCAAGGGAAAGGAAGAAAATAGAGATACCCACAAAATTTGGGGGTATACATATGAAGGAAAGGACGGCTGACAGGCTGGCTCCCAGCTGTTATTTGAAAGTGGCAGCCCTAGGGACAAAAAAGAAAATGGAAAACAGTGGATGGTGTATTTAAAGATAAGATTCTAAGTGGAGTTAAGACTCTTCTGTGGGCCTGGGAATGGTGTGAGAAGGAGCTCTAGATTTTCCTGGGTCCAGAGTGAGAGGCAGGAGGCAGCTGAATGGTTGCCCTGACCAGCCCCAAGAATTTCCTGATAAAATGAAGGGAAACACATCAAAGCAAAATACTGGGCTATCTGCCAGATGTGCGACTGGGCAGCTGCATCTGTATGGGAGCATCCACGCCATATCCCCACGCTGCAATCGGGTGTGCCACTCCCCAGAGCCACCGATGCATCCCTCCTGTGGCAAGTGGAAAAAAAGAACACACAAGGACAACAACTGCTGACGGTAGAGAGAGACTTAAAAGAAGCCTCCAAATGGGACATCCCTCCACCTGGACTCATCACCTGGCTGAGGTTGTTGCTTTATAATCAGCAACAGTAAGGACGGGAAGCAGAAAAGAAATTCAGATGAACAGCTTTGAACAGACTGCTAGGAATCACTAGATTGGAAGCTCAGAATGAACTGAATTAAGTGATTTATAGATAGTAGGTAGTGGATCAGAGCAGAGATCAGACCAAAATTATAGCAACAAACTCTATTCTCTGCAAGCTGCATCTGACGAACTCTTGTAGCTGTGAAACGACCCAGCCTCTGGAGAATGCAAAGCTTTCTCTTTTTCTCTGGTGGCGGAGAGAGGGAAGCAAAGTGGGATGGAATGGCTAGGTCCTGACTTCCTTCATATGATTTTCTTATTCCTCTTCCCTCCTTGATCACATCAGTAAAGAGACAGAAGACAGACTAAGCTACTTAAACTACATTTCTTTGTGATTTCCTTTTTTTATTCCATTGGAATAAAAATGTCTCCACCCCATTCCCTTCTTTTCTATTACGTTCTTAAAAAGCTTGCATCAATTTGTTTAAAGGTTATACATCAACCACCCTTAAATTGCTACCAGTTTAAGAACTCCCTGGCAGAACCCAGCTTCCACAAGGAGTTATTTCCTTTTTCTGAATATTTAAGCAGAATAAAACCATTTACAGATAAAAATATGCAACGGCCACCTTCTTTCCTTATGAAATTGAGGGGCTGTCAGTTCTAGCTCCCTCTTACTGAAATGAATATTTGGACTACACCAGTATGAAAATAAAACGTCTTGACAGTTTCTCGAGGTTAATGGTGCAGAACCACCTGTATTTAACATTCCGACTTCTACTCCATTAACGCGCCTAACTCAGTTTTCTTTATCTGCCAAGGAGAAATGGAACAAAAATCAATATCCTACCCAAAGCAGTGATGAGGTTTTATTCCCCCTCAAATCTCAAAGGAATGTCAGACCCCTTTATATCAAGAATCTCCCTAAACAAATTGCGGGTTGCCACTGTGTGAACCAATGTTGTATGAAATCAAGAGTTGAAACGATTGCCACCTCGTTATTTATTTTCCATCCTGCAACATATATTTCATGTTCGCGTTAGTGCATTCAGATGCCAAGGAGATAAGTACTTTAACAATCCTAAGACAGAAGTCTATGGAGGCACTTGTTAATAGCTTCAATACATTTCCTTGTGTTGTAAATTTCAGCTTTCATATCTTTCCAAGAAGTTCCTCCCACTATTTTGGCAGTGAATGAACTTGCCAGGAGGCCTGTTCTCCATCCTCCCTTTCTTCTTACTTCATCTCCCACTCGGACCCAGGCCCAGCCTTCCTGAGGCACAAGCTGCACACTGGGATCCCTCCCCAGCTGCAGGCACACTCTGGGAGCCTTGCCCACTCATGCCCAAGGAAAAGGGTCACAGCAAGGCTGGTGCTGCTATGGGAATGAGGTGGCGGCTCCTCCTTGGTTACATTGCTCCAGGCTGATTCTCTGCCTCTCAAAGTGGAAAGCATGTTTGCCTAGACCCTTCTCAACTTCCAATGGCCATTCATACTTCAGCTACTTCTTGAACCACAGCTTCTTCTTCCCTGAGTTGCACTGGCTGATTAACTGACCTATTCCTGCCCCAGCGCTTATCTGACTCTTGATATTTATAGAACTTCCCCCTACCCCAGCCTAGGGTTGCTCTTGGTCCTAATCAGTTCTTCCTGCCATTTCACCCTTGCCATTTAAACACCAGGGTCATGTGCCCTGTGTTTTGAGTGTGTACTTTATCTGTTAGATCAGTGGTCAGCAAACGTTTCCTGTAAAAGGCCAGAGAGTAAGTTTTTGTTGTTGTTGTTGTTGAGACAGAGTCTTGCTCTGTTGCTCAGGCTGGAGTGCAATCGTGCAATCTTGGCTCACTGCAACCTCCGCCTCCCAGGTTCAAGTGATTCTCCTGCCTCGGCCTCCTGAGTAGCTGGAATTACAGGCACGCACCACCACACCCAGCTAATTTTTGTATTTTTAGTAGAGACGGGGTTTCGCCATGTTGGCCAGGCTGGTCTCGAACTCCTGACCTCAGGTGATCCACCTGCCTCTGCCTCCCAAAGTGCTTAGATTACAGGCATGACCCACTGCGCCTGGCCAAAAGTGAGTATCTTAAACATCATGGGTCATGCCATCTCTATCCTAACCACTCAGACCTGCCTTTGGAGTGTGAAAGCCACCCTAGCCCGTAAGTAAACAAATGAGCCTGGCTGTGTTCCAAGAAAATCTCATTTATGGACAGCTGAAATTTGAACCTCTTCTAAATTTCACTTCGTAAAACATTATTCTTCTTTTGTTTTTCAAAAAATCCATTTAAAGATGGAAAAGCAATTTCATAATGCTGTATGAAAACAGGAATGGGGCTTCGTTTGCTTGGTCTCTGTGTTAGGGATTTTCAATAAGTTTCTTTGCAAGTGGCAGAGTAGATGTGCAAAAAGTAGTTACTTTGTGAGTAATTTTTTAAAAAAAAAAGATAAAGAAATGAACGATGGAATGAAGGACTGAATGGTAAAATGAAAGGATTAATGAAGAAATGAAGGCATGAAGAACGAAATACCTATGAAAATTATTTGCTCCAAGGAACTCTGAAAATGTCTTCAATCATTTTTCCTTTTAATTCCAGTCTCCATTTCCAGCTCTAGAATACCCTGTATCCAGTCTTCCTTGCCATGTCCCATTCACTCATTCAATAAATGCTTATTGCACACCCGCTAAGGTACTGCGAGGCCTATTGCCAGGCGCTGAGAATAGAACAATGGAGAAGACAGGCCCCATCTTCAGGGAGCTCAAGCCCTAGAAGGGGCTTTAATAAGTGAGCAAGAAATCATATTACCATATGAAATGTCTATGAAATGGTTCAGGGTACTCTGGAATCACATGGGATGTTACCAGAGTCCAGATGGAATTAGGCTTAAAAAGATTTAGGAATTTGAGATCAGCCTGGGCAACATAGTGAGGACACTGTCTCTATAAAAAAAAATAGAAAAAATTAGCCAGATGTTGTAGTGAGTGCCTGTAGTCCTAGTGACTCAGGAGGCTGAGGTAATGGGATCCCTTGAGCCCGGGAGGTCCAGGCTGCAGTAAGTCATGATTGTACCACTGCACTACAGCCTGGGTGACAGAGCAAGACTCTGTCTCAAAAAAAAAAAAAAAAAAGGATTTAGGGAGATCAAGGGAGATGGGCCAGGTGGACACTGTGACTTCCACCAAGACAGGACTCCTTTGCTTTTTGATCAGACAAAACTCATGTAAGTCAGTAGGTAAATTCTGGGATCCTCAACAGGACAGAGCCCAAATGACATGTTACGCACTGAATTTTGATGTCTCTCCGCCACCCCAAATAAGCTGAACGGTGGTGTTTGGAGGGGGGCCTTTGGGAGGTGATTACATCATGAAGGTAAAACCCTCATGAATGAGATTATTGCCCTTATGAAAACACGAGAGGTCATTTTTCTCTTCACCATGTGAGGATACAAGGAATAAGTTGCTACCAGCAAACCAGGCTGAGTGCAAACCAGACATCACATCCGCCTTGGTTGTGGACTTCCCAGCGTCCAGAATAGTGAGAAATATATGTTTGTTGTTGAGGCCATTCTATCCATGGTATTGTGTTTTAGTAGCCCAAATTGACTAAGACAGGTTCCCCTAAGGTTCAAAAGACTTATCGGAAGTTCTCTTACCAGCCCTTTAATCATCAATCTGCATGTTTGTTGTTTATAAATCCCAAGAAGAATTTGAGATAAATTTTAATCTTAAAACACATGTAAAATATTTTCTTCAAACAAAGAAAAATCATGCTGCAGTTGCCATGTGTTTTAACGAAAGATACAGAAAGGTTCTCAAAAGGGGTGTTTCTTGCACGGCTCTTAGATAAAAGCTAGGGAAGCAGCATTAAATCTTAACAGAGTGGAAGCGTTTCTAAAAGGGACTAAGATAATACGGACCAGACACATGGCTTTCTGCAGACCAATCTCAATCCTGGGCCTGAGCTCAAAGAATGTAGATGAATGGATGTTTAACATGAACCCTCAACAGACTCTTATGCACATCACATCTCCAGCCAGCTTCTGGCAAGTGCTGAATTGTAGCAAATTCATGATGGGTTTCCCTGATGAGTTCCTGAAGTGTCAGTGGACCCTGCTTTAATCACTGAAAGGCAAAGGCAGCCTTCCGGGGAGGTAGACAGAGCCATACATAGTGCAGTGGGAGAGGCAGGAAAGCCCGCTACTCAAAAACATCTGCATGTGTCCAGGTGCCACAGAGCTGCAAGCCTTCCATTAGAGCAAACCTCATCACATCACTGCCCCTGCTCAGCTTTCTCCAGGGATTCCCTATCAATTTCCAAATAAAATCCACACCCCTTGGAGTGATATAAAGGGATCTTCAGAGAAAAAAAATTAAGTTAGATCTCTACCTCATGCTTTAAACCAAAATAATTTCCAGATGGGTTGAAGAGTTAAATGTAAGAAATAAAACCTAAAAGAACTTGAAAAAAGTACACATGAGTAAGCATTCTCTGATCTAGGGATCGCAAAGATTTACTAAACATACAAGCAAAAAAAGGAAAAGGTGGATAGATTGGACCATATAAAAATTAGGAAGGTCTATATATCACAAAAATGAAACCAATGAAATCAAAAGGTGGGCAGCAAATAGGAGAAAATATTTTACCACATGATGAAGGGCTAATGTCTTTAAAATTAAAGCAGCTCTTCACAAAGAAATGAGAGAAAAAAAATACAATAGAAAATAAAGGGATATAAGACATGAACAACAGAAGAAATAGGAATTTATTGATTTGTTCAACAAATATTTATGCTTACTCTATGCCACAAGGTGTTATAGGTACTGTGTGGCACACAGTGTCCTGCTGCTGGGCGTGGTGGCTGTCTGGGGCAATGTCTGAGTCCCTGTCTAGACATTTCCTCCAGCAAAAACAGCTGATTGATATGGTTTGGATCTTTGTCCCTGCCCAATTTTCATGTCAAATTGTAATTCCCAGCGTTGGAGGTGGGGCCTAGTGGGAGGCGATTGGATCATGGGGGTGGTCCAGGAGATGGTTTAGCACCATCTTCTGGCACTGTTTTCATGATAATGAGTGAGTTCTCACAAGACCTGGCTGTTAAAGTGTGCAGTACCTACCCCCTCTCTCTCTTCCTCCTGTTCCGGGCATGAAAATGTGCCTGCTTCTCCTTAGCCTTCCATCATGATTGTAAGTTTCCTGATGCCTCCCCAGAAACAGAAGCTGCTATGCTTCCTGCACAGCCTGCAGAATCGTGAGCCAATTAAACCATTTTTCTTTATAAATTACCCAGTCCCAAGTATTTCTTTATAGCGATGTGAAAACAGACTAACACACTGCCTCTCCCAAGGTATGTCCCTCCTTTGGGAGAGCCTGTACCCAATGGCTGGCCCAAGGAGGAGCTACAAAGGGTGGGTCTCATTGCCTTGAGTCAAGATAACTCTGAAGGCCACCCTAGCTCCCAGTCCAGCCTCTCCCCTGTCCTGTCTGGTTGGCTCACTCTTTCAGGTGATATCCTGAGATTGCCGCCCAACAGGCATACGGTAGCCAATCTATCTCAGGTCTCTTTCCAGGGAACCTGATGTAAGGTAAGT
This sequence comes from Homo sapiens, assembly GCF_000001405.40. Classification (NCBI taxonomy): domain Eukaryota; kingdom Metazoa; phylum Chordata; class Mammalia; order Primates; family Hominidae; genus Homo; species Homo sapiens. The sequence continues at coordinate 13,990,983 of NC_000017.11, forward strand.
GTTCAGCTTACCCAGTCATCAAAGAGACACAAAGGGAAGCAATGAAATGCCCTTTTGCCTATCCAGTTAAAAAGATCTACTTTTAAATGAAAATACCTGATATCTCTTAAGGAAGAGGTGCTCTTCTATCAGCCTGATGGGATGCAAATTCATATCACTTTTCTGAAGGACAGTTTAGCACCATGTGTCAAGCTCATATGAAAACACAGAGGTTACTCTGATGTTTCAAATTCTAAAGACTTCTCTCCCAGAAACATCTGTCAATAAGGTGACTTTCACTTTAGACAAGCTGAGTTCAAGGGGAACATATCTAGTAAGATCAAAGACTCCAACAAAAGAATAATTAGTTAATAAATTATGGCACCTACCTAGTATCAGCCATTCAAAACTATTTACAACATACTCATGACATGGAAACATATTCACAAGACTTTTTAAAATTTATTTTTTATGAAGTTGGGGGTCTTGCTATGTTGCCCAGGCTGGTCATGAACTCCTGGGCTCAAGCAATCCTCCCACCTCAGCCTCCCAAAATGCTGGGAGTACAGTTGTGAGCCACTGTGCCCAGCATCACAAGGCTTTAAGCTTAACAGATGTTTAAGAAAATTGCAGGTGTAGTATGAGCTCAGTTTTTATAACTTACACGTAGGAAGACCTTAAACTTTAGTTTAAAATGGAGTAACAAGCTGGGGCCTATAAAAAAGAAATTGAGTTTATGGGTGTATTATACTTGGCTGAAGCAGAATTTGCAATTTAAATAATTTGCATGGGGTTTTTGGTGGGTCAAGGGGAGGGCAGATATACACTGTGTTTGCATTGCACCGCAGTCCCCACTACTCTCTATTACCTGTTATCTTTTTTCCTTTCCTAATTATTGAAGGCATTGAGTTTCTGATTCTGATTTAAAACTGCAAGCAAAAGAAGGAAAGTGATTCACAGGAAAATGGCTCTTGTATTGTCAGCAAAAAGGCGCTTGTTTTGTCAGCAAAACACTTTACCGAACTGCTTTGGTTGTGGAAAGATACCCTGTAAAGGCAGGTTGATTTGGTAATTTTGGCATGCAGATAGATGTTGCTTTCACTTACTGCAGTAGGAACAGCAGAGGGGAAATTGATTTCTGGAGGGGAGACGGTGACTTCAAAGGAACACATGTCCAGCCTGGGGTGCTTGGGAGATAGTCAGCTAAAGATACCCTATGAGAAGCAGTATCTGCAGGCCTGAATTTCTGTGTGGAGATGGTTACTGACACCGTCAGTAAGAGTGAAAACATCAACACGTGCATAATGTTAGCAGAGGACATAGAACCAAGCCCTGAGAAAATGATGGGTTTTTTTGTTTGTTTGTTTGTTTGTTTTGAGACGGAGTCTCGCTCTCTCACCCAGGCTGGAATGCAGTGGTGCGATCTCGGCTCACTGCAAGCTCCGCCTCCCGGGTTCCTGCCATTCTCCTGCCTCAGCCTCCCAAGTAGCTGGGACTACAGGCGCCCGCCACCCCTCCCGGCTAATTTTTTTTGTATTTTTAGTAGAGACGGGGTTTCACCGTGGTCTCGATCTCCTGACCTCGTGACCCACCCTCCTCGGTCCCCCAAAGTGCTGGGATTACAGGCGTGAGCCACCGCACCCGGTGAAATGATGTTTTAATTCTCATGTTCCTTGACCAGGATCAGCTTGCAAAACTATGGACCACTCCCTCCTTCTCAAAGAACTCCTTTCCTGAGGTTTCATAGACACGACCTTCTGATTTCTCTGTCTCTTTTTTTTTTTTTTTTTTTTTTGAGACAGGATCTCACTCTGTCACCCAGCCTGGAGTGCAGTGGTACCATCATGGCTCACTGTAGCCTCAACCTCCCTCTGCTCAAGCCATCCTACCTCAGCCTCCCAAATAGCAGGGACTACAGGTATATGCTACCAAGTCCAACTAAATTTACTTTTTATACAGTCAGGGTTTCATCATGTTGCCCAGGCTGGTCTTGACCTCCTGGGCTCAATTGATCCTCCTGCCTGGGACTCCCAAAGTGCTGGGATTACAGGAGTGAGCCACTGCACCTGGCCTGAGTTATCGTTTGGAGGCAGGGTAAAGCCCAGCCTGAGTTATCTTCCGGGGCAGAGTAAAGAAGGGTCCATAACGGACAGGACAACCAGGGAAGTGTCAGAGAGGCTAATAAAAAACATGTTTCAAAATGGAAGTAATAAATCAGCTGTAACAAATGATTCAGAAAATGAAAGAGAATTTAGGATTTTCGAAAGCATTTCTTGATGTTAGCAATAAGAAGGGATTTTTGCAACGTTGGGAAGAGGAGCTTTGGGGGAGTGAAAAATGTCAGAGATGTGGGGAGAGCGTGGGAGGTGAGGAAGAGGTGAGGAAGAGGTGATAGCAGGTAATGATAGCTCCTTCAAGATGAAATTGTGAATAGCAGTATATAAATTTTGCAGAACCTTGATACTCATGTATACTCATTAATGTTTATGAGTGTGTCGGGGTGTGTGTGTGGGGGGGGGGGTTTGTGCGTGCATTTTCTATATAATGGCCAAGAGCAGGGGTTGGCAAACGTTTTCTGTTTAGGGCAGACAGTAAATATTTTAGACTTTGTGGGCCACGTGGACTGTGCCCCAACTATTTATCTCTGACATTGTAGCATTTTTACAGTACATCATTTTCTTCTCTCTTATGACTTTCTTCAGATCAGTGGTTCTCAAAACTTTAGCTTGCATCAAAATCACTTGAATACCTTTGTTAAAAATAGACTGCTGAGCCCCTCCCTGGGAGTTTTTGATTCAATAGATCTAGGGTGGGGGCCCAAGAATTTGCATTTCTAACAAGTTCCCAAGAGATGCTGCTGGTCCAGGGACCATACTTGGACAATCACTGCTCTTGGTTTCAGCAATGAATGTTAGATCTCCCAATAAGACTGAAGTCATCCATGGAACAGGCCATGTTTTCTATTTCTTTTGAGGTTAACCCCACTCTCTCAGGTAACTTTACACAGTTCAACACGTATGAAACATACTCTGCTGCCTTCCCAATGTGTAACAGCCTGCCAGCAGAGGTAAAGCTAATATGTAAGTATTGACACTATTGTTCTCCATATATATAAGAAGGTCTCAGAAGTCAAAGCAGGAGAGGATCATCTAAATACTTCAATTCAGTGGTGTGCTGATCAATGTTTAACAGCCAGTTGGAAGGTAGGGAGCAGGGAGGTGCTGATTTGTAACATTTGCCAATTTCTGTTGTGTAAATGCTCCTCCCCTGGCCAAGTTCAAGCTACCAAGGCAATGCCTCTAAAGGCAGTGTTAGAAAAATATGTACACCGTGGACTCGTGGGAGCCAGGATAAGCGGGGTCCAGCCCAGCACCTTATCACCTCCGTCAGCATCCCCAGGAAGAAAGGCGTGGGCAGAGAAATCACTGCTGCTGAATGCTCAGTGGCTCTACCCAGCTCAGCCCCTGGCCTGTCTGGTTTTCACGGGGGGTTCTGAAACTCTGAAATATGGAATGTTAAGACTCCTCTTCCAGTGGCTTCAGTGAAAAACAGTTTAAATGGCACAGCCACACAGAGCCCATCCTAGGAGGCTTGTCTCTACCAACCCCCTCCATTTGCTTCCCTTTTCCAGTGTTCCAAGAGGAAAGAAGGCCGAGTATAGGCAGCAGTGGACTCAGGTCTTGTTTCAGATAGGATGGCAGGAGCTGATTCAGTTCTTAGGACCTCTGAGGAAGAACAACCACAACCTGCTCTTGTGGCTTTTCTTCTACTGGTTCTAGCCATCTGGGCTTCAGAAATGTAAAAGGTACAGAGCAGAGCTCTCAACTCCAGCTGCTCATTAAAATCATCTGAGTAGTGTTGCTAATTCTTTTAATATAAAAGCACCAACACCCACCCCATATCTTCTGATTTATCTCATCTGGAGTAAGGCTTGAGTATTTTTAATACATGTTATTAACATTCAGCTAGGGTTAAGTAGCCTGAGCTGGGGCAGAGTCATTGACCTATTGTCCAAAAGGATGGAGATCCCAAATAGTCCAACCCTCATTTAAAAGATGAGAAAACTGGCCAGGCACGGTGTCTCAGGCCTATAACCCCAGCACTTTGGGAGGCCAAGGCAGGAGGGTTGCTTGAGCCCAAGAGTTCAAGACCAGCCTGGGCAACATAGTGAGACTCTGCCTCTACCAGAAAAAAAAAAAATAGGAAGAAAATAACTTAGCTGGGCATGGTGGCATGCTCCTACAGTCCCAGCTCCTCAGGAGGCTGAGGTGGGAGGGCTGCTTGAGCCCAGGAGATTGAAGCTGCAGTAAGCTATAATCGTGCCACTGCACTCCAGCCTGGGTGACAGAGCGAGATCCTATCTAAAAAAAAAAAAAAAAAAAAGAAAAGAAAAAAAAAAGAAAATACCTCATATTCCTTTTCTGAACTTTCTCCTCTGTTCCCTGTATAAAACAGAACAAAAAGAAAAGGAAGATGAGAAAACTGGAACGCAGAAAAACTTACGGATTTGTCTGTGATCGCAGGGCTAGTTAATTGCACCAGTAAGCTTAGAATCTGTTCTCTGTGACTTGTAGTCAAGCGCTTTTTCTGATGCACCATACTGATTCTTGTGGTCTGAGAAGCAATGACATTAAACACATTTGACCTTTTTGAACTTTCCTCTGACAAGGGCTTGGGCACTCAGGTACTCAGCCCAGGTCCCTTTATTTCCATAAGGAAGTTCCTAATGTTTATATTAGAAGAAGACAAAACAAGGCTTGATATTGCTTCCTGCCCGCATCAGTAGTAAGTTGTCTTTGAAACATCTTTCTCCTCCAGTCTCAGAGAAAATGTTTTTTTGACTTGGCATGCTCACAGATTAAAAAAAAAAAAAAGGATGATTAAATTTGCTTTTAAGTTACCAAATGCACCATGCAGGTCTGTAATTGACCATGAGAGTGTCGGGGAAAATATGATCTATCCCCTATAAATCAGGAAACCTTAAACAGGCTCTCTAATCGTAAATGCCGATCCTGGCAGTGTCCAAAAAGGCTCATGTTTATAAATTGTTCCCTGATGTTTTAAGTAAGTGCACAAACACAAATCATACTAAGGACTTCAGAAAAGACTTAGCTGTGTGGCAATTTATTATAAGCAGTGTAATTTTCATCAGTCAGGCAGCCATGGACTGTAATTACCTCTCTACCGAAAGAGTTACAATTGCTTTCATTACATTTTCCTAGTCATGTGCTTCTCTGGATTGCCACAGAGACACTGGATGGAAAATGCATTTATTTATTGTTAGTCCTCCTAATGGCTCATTACTTGGTTTCTAAAGACGTTATCAAGTCACTTGCTTTCCCTACTCTTCCCCACCCCCGCCAGTGACATTTATAGAAGACAAAAGAGACACAACTTGAAAACCGACAGCACATGTCAAGCACCCGAAAACTGCCCAGCATCTACAGACAACCAACTCTGGTTTGAGGAGTCCCTGTTAGGCTGGCTAAAGTTCAAATGCTGAAGATTAATTAAAACCACACTCCACTGAACACAACTACCAGCCTCCCAGTCACAACTGAAAAAGAAACCGCATTTTGTTCCCTATAGTTAGAGCTTTACAGGAACATTTAGAGGACTGGGAAAGCAGTCTCCAATCCTGTCTCCCACATGGGCGGGTGCATTTAATTAGAGGGCCATGTCGCACCTTGGACTTCAAACAGGCAAAGGCAGGGGATGTGTTCACCCTTCTCCTATCCCCACTACCTCCCAATACCATAAAGAGAAAACTGGAGACAGAGATGGTGAGTTGGGAGGGTGGGAATGAATTGGTTGAGGAGTAGACCCTGTCTACACAGTGGCGGATGAGTTTTATCAAGCCAAATCATTCTGTCAGTCATTGAGGAGGGGTTTGCTTCTTGCTTAGAGGAAGAGACAACTGTGGGTCACATTCCATAGAAATCTTCCCACGTGTGTGCTCATCTCTTCCCTGCTGTGTACTCATAACTCTGCCACTCAGCAGCTATGACTCTGAGCAAGACACTTAACCTTGGCGAACCTCTGCTCCCTGAAGAGCTACTGAGGGGTCAACAGTGGGAATTCCAAACTGTCACTATTTCCACTGTCAGATCAAACTTGGGGCACATGAGAAAGGGAAGGGGCTATGTGCAAACTCCAGGAGAATTCCTTTCTGTGTGGTTTTTCTTCTCGTTTTTACCTTTTATTTATTTTTATTTATGTTTATGTTTTAATTTTACTTTAAGTTCCAGGATACGTGTGCAGAATGTGCAGGTTTGTGACATAGGTATACATGTGCCATGGTGGTTTGCTGTACCTGTTTTTACCTTTTAAATTGGAATCCATGTCACTACACACAGAAGTAGGAGCCCTACCTAGGAACTCCTCTGTAGTAGTGTTGAGAAAAGAGATGGTGTACTATATAGTCTAGAAACACAGAATGCTAAAATTTTAAATCTCAGAAGGATGGGAGCAATATTGTCCGTTCCAGTGTTCTTTTTTGTTATTTTGTTTGTTTGTTTGAGACAGATTCTTGCTCTGTCACCAGGCTGGAGTGCAGTGGCACGATCTCAGCTCACTGCAACCTCCACCTCCTGGGTTCAAGCGATTCTCCTGTCTCAGCCTCCAGAGTAGCTGGGATTACAGGAGCCCGCCACCAGGCCCAGCTAAGTTTCATATTTTTAGTAGAGATGGACTTTCACCATGTTGGCCAGGATGGTCTTGATCTCTTGACCTTGTGATCCACCCACCTCGGCCTCCCAAAGTGCTGGGATTACAGGCGTAAGCCACCATACCTGGCTGTGTTCTTATTTTATAATTAAGAAAACTAAGCCCCAGAGAAGCTCAGTAATGTGTCAGAGTCACAGAGCTGCTTAATCACCAGTACAACAACTACCAGTCTAGACTTTACCCTACCAAATTATCCCTTCCTGACACACCTGGGTGAGTGACAGGGCTGTGGTAAGGAATACAATTCTCCTGACTTTGTTCCTGCACACCACAGAGTACCCATCTTCTTGAGCGTGCATTGAAAGTAGCTTAAAACAGGGGATCCAGTAAATGTTGGCTAAATCCGGATGCTCTGTTTTCCTTCTAGAGCCCTCCCTTAGAATTACTCATAGGTCTGAACCCGGGAATAAAATCATACTCTTCCCATTAAGATGGAGCCCTGAGGATGCCTGCCATGTAGCATGAGCCATGGCCAGGCATGCATGTCCTCTTTGTGGTCAGCCACTGGGAAGCCTAGGAGTGGACGTATCCCCCCTTGAACTACTTCCCATGAGAGTGGGGGACAGTCACAATTTCATTCCACCTTAAGGAGTCCCCATTGGCTGTGCCACAAATAGTTAAAACTAATCCAAAGGCCAGGTGGGGTGGCTCACTCCTGTAATCCTAGCACTTTGGGAGGCCGAGGTGGGTGGATTGCCTGAGCTCAGGAGTTCAAGACCAGCCTGGGCAACACGGTGAAACCCTGTCTCTACTAAAACACAAAAAAATTATCCAGGCATGGTGGCATGCGCCTGTAATCCCAGCTACTCTGGAGGCTGAGGCAGGAGAATTGCTTGAACCCGGGAGGCAGAGGCTGCAGTGAGCTGAGATCACGCCACTGCACTACAGCCTGGGTGACAGAGCGAGACTCTGTCTCAAAAAAAAAAAAAAAAAAAAAAACAAACTGATCCAAAATGCTCCCCAGTGACAGGGCTAGGCATAAACTCATACTTTATAAGGCTGGTTCATTCAGGGTAAAAATTTCTGCTTTTTATTTGTCAAATGGAAGAGCTCTTGCTGTTGGATGAGTCTCTCACTTCTGCAGAAATCCTATACCCTCCATTTCCTCCCATTTGCTTGCATTTCACAAATGGCCACATCATTTTGTCAAATTGTGGAGCCACTTGGAAATTGGGCGTAGAGTTTTGCATAATCATTCATGTCATGCCTGTGACACTCTGTGATTATACATAATGGTCTCTGAGGAGTCCTGCTGCAGGGGAATGCTACCTGGTCTGCCTCAGAGCCAGGTCTCATTACAAGCATTTTATAGAGCAGGACACTGAGGGAAAATAGCTATGTCTATAGCCCCTGTGTAGACAAGCAGGAAAAGCAGGAAGCTCAGCATTAAGCAGTGGGTTAATGTCAGGAAAATGAAATTGTAGACTTGTCTGAAATTAACCTTCTTAAAAATTATTTCAGTTCAATTGACTTCTGTGCCTAGACACAAAGGCCAAATTTCACTAAAATTTCACAACAAAGAAACAAAAGTTAGTTCTTGCTGCAGGACAGTTTCTCTTCTCTGAAGGAAAAGACTTAAGCATTTGTTAAGAATGGAAAGACGTCATCAACAGTAGATCTTGGGTGATGGGGACATAGGATTTCATTACTATCCTCTTCACTTCTCTGTATAATTGATACTTTTTATATTAAAACGTTTTCTTATAAAACATGTAATGTATCTCTTTGGTTGTTTGTTGGAATGTTTGACCCTATATTGAATTTCAGACTGTGTAGAAAAATAAATGCACCCCAGCAAATCCCAGCGAAGCCAAATCTCCATAAAGATGGGGCAATGAAAGAGCAAAGGTATTTTGTGCCTCCTTTTCTGGGAAGGGCCCCATGGAGGCAGCAAATCACCAGAGAAGAGAAGGCAGCGTGGTATGTCAAGGTACATGAGTTGTATACAGTCTTGTAGACTTTCCCAGAACCTGCCTTAGTTACAGAGATGCAAAATGCGTCACACACACCCAGGAGTGGCATAGACACTGTAGAAATGGCTATTGCACCAGAAAGGGCCTCACAAGAGAAACAGGAAACAATCTCAGGCCGGGAGTGGTGGCTCACGCCTGTAATGCCAACATTTTGGGAGGCCAAGGCAGGCGAATCATAAGGTCAGGAGTTCGAGACCAGCCTTGCCAACATGGTGAAACCCCGTCTCTACTAAAAATACAAAAAATTAGCTGGGCGTAGTGGCGGGCACCTGTAATTCCAGCTACTCAGGAGGCTAAGGCAAGAGAATCACTTGAACCCGGGAGGCGGAGGTTGCAGTGAGCCAAGATCGTGCCACTGCGCTCCAGCTCAGGTGACAGAGCAAGACTCCATCTCAAAAAAAAAAAAGAAAGAAAGAAACAATCTCAGCAAATGCTGTGTAGCAAGATGACATCAAGGGCATGATGTCCCTAGAACATCAATGGAACCCCAAGAAACAGGAAGAAAATTTCCAGAAATGACAAGCATTATCTTTCCAATAGCCAGGTAGTAGATATTGAAATAAATCAGGTTATAGAAAAACAAAATTGCATTTATTGCACACTTGATTGTGTAAACTAAGTTTCGCCCCTTCCACACGTGCCTTCCCAGAGAGTCACCATCTCTCCCCCTCTGAATGCTACTCAATTCTCAAGTTTCTGTCTAAAAACCACTTCTACCATGGATCCTTCTTTTAGGACTCTAACCCGTACTGACATCGTTTGGATATTCTCCCCTCAAAATTTCATGTTGAGGTCGGTACAGAGGCTCATGTGTATGATCCAGCACTTTGGGAGGCTAAGGCAGGTGGATCACTTGAGCCAAAGTCAAGACCAATCTGAGCAACATGGCAAAACCTCATCTTTACAAAACATACAAAAAGTTAGTCAGGCATGGGGGTGCACACCTGTAGTCCCAGTTACCCCAGAGGCTGAAGTGGGAGGATCACCTGAGCCCAAGAGGTCAAGGCTGCAATGAGCTGTGATCAGGCCACTGTACTTCAGCCTGGGTGACACAGTGTGACTCTGTCTCAAAAGAAAAAACAAATCTCATGTTGAAATTTGATCCCCAATGTTGCAGGTGGGGCCCGGTGGGAAGGGTTTGGGTTATGGGAGTGGATCCTTCATGGCTTGATTCTGTCCTTGGGATAGTGAGTGAGTTCTTGTGAGATGTGATTGAGTAAAAGTGAGTAACACCTCCCCTCCCCCACCTTTCTCGTGCTCCCACTCTGACCATATGAGACACCTGCTCCTCTTTCACCTTCCCCTAGGGTTGTAAGCTTCCTGAGGCCTCCCCAGAAGCCAAGCAGATGCCAGCATCATGCTTCCTGTACAGCTGCAGAACTGTGACCCAACTAAACTTTTTTTCTTTATAAATTAGCCAGCCTCCGATATTTCTTTATAGTAATGTAAGAACTGCCTAACACACCTACTTAATCCTTAATTCTCTCCCCTCTTAATTTCTATAATACCTCCTCTGTCCCCTCTGGTTTCAGAGCTTGTGTGTCTCCCTGCTCACTCTTGTCTCAGGTGCTAGACTTACTTCTCCATAGATTGTAAATTCTACAGAACTGGGATTGCATTGTATATTTTGAAGACTGCTCTAACTCAGTTTAACACCCATCTTTGCTTACAATCTTCTCTAGTGATTACAATCTGTATCATCATCATGTCTAATATTTATAATATCTATATTACGGTTACCATATTGGGATATTATTGGCATTGTGCCTATTTGATATTTAATTATAACAGTATACATAATATCTCTATGTTAGTGAAACCACAGAGCAGTAGCAATCTCTACAAGATGCCATGGGAAGTGGCAGACACTTTCATTTGTGTGTTTCTACACCTGGTCTCGGTTCCTTCCATCTTTGTTCATCTCTGCTCTAGAAGGGAAAGAAATGCTATACTCACTGTTCCAGCCCCCTCTGCAGCTAGTAGCTGCCAGGAGATACCAGCTTGATCAATGAGATGGAATACAAAGTTTGCTGGGGACTTCTGGGAAAGCTTTTACTCTTCCCAATATTGGGAGCCAATGTGCCTGCAAACCTCTTCTTTTTCCTTCTTCCTGCCTGTCTTGTGGATTCTGGATATGATACCTACATTTGGGGTAGCGACCTTGTGATCATGAAGAAGAGGGAAAAGAAATGGCAGAGTTTCTGGTTTGACTTCACTGAGCAGCTGAACCAATGCTGGCAGTCATGTACCTCCAGACTTCTTGCTGTATGAGAAAACACACCCTATTTTCCTAAATCATTGTTGATGGGAATTTCTTTTGCAGCAAAAAGCATTTTGATATAGAAGACATCATATATTTAAGAACATCCTAAAGGCAAATAGAAGAGTTTCAGGAAAGACGGTGACATGGCAAAGAGAATCCAACCTAACCTCTGGAAAGTGATCAAAAAGGATGGAGGAATAGCAAAATAGGAGGAATATTTTATCAATGCCAGACTTCAGAAAGCTTGCTGTTATCTGCTTCATACTTCATAGAATTTATACTCAACGTAGAATAGAAGAGAATAGAATAAATGAGGTGACTGTAGGCAATGCACAACTTCGCCTTCTGAGAAATGGTGTGATCATCTACAACTGAGTAATGACAATCCCAACAGAACCACTCTATTAGAACATTCCATAACTTAGAGACGCAAGAGTGGGCCATGAAGGAAATGGAGGCTACTCTAGTTGAAACAATATAAAACAAAATAACTAGCAAGAAAGTATATGAAACAGAAAGCACATAGGGTGACAGAGATAAGACCAGACAATTTAGTTGTGAATTTAAGTGAAAATAAAAGCTCCATTATTTGAAGAATAATCACTCTTTAATCAAGAAATATTTTATATCTATAATTTGTTATATTACTCCTTACCTAAAAAATATCCTATATGGTGACTATGGTAGTAGTGCCACAAACTGAATTTGTCAAAATTTGCAGGATCATATACCTCAAAGGGTGATTTTCTTACTGTTTGTAAATAGTGCCTCAGAAAGAAAAAAAAAACATAATTTATGCTTAAAGAAATCCAGAATGGTTGATAATAAAAGTATAGAAAAAGGTATATGAAGAATAGAAACAAAAAGAAAGTAGAGAATGTAATAATTTCAGGAAAAGTATAATTCAAGTAAAAAACATTAAATGTACTTTGGGAGGCCAAGGCAGGCAGATCACTTGAGGTCAGGAGCTGGACACCAGCCTGGCCAACATGGCGAAACTCCGTCTCTACTAAAAATACAAAAATTAGCCAGGCGTGGTGGTGTATGTCTGTAATCTCAGCTACTAGGGAGGCTGAGGCAGGAGAATTGCTTGAACCCGGGAGGCGGAGGTTGCAGTGAGCCGAGATCACACCACCGCACTCCAGCCTGGGCAACAGGGCAACACTCTGACTCAAAACAACAACAACAACAACAACAAAAAAAAAAAAAAAACAGAAAAGAAAAGATATTAAATGTAGAAGAGTCATATTTTGTTGATAAAGAATGCAACCTACAGTAAAGACACGGATATAAATCTTTATGTACCATAACATAGCATTGAAACATAGCATTAAACAGAAAGTGACAATGACAATCATCTTGAGAAAATTTAACATACTTCTATAAGTTAATGACACAGATTAAGTAGGCCAAAAACAAGATTATAGAGTAGTTTAATAATATGATCAATAAGGTTGAATTAACCGTTTGTCAAATGCTGAAAATTAGTAGCTAAACTTTTATTAAGGATGTACGAATATTGATCATGTATTAGAGCCATCCTTCAATAAATAAAGTCTCAGATTTTTCAAATGTAAACATGAGACAGGCTCTGTTTTCTGTTTACAATAGCATAAAACCCAATGTTTTTAATAAAAATATTTTAACATCACCTGAAAATGTGAGGGGGGAACTCTTTATTAAACCCCTTGGGTCAAAGGGCAAAATCAAAGATATGATGACAAAATATTAGAAAATAAATCTAATACGAACACTGCATATTAAGCTTTTCTGGGGTTTCTGGCACTGCTCAGAGAAAAATTTCTAATCCTTACATGCTTTCCTTATTTTCTTATAAATAATTCCTTATTTACATTCTTTCCTTGTAAAACTATGAAATGAAAATAAACTATGTAGTTACTTAAGGGAATTAGGAAAAAGGAGTAATGGCACAAATCAGGAAAGCAAGAAGAAAATAATAAACCCCAAAATAATAAAAGCAGACACTATTGAGTTAGAGAACAGAGAGTGAGAGAGAGAAAAGTTGATAATTAAATTCAGATGATGGTTCTCAGAAATATCAATACAATGTAGAGGAGGACAAAAGTTTTCTGTAAAGGGCCAACTAGTAAATATTATAGGATCTCTGTCATGTATTATTGTTTGTGTCATATATTAATGTCTGTCACATTATATTATTTGGTTGTTTACAACTCAAAAAAACATGTAAAAACCATTCTTAGCCATTCTTAGCTCCTAGACCATACAAAAACAGGCCGTAACCCAGATTTGGCCAACTGGCTTTAGTTTGCCAGCTCCTAGTGCTTCTCAACCCTAGCTAAACATTAAAACATTAGAGTACTTTAAAAAGAAATACTTGTGCCTGGGCCCACCCTAGACCAGTTAAATTTAAAGCTCTGTGTTGAAACTGAGCAGTGGTGATATTGAAAAACACCCCAGCCATTCCCAATGTTCAGTCATAGTTGGGAATCATTGCAGCAGACCAGAGGTCCTCAACGTGTGCTCCTAGGACTAGCTCAGCATCACCTGGGAACTGGTTGGAAATGAAAATTCTTGAGTCCCACCCCAGACCCATTGAATTAGAACTCCGGAGGTGAGGCCCAACAATCAGTGTTAACAGGTTATACTGGTGATTCTTAATGGCACTCAAGATTGAGAACCCTTGTAAGAGAAAAACCTGTGACTGAAGATAAGAGAAGCAGTTTCCAAGAGGACATAATCATAAGTATTATCTTTCACTGTTTGTAAAACTACTATGAAAAGATAGAATCACAATCCCCAGAATGCCTGGAAATGCATTTTTAACAGATGACTCTTGTTGATTGTGATAACCAAAGAAGTTCAAGACACGTTGATAACAAGAAATGAACACACACACACACACACAAATATTAAAAATAAAAATGATATAAAACCATAGACTCAGATTTGATTTCTTAATTATTAGAGAAATCTGTATAGAAGACAATATAACAAATTTGAAGACCTCAAAGACCTTCCCCTCCGCAACCCCCAAACAGCCCAGAGTATGTTATGAGCAATTTCTTTCATACCATCAAGGAACAGATAATTCCCATAAAGAGAACTGGCATCTAAATCTAAAGCTGGAGATCAAGCTGTTGGCACCAAATTGTCAAGATTAGAATCTATTCAATATGAAGGTTAACCAGATAACTCAGGGCTCAAGCCCAGACAGGACCCAAGACATCAACAATACAAAAGATGTTGTCAACCAGCTAGGTGTCAGAGGAAGATAGCATTTTATGAGAAGATTGGCCATTAGCTTTGAAATGAACTCAGCATTACAACTGCTTCTAGGAGCTGGTTCAAAGCTGGAAGATTTGTTTTGTCTGCCAAGAAGAGGTTTCTGTTCATCTGAGATTTTAGAGAAGTACAAGAGAAGAAACAAAAAATCAGGAATGTGGTGAGACTAAGAAGGAACTCTGGTCTTGATCTCTATACAGTAAGAGACTTGTCATCAGCTTAAGGGTTGGGTGTGGCACTTAAATCAAAGGGGAAATCTGAAAAAATTACCATGGGAAAATGACTTGGGGAAATTCATGAATGACGAGCAGTAGGACTGCCAAGGAGAGTAGATGAAACCAGGCCAGGTGCACCTGGATATGGGACTCTCTTTATTCCTTCTCTGCCACATGGAAAAATATGACAAGTCCAGGGCTGATATCAGACAGGGCCATTTTAGAGGAAAAAGGGGAAGTTTATACCAGAGGGCAAGAGGCCTGAATGAAGCTGGGCATAGTGGCTCACACCTGTAATCCCAGCACTTTGGGAGGCTGAAGCAGGTGGATCATGAGGTCAGGAGTTCGAGACCAGCCTGGCCAACAAGGTGAAACCTTGTCTCTACTAAAAATACAAAAATTATCCAGTCATGGTAGTGCGCACCTGTAATCCCAGCTACTTGGGAGGCTGAGGCGGAAGAATCACTTGAACCTGGGAGGCAGAGGTCACACTGAGCCAAGATCACACCATTGCACTCCAGCCTGGGCAATAGAGTGAGAATCCATCTCAAAAAAAAAAAAAAAAAAAAGAGAGACCTGAATGAAGTAGCTGATTGTGCGGTTTAGCATGAAAAGAACCATGAGGTTTTCTCTGCATCTGATCATCTGAGTGAAGTCATGGACTCATCAACTGAAAGCCAATGATTAAAGAGCTGATTAAAGGTGCATGAAATTAAGTGAATGAGAGTCAACTCCACACCTATTTATTGATCACTTGCTGAGTGCTGACATTTTGCCAGAGAGTGATGGCGTGTGCTCCTTGATCTTGGGAAGTATAACATCTTCTTGAGGCATGTCCAGTGAAGACAAGGAAGCAAACAATGAACTAATCCACCAGGGAAAATAAAATAAAGATGAAAAACAGGGATCCCAGCAAATGTATTCTTCAAGAGCAGAGGAAAGAGGAACTAAGCATCAGGGAGAAGAATTTTGGAAGAGAAACCTTCCAACATGAGGAAATAGCCTGAGTAACCTGTCTGAGAGTACAGGCCTTGGGCAGGAAACACCAAGCTCACTGCAGGTAGTTCACTGCTGGTTTGCACCCAGGTGTTGGGAGAAGGGGGTAACAGGAAGGCTTGTTTGTTCCACCCAGTGCCTTTTTCTTAAAAACTTAAATGTGAATGCCTTTAAAATAGGGTCTTACTTTCTCTAATTTTTCATTGGCCCCACTGATCTCTATAATATTAAAGTTCATCGGCTACCCTTGTGCATGTCATTTGTTTGACCATTGAAGTCATCTGAGTGTGTGGCCTCTAAAGCAGGCCACTGGTTCTGAGTTTAGAGTCCATGGAGGTTTGAGGTCAGAGTGACCCAAATTCTATGCCAAAAGAACAAAACAAAAACAAACAAAGCTCATGTTTTATTTAGTGTGAGGAGTGGCCACATGGGGTGTGCAGTTAGTTGGGCTGCACTTTATGAAGACAAGTCATAGTGATCTAAAAAAGTAAGGAGGTCTACAGGCAGGGAAACACCACAAAGCCATTGTTTCCACTGAGGCAAGGCATAGGGAGGGCCAGAAATGGGGAATAAGCCGAGAATGAAAATACAGGAAGGAACATGGAATCCCTTGCAGTTGTAGAATTAGCAACTGTGGGTAACTACTTGCAAGGAGAGAAATAAGAACTGAAGTGGAGATCACTTGGAGGTTTCATCTGAAGCCTTATAAATGGTGTCATCATGAACTAAAATGGAATGTAGCACATTTAGGCAGGATTGTCTGGTAAGGAAGCATCACATGTATGTCCTAGAGTCTACCAGCATGTTCGTCAGTTAATCATCCTATGTAACACCGATTTTGTCTTCATATTCCCCACTCCCCCAGTCTTCCTTATTTCTGCTGAGGATGCTGTTCTTTCCATCCTCTAGAATTATAATTCCAGAATCCTGTTAACACTTTCTTTTTGTTCTCTTTTTACAACGTCAGTTACCAAATTTTCTTGAATTCCTTTTTTTGTATTTTGTATTATGCATTTCTTTATTTTATTTTATTTTATTTTTATTTTATTTTATTTTATCTTATCTTATTTTATTTTATTTTATTTTATTTTATTTTATTGAGACAGAGTCTTGCTCTGTCACCCAGGCTGGAGTGCAGTGTCATGATCCTGGCTCACTGCAACCTCTACCTACTGGGTTCAAGCAATTCTCGTGCCTCAGCCTCCTGAGTAGCTAGGACTACAGGTGTGCACCACCACGCCTGGCTAATGTTTTTATTTTTAGTAGAGACGGGGTTTCACCATGTTGGTCAGGAAGGTCTCGATCTCCTGACCTCGTGATCTGCCAACCTCAGCCTCCCAAAGTGCTAGGATTATAAGAGTGAGCCACCGCGCCTGGCCTGTGCATTTCTTTTTAATCATTCTGTCTACTACCTGATGATTCTAGATCCTCAATATGTCATCCTCAGTTTACCACAATAGCCACCCAGCTAGTTTCCCTGCAACCAGTCCCTTGCTCCCTTCAATATTTCCTCCAGATTCATCTTCCAAACTCTCATATTTATCTCATTATTACTCCCTCTAATCAATGTTTCATGCCAACAGAGCAACTCCACATCACCCAAGGAAATTTTCTAAACTCCCTCTAGGTTCTCTCCAATCCAGCTCTACGTTTCCAGTTTTATCTTTTACTACTACTTCCACTTGAATCAGATTAATTTCCTAAATTTGTTTTGCTCAGTCTGTAAATTTGCTTATGTGTCTCCTCTCTGTGCAAAGTCCTTTTTTTTCCGTTTCAATCCAAACTTTCAGACCCAGCTAAATCTCTGTCTTATTGAAAAGGCTGCCCTTCAGTAAAATTATCTGTTCCATCTTGAATCTCAGCTTTTTGACCCTACCATTTAAATAGGCATTTATAGATTCCCTGCAGTATTTATTTATTTATTTATTTATTTATTTATTTATTTGAGACAGGGTCCCATTGTCACCTAGTCTGGAGTGCGGTGGCTCAATCATGGTGTACGGCAACCTCCACCTCTCAAGTGATATTCCTGGCTCAGCCTCCTGAGTAGCTGGGACCACAGGCACATACCACCACACCTGGCTAATTTTTGTATTTTTTGTAAAGATGGGATTTTGCCATGTTGCCTGGGCTGACCTGGAATTCCTGGGCTCCACCCACCTCGGCCTCCCAAAGTGCTGAGATTACAGGCATGAGCCACCTTGCCCAGGCTCGTACTTCTTATATTGTTGCCTTTGTTTGATATTAATTCATATTAATCTTATTTCCCCAATTCGATTATTTGTTCACTGAGATTTTACGTTACATTCCTTAAAATTTCTCAAAGAACTCAAAGTGATTAAAAAATCAATGTTGGACACTCAATGTATATTTATAGAATGAATGAATGATATTATGTTTATAACACTCTTAGAGGTGCCATTCATTCTTGCCAGAATGGGGATCAGGCAAAACAAGTAGAGACTTACAAGGGTAGGTTGCATGATGAGTTATTAATATGGATGTGGCCTTGTCCACGTAGGGTGGTTTTATGATTCAAGATAGGACAGTTTATACTGTGGTAACACACAATTCCAAAATCCCAGTGGCTCGTCTTAACAAAGGCTATTTTATCATTCACTTTATATGCCCAATCTGTATAAAGGGAGGAGGAGCAGAGAGTTTTGCTCATGAGAATTCCTCAGGGATTGAGGCTGATGGAGGCTCTTATTACATTTATCCATAGCCACCATGCCAGGAGCAAGAGAATGAGGTCTACCTTGCACTGGCTCTTAAAACTCCTGCCTGAAAGTGACACTTCCACTCAGTTTTCATGAGCCACACCAATCTTGAAAGATGGCAGGAAGTTACCTTTTGACCACATGTCCAGGTGGAGTGAAGGACCAGATTACTTATGACTACCACAGGTGCTAGTGTTGGCTAAGAAAAGTATGCCAACCATGTTCTTTAGTTTCAGCCAACAAACTCAACTCTGGTTAATGTTAACAAAAAAGGAATTAATTGGGAGGGTACAGAGTAGCTTACAGAATTAAAGGAAATCTACCTTGAAGAGAACAAGACCAAAGTCAACCCTGGGCATACAGATAAAGAACCATAGTGACAGGCTCTTTAGACCACTTCCAATTGTGTGAATCAGCCACAACCATGTATTCTGTCTTTGTATTATTTGTTTAGCTTTCAAATTCTTAGGTGAGAGCATCTAATTGGCTGAGCTCAGATGATATGCTAACCTTCCCCAGGGATGGAAGGGCACCTGGAACTACAGCTCCACTAAGACTGTCTGCAACTGAAGGAAGATCGTAACACAAAGGAAAAACAGGACACTGTTAGAAAAAGAAGGAATAATGGAAGACAGAAAAAATGCTACTCATGTTTAGTGTGCATAGATAATTTCATAGTAATTTAAAAGGCTAATGGAATCACGACATGCCTATGCAGCAAGAAATTATACAAAGACTGAATTTCTTTATGTCTTATCTAGAGGCCTATAAGGTTGTACCTTTCTTTTGGTTCATTTCTTCCAAAAATAAGTCTAACTCCCACTTCCTCCTCAAGTGCAAATCCTGTCTTATGGCATTAGCAGCAGCGTGATATGATTGTGGGGATAATTAATTTCTAGAATGTAAAGACAAAAGCTTCCCTTTTAGTGAGCAAAGCCAAATGTCTGCTCATTTAAATAGCTTACAACAAATCTACAACTGACTTCCTCCTGTTTTTCCCAGTGGGAACTAATGCTAAACTGAAATGCCTGGATATGTGGCACTTTGAATGACAAAAGAATAACTAGGGGACAGATTAGTCATCCCTAAAAACTCTTTCCAAATTTCCAAACTATAAAGCCATATGCAGCAGTTTCAGAACTGGTGACTCAGGACTCATTTGCCAGCAACAAGAATGTTCTAGGATGCTGTAGACTAAGCCAGAGAAAGACTCCCCCTACCATCAATACCCCCAAAACACTTCATTCAAACAACAACTTAAATGAAAGAGTAAACAAATCAGAGATGCTCTATGTGAAAACAAATTTGGAGATTTCTCCTTTAGTTCTTTTCTTCCTAAAAGTGCTTTCTCTCCTTTTCTGCCTGAAATTTTTGATACATAACACCAATGTTTCAAACTATTGACTTAAGACAGTAGCCATTTGTTTAGTTTATAATTCTGGAAGTCAGAAATTTGGGCTGGGCTCAGCTAGCCAGTTCTTCTGCAGATCTCAGGGGTTATTCCTGCATCTGCAGTCAGCCCATCACCTACTTACAGGGTTTGGCTCTCTGAGATGACAGGGACACCTGGGCCCCTGTCTCTCATCATTCTGTAGATGAGCCTGGGATTCTTTTCATGAGGGGTAGGCAGGGGTTTCTAAGAACATCCAAAGGGCAAGCCTCAATGCACAAATGCTTTTTAAGCTTTTGCTTTCCTTGTGATTGCTAATGTCCCACTGGCCAAGGCAAGTCACATGCCCAAAAAAGATTTAGACAGTAGAGAAACATCTTCACCCACCTATGAGGGGAGCTGCAACGGCACAATGCAAGGCTGTGAACAGAAGAATGGGTAGAATCTGTGGCCACTCTTCAATCTTTACAGAAGGTAAACCCTGACAGGACTCCATGCACCAGAATTTAGAAACCATGGGCTAAGCTAACCTGATTTATCCATCCTCAGTCTGGAGGGAAGACTTCTAGCCCACCCAATATGTGGGGAGCCAGTCGTGTCTAAATCTCTTATTTTCTGCAGGCTTCTAGGTGAATAGGTTAGCAAAAGCGACTCTATTGCTCAACTAAATAGACATTTATCTTGCCTCCCCAGCCTTGGCCATCTGCCCTAACACTGCCTGTTCCTTTAACATGTAGCATTAACAGAGAGAGACCACCGTGCCATCCACAGACCTTGGAAAGACAGGCTGCATTTCAGTGTAGTACATTCTGCTGATGGTTGAAGCAGTTCAAAGTGGGATAATTTAAAGCTCTTATTTAACTGAAAGAATTCATTTGTCTTTTGATCCACCTTCCACTCTGACAAATGCTCCCTTCCCTATCACATTCAAACACACACCCCCTTCAGAAGCCAGTAAATTCATCCCCTGCCAAGGAATGGATTTTCCCCATATTGCTCTATCTGAGTGATAAAAGGGTTTAATGTCCCAAGTTCATTTTTCAGTAGCTAACTCAGAGATACCCGACACAGCAAAGCACCTAAGCTCTTTCTAGAGTTATTAAACTGTTATATCCCTAATTCCTTTGGAGCCTCGACCTAGCAGCAATGATTCTGAGGGCACTTCCTATTAAATCTGCATTTTGCACAGAGAGATAAAGCAGGCCAGTGTGACCCTGTTTACAGGGATGACAGAAGAGCCCCTGCAGGCTCTGGTGCTGTCAGCAGTTTTACTCTATCAGGAAGCCTATGTGAGAAGGTCCCTCACAGCTCTTGGCCTGGACACATTTGCCAACTTTGCACACTTTTCTGAAATGCAACCACTTTCAGGTTGGGAGCTCTGAGCCACTTGGCAGCTCTGTGGGGCAGCTTTTTTGCTGGCAGGATGTGAGCATGCAACAAGCCCAACCAACCTGCCAGGCACGGGAGACATTCCCAGGCACATATCCATGAAGCCAAAGAGCAGTCTGGAAGAAAACAAACCTGTGTGGTTTAATATATAAAAGGAGTCTTCAAATTGTGTGTACATATCCCAAGGGAGATAGAAGGTAATGCACTGATATACAGGGATAATATGTTAGAATTACTTTTATTTTTGTTTTTAAAAATAGGAAATGAAACTCTTCCAATTTTCAATATACAGCTTTACACAAGCACCCTCACTCTATCCGTGTCAGGTGGCACACGTCACATGCAATACACACATCCACAACATAAAGTTGGAGGGGCAGATTAAAGAGGTATCCTCCCTCGTCTAGTAACTTTAAGCAGACTGTGATGTATCCCTGTTTATGTGGGAACAATAAAATTAATTTAATGACTGCAAAATCTATTCCAACCTAAATTAACCCCTACCAAGTACACCAATGGCTTAAAAGGCTTCAAGCAAAGATGCTAAAGATGGAAGATCAGACCCTTAGTGTAGACACAAAGCAACAATAGCTAATCTGTCCATTCTCCCATTGCCATTTGATCTCTCTGTCAGCCACATTATGAAAGGGAAAAACAGAGAAAGGAAAAGAATGGGACTAATTAAATTTGACCAAAAAATGTTCAAAGCTTCATATTTTTTGCTGGTTTTTTTTGTAGCAATTCTTATTCCAACACTGAATTATATTTGCAATATGAATGTATACCCACCATTGTTGATGACATACTTCATCAAAAGTACCTTGAAATATGAGCTAATGATAGTTTGAAGCCTTCAGGATTAGAAAGACACTAAAATGTGGCTTATTTCTTATTTATCTCAACCTTTTGTCATTCTTACTTTGCACATTTAACAATATAAATAAAGATGTACACATTGAAAGTACATGATGAGACACTTTTAACCAATGAGGTGCATAATCAAAAATAAAAATGACAGCCAACATTTGTTGTCTGTCTGTAAATTCATAGCCCCTCAAACTCCAAACCCTGTGCATTTATCACTCACCATGCAGCCCCCAACTAATAGAAAATAAAATTAAGTAAGAAATGTTATTGAAATTACTTAATTTGTTAGCTATAGCAGGTATTTGTTTAAATTCAAGCTTATCATCCCAGGTTCTCTAAAGACTGGTAGAAAACTTTTCAAGAGCAAGTCTAACTTAGGATCGTGTTCTCCTGATGATAATAATAACACCACCTCCACTGCAACCAACAGTTACTGTGCTTCCTGAGTGAAAGTCTTCTGCTAAGAGCTTTAAAGATATTAACTCATTTGCTCCTCACAATAACCCTATAAGGAAGGGGTCCTCAAGCCCTGAGCCACAAACCAGTACCAGTTTGTGGCCTGTGGGGAACCAGGCAACACAGCAGGAGGGGAGCATTACAGCCTGAGCTCTGCCTCCTGTCATATCAGTGGTGGCATTAGATTCTGATAGGAGCGCAAATCTTACTGTGAGCTGCACATATGAGGGATCTAGGTTGTACATTCCATAAGAGAATCCAGTGCCTGATGATCTGAGGTAGAACAGTTTCATCCCAAAACCATCCCCTCCACTGCCTCCCATAAAAATTGTCTTCTGGCCGGGCGCAGTGGCTCACGCCTGTAATCCCAGCACTTTGGGAGGCCGAGGCAGGCAGATCACCTAAGGTCAGGAGTTTGAGACCTGCCTGGCCAACATGGCAAAACCCCGTTTCTACTAAAAATACAAAAAATTAGCCAGGCATGGTGGTAGGCACCTATATAATCCCAGCTACTTGGGAGGCTGAGGCAGAAGAATCACTTGAACCCAGGAGGCGGAGGTTGCAGTGAGCTGAGATGGTGCCACTGCACTCCAGCCTGGGTGACAGGAGCAAAACTCCATCACACACACACACACACACACACACACACACACACACACACACACGCAAAATTGTCTTCCATGAAACGGGTCCCTGGTGCCAAAAAGGTTGGGGACTGCTGCTATAAGGCATTGTGGTGGACAGACGTTCAAGGCGGTTCCCATGATCCCAACTCCTGGTATCCATACCTTCATATTAATAATTGTACCCCCCCCCAAGTGTGGGCAGAACCTGTGATTTGCTTCTAATCAATAGAAACATTAAAGGTGACGTAATTATAGGTGAGTGATTATGTGATTACGTTATATAAGATTCTCGTGTCCAACTTGCTGGAGTGTCTCTCTCCCTGGCTAGTTTTGAGTAAGCAAGTAGCCACGTTGGGGACCCACCTGGCAAAAAACCAAGGGTGGCTTTCAGCCAATAGTCAACAAAGAAATGAAGCCCTCCAGAGATACATTCCGCTAACAACCTGAGTGAGCTTGAAAGGGGATCTTTCGCCAGTCAAGGCTCAGATGAGACCCCAATCCCGGCAGACACCTTGACTTCAGCCTTGCAGAAGACCCAGCTGAGCCATGCCTGACTCCTGACCCACAGAAACTGTAAGATAATGAATATGCGTTGTTTTAAGTTTCTGTGTTTGTAGTAATATTGTTATAAAGCAATAGATAACCAATATAGTTATGTATATTTTTATGTCTACTTTAAGGATGGAAAGTTAAATAAATTGACCAGTTCACACAGCTAGTCAGAGGTAGGGCTGGAATAGAAAATCTGGGTAGCCTGCTTCTGGAGGGTTAGCCTTAACCACTGCACTTTCCGGCCTCTGCAGACAATTTCCCTTCTAGCTCACTAGTCACTGCTATTGTCTCACTCCTTCTCCTTAGGATTGGACTTGTATCCCCAGGCCCTGGCCCCTTTAGGGTACCAAACCCAATCCCGTGCAATCCCAGTGCCAAGGCTGTGGCATGGCATTTGTGTTAGCACAAAGGAAAGAGTGGCGACTAATGAGTCACGGGCGTTTCTTCCACAGTCCAAGCGTCTGGGAAGGAGCAAAGCTTCATAGCCAACCAAAGCCTCCAGCTGTCTGTGACTCTGAATAAGCTCTGCCAATAACTCAAGTTTCCCCACAAATAAAGGAGAAAAATAAATCTGTGGGTGTCACCGAGAGAGTCTTGGCATGAAAGTCAGGAGACTTAGGCTCTAACCTTGGGTCTGCCAGCCAGGAGGCCGTGGGAACCTGGAGAAGTCACTTGGTTTTTCTAGCCCTTTGCTTTCTCGTCTCTGAAAAGAGGGCTTTGGATTGGATGACTTTTAACGTCTCCAAAAAATTTACACAGTTCTAAGGTACTGTCATGGTTTGAATATATTTAATGCCTTTCTCTTCCCCTAACTCCAGAATTGAAACAGCCTTCATTTCAGCTGCCTAATTTTGAAACCCAGGGGACACATTTCTAATAGAGAGTGAGCTAGGAAAAATAAAGAAGAAGAAGCCTCATGGGGTCGGAGACACAAGGAAGGGTAAAATTAATAGCCGAAAAGAAGACGTTCTCACCCAAAGCCATTGAAACCCTGAGCCTCCAGCCTGGGCATTTTCTGCCCGTGGTCCATGCTCAGCTGCCAGCATTCCTCTGTCCCTACTTTCCCTCGTAGATTGAGTCCCAGCCGGCATGACAGTCTCATTTCTCACTGAATGCTTGCGGTGAATGCTAAACTGTAATCTCTTTTTGCATGCTTCGGTTCCAAATTCATAACTGGAGGAGCAGACCCCGTTGTCTGCAAGCGTTCGCTGTTAGCCGCTCTGCCGAGCAGAGCCAAACGGTCCTGGTCCTGCAATCTAGTGGCTTTTTCCCTGCTTCACACTTTGTCAAAATGCATCACGGGTGACACAAAGAAATGGCCGCTGGAAACTCCCCATTTTCCAATCCTTTTACTATCTAATTGTTCCTCTTCTTCAAGGCTTGGCCATCCTCAAAACAGACCAGGGTCCCTGCCTGGGTTGTTTTCATTTTAAAGCAGAATGCACTACAAAAGAGAGGCCCTTCCCACAGCTCTAAGCTTGGCACTGTCTGTGGTCATTGTCTTAGACTCTGCTTTCTACGCCCTGCGCTGTCCCTGAGATGCCACCCCCAACTCACCATTACTCCAAATGGCCATTCCCTTCCTGCAACTCTAAAAACATGATCCAACAAAGCGATCCAGTGAAAAGTAGAGCAGGTTTACCCCCAAAGAACCTCCTACCTCCCATTGCACATACAATGGTGCCATCTCCTTGCAAAGGGCTGCAATTCCTGCCTGCCTCACCCACTTCACCCAGCAAGTCTTGCAGGATTGGGGCCCTCCAGCCACACGGGCCTTCATGTCCTTTTCTCAGGTACCCCAAAGGGCCTTGGCACATGCTGTCCCCTTTGCTGCAAATGCTCTCTATCTCTAGATCTCTCCATGGCTACCTCCTGCTCACCCTTAGTCTCAGGTCTGAGGAACTGTGGTGCACAGCGACGTTGTGCTTGGTAGGATGAGCACTGCTGGTTCCAGCACATCCAGTCAGCACCAGCCATTGCAATCTCCTGACTCTGGACATCAACATCTGTGACTCCACCTGAGGCTTTCTCTGACCACTTTCCCACGCCTCTGCTGGTATTTACATCATGACCTCCTCTATAAATGGTTTGCACTCAAATCTTTGTCTCAGAGCCTGGTTTGGGCAACCAACTAAGCTAGTCTGCGCTACCAATTTTCTCTCCCTGGTGCCTTTTTCTATTTTTTTTTTCATGCCTCTTTTTAAAAATCTCTGAATATTTTCTCCTGTTTATGTATTATCTTATTCTTTTTTATTTACTGTCTTCTTCTCTGCCTGGAGAGTGTAAGCTCCAGGAGAGGAGAGAGTGTTGTATCTATCCCCTGCATCCAACCTCAGCCTGGCGCATAGTAGGTGCTCGAGGAATGTTTTCTGAAGAATGAATGAGCTCCTCCTCATTTACAGCATCCTATGATTTTAAGTCACTGTTTCGTCTTTCAATAGTATTTCCAATTTGAGGCTCAAGGCATCCTGCAAAGCTTCCCCATGCCTCTGGCACTCCCCCAACCCCACTAAAGGAATCTCAAGCCCCTGGAGGGGAGGAAGAAAGGAAAGTTGTTTCCAGTGCCTCTGATATCATACTGCAGTCACGGAGGCACCCAGAGTCTACCAGCCCTGATCACCCAGTCTTGCAGCTGAGACCTAAACAGAAAGGGCACTTAGATGTTATGATAAGGATACAATTTTGGATCAATGTAACTATTGGAACTTTGGACTCTTGCGTAAAACGTAACATGTTCATTTCTTAAAAAAAAAAAAAAAAAAAAAAAGCATGTTTGTCTCAGGGACCATCTTTTGCCCTGCAGGATTTTCTCTGTGGTTAACTGGATCTGGGGTCTCATTCCTCAATCAAAGAATGAAGGTGTTGATTAGGTGACTGCCAGCAGGCATTTGAAGGAAGCCAGTCTTCCTGCGCAGCCTTCTGTATGAATGCAGGGATCTCACCATACATGTGCTTGTATGTGCGTGTGCATTGCCCACAGGTTTGGAGTGCATGTGCAGTGTTGTGTGTCACCCACCCTCACTCCTTGTCGACACTCCTATACTTGGTCCATCTGTCTAATCTCCCTGGATCCAGGGCACCAGAAATTATGTCTGTTCATCATTGCGCCTGCAATGTTTGTCATAGTTAATGGTACACATTGGACACCATAAATACACAATGGGGGAAAAATACATGTATGCATGAATTTCACTTCTTCCTGGGGAAGAGCCACTAAAACTCCTTAGAAGGGTCCTGAAACTCATTAGGACTGAGCAGAATCTTCAGGAGCCCTCTATAAAGAAACAGTGACAATGAATAGCCAACTAAGAAAAAATTATAGTGTCAAAGGCCAAAGGACCAATGGCATTTAAAGAGAAACATGGGATGGCTCCTAGGTGACTTCTGCACAGGCACCCATGGCTTAGCTATAAACAGATGGACTAATCTCAAGAAAACTCCAAAATCAGTACATTATTGCCAGAGCTGTGTTCTCCGCCAAAGACGTCCAAACCACTTTGTGATCATGAGAGGCACACCTAGCCTCCTCTCATGGCATGCCAAGCCACCAAGGGGGCCAGTCCTAGGAGACAGCTCAGAAGAGGCACTCCGCCAAGGAGACTGGAGGCTACAGAAACTGCCCCAAGAATTGAGTGAGATGATGTATGTGGAGGCATTTTGTAACCCATAAATCTTTTTACCCCCACTGTGTGTTTTGATGATGATGATAACTATTATTGCTAAGTGTGATCAGTGGATAATTAGTCCCAGATGATGCCCCATTGGGGAAAAAAAATTGTTGTGGTCAGAAAGCCAGAGTGAAATCCTTTGAAAACCTAAGTCAGATCCTGCTATGTCCCTGCGCAAAGCCCTCTGGGGGTTGCCATCTCATGCAGAATCAAACTCAAACTCCTTACCGTGGCCCAAAAGTCCAACGTGATCATTCTGGCTGCCCCCTCAGCCCTTACCCTGCCACTCTCACCAATCTCTGTTGCCACCAAGCTGGTCTTCCTGCTGAGTGGGCCACACCAGTCTTCCAGTTCCTTCTTAGAACATCCTTCATGTGAAATCCGGATGGGCCGCACCAAAAACGATGCTCAACCTCACCAATCATGAAGGAAATGCAGATCGAAACTGCAATAAGGTACACTCATCAGGGTGTATCACACCCATTAGGATGGCTGAGACCAAAGAAAACAGAAAATAACAAGTGTATTAAGGAGGTGGAGAAATTGAGAGCCTCATGCACCGTTGATGGGAATATAAAATTGTGCAGCTGCTGTGGAAGACAGTATGGTGTTTCCTCGAAAAATGAAACACAGAACTACCTTATATGTGGCAATTCCACTTCTGATTATATATCCAAAAAGAGCTGAAAGCAGACCCTTGAATGGATATTTGCACATCCATGTTTACAGCAGCATTATTCATAGTTAACCAACAGGTGGAAGCAATCCAAGAGTTCACTGGCAGAAGAATGGATAAACAAAATGGGGCATATCTATACAATGGAATATTATTCAGCCTTAAATAGAAGGAGATTCTGACACACATGCTACAACATGGGTTAACCTTCAAGACATTATCCTAAGTGAAATAAGCCAGTCAAGGCCAAGCATGGTGGTTCACGGCTGTAATTTCAGCACTTTGGGAGGATGCGGCTGACGGATCACGAGGTCAGGAGTTCGAGACCAGCCTGGCCAACATAGTGAAACGCTGTCTCTACTAAAAATACAAAAATTAGTCAGGCGTGGTGGTGCATGCCTGTAATCCCAGCTACTCAGGAGGCTGAGGCAGGAGAATTGTTTGAACCCCGGGAGGCAGAGGTTGTAGTGAACCGAGATCCTTCTCAGAAAAAAAAAAAAAAAAAGCCACTCAAAAAAAGGACAAATACTCTGATTTCACTTATATGAGGTATTTAGAGGAGTCACTTCATAGAGACAAAAAGCAGAATGATGGGTGCCAGGTGCTAATGGGTGGGGGGAATGGGGAGTTAGAGTTTAACGAACATAGGGTTTCAGTTTTGGAAGATGAAAAGAGTTTTACAGATGGAGGGTGGTGATAGAGGCACAACACTGTGAATACACTTAATGCACTTAAAAATGGTTAAAACGTTAAATTTTATGTTGCATATATTTTCTACAATTAAAGAAAAAAAAAGCGTTGTGGAAGTCAAGGATCCAGCCCAGCCTTCTGGCTTGCAGGCAGTAGAAGAGAGCAGTGTTCTTGATGGGCCTGAGTCACCGATGACAACTGTGTGGAGGTGATGCCACTGCTGCGGCCACAGCCACCAGCCTGCCCTGTCCCGATAGACACCAGTTCCAACAACCTCTCATCTACCTTTCAGGTAATGTGATTGAATGAACTCTGCTGGCAGATAGTTTGCTGGTGTTTAGACAAAGCTAACACTGCTGGAAATAACAAGAGTGGCCTGGCAGGAAGTGTCAGATCATGAATCACTAAAGTCAAAGTTATCTTCAGTCTGTGGCCAAAAACACCGCCCACTGGATTAAAGAGAAGGAACTACTGATGAAAGCAGCAACATGGATGAGTCTTAGAAGGGCAGTGCTGAGGCTGGGTGCGGGGGCTCATGCCTGTAATCCCAGCACTTTGGGAGGCCGAGGCTGGCGGATCACGAGGTCAGGAGATCGAGACCATCCTGGCCAACATGGTGAAACCCCGTCTCTACTAAAAATACAAAAAATTAGCCAGGCGTGGTGGGGGGCACCTGTAGTTCCAGCTACTCGGGACGCTGAGGCGGCAGAATGGCGTAAACCCGGGAGGCGGATCTTGCAGTGAGCCGAGATCGTGCCACTGCACTCCAGCCTGGGTGACAGAGCGAGACTCCGTCTCAAAAAAAAAAAAAAAAGAAGGGCTGTGCTGTGTGAAAAACACTGGAGTACTGGACTCAATGACCCCATTCATATGACGCGCTGGAAGAGCCGTGAAAAAAATGAGAACAATGGTTGCTAGAAATGAGGGAACGGACGGCCCATGGGTGTGGGGCTGGTGGGAAGGGCCATGAGAGAAGAATTCAGAGGTAATGGAAATATTTTGTATTTTGATGAGGGTTTGGACTACGTGACTGTATTTTTAAAGCTCATCAAATTGTACACGAGATCTATTCTGGTGGGCTTCACTGTATGTAAACTTGACCTCTAAAATAGAGCTGTAAACAAATATTGAGCCCTAGCTAATGCTTGACATGCATGTTGAAGTATTAGTGGCGAAATGTACTGATGCCTGCTGCTTACTTTGCAAAGCATCTAAAAATAAGGCGAATTGATGCATATGGAGAGAAATGTGATGAGAAAAACACTGGCAATTGCAGAATCTAGTCGGTACATATCTAGCGGGTATGTATCTGGATGTTAACAATTTCAACTTTTCTGTGTGTTTTAAAACTTCCCTATAAAATGTTGACAGGAATAAAATTATAGAAATTACAGTTTAAGAAAAATTAAATTGGCTGGGTGCGGTGGCTCATGCCTGTAATCCCAGCACTTTGGGAGGCTGAGGTGGGTGGATCACGAGATCAGATCGAGACAGCAGAGATGAATCATGTTACTCAACGTAGAAAGTTGCCATCAGTAAGTGAAACTGACAAAAGGATATCTTAAAAGACAAATGCTTCAAATTTAATATCTGTAAGGAAATATGGCTGGGTGCGGTGGCTCACACCTGTAATCCCAGCACTTTGGGAAGCCGAGGCGGGTGAATCACCTGAAGTCGGGAGTTCGAGACCAGCCTGACCAACATGGAGAAACCCCATCTCTACTAAAAGTACAAAATTAGCCAGGCGTGGTGGCGCATGCCTATAATCCTAGCTACTCAGGAGGTTGAGACAGGAGAACAGCTTGAACCCCGGAGGCAGAGGTGAGCCGAGATCATGCCATTGCACTCATGCCTGGGCAACAAGAGCAAGACTCCATCTCAAAAAAAAAAAAAAAATGCAGTTGATTATGGAGACTGATTAAGAAGTAAACTGCATGATATAAGGGGAACATATTAATCAAAAGTAGAATAATAAATTTCATTATATAAATGTTTTCGTTTTCTACAAGTTAATATATAAAGGACAATAGCATGGAATTAAAGGTGTTGTGTTTTTATTCAAGAATGATTTTTTTTTTATTTTTGATGCAGAGTCTCCCTCTGTTGCCCAGGCTGGAGTGCAGTGGGATGATCTCGGCTCACTGTAACCTCCACTTCCCGGGTTCAAGGGGTTCTCATCCCTCAGCCTCCTGAGTAGCTGGGATTACAGGTGCCGAGCTACCACACCTGACCAAGAATATTTTCTTTTTTTTTGAGATGGAGTCTCATTCTGTCGCCCAGGCTGGAATGCAGTGGCGCAATCTTGTCCTGTCTAACTACACTTTAGAACGCTTTCACCGTCTCCCCAAACCCCTGCCTCCCAGCCCCTGGTATCCTCCATTCTACTCTCTGCTTCCATGAGTTCAATTGTTTTACATTCCACATAAGTCAGATCACGTGGTAGTTGTCTTTTTGTGCCTGGCTCACTTCACTTAACATCATGTGCTCCATTAAGCTCCTGTGAATCCCAGTTTCTAACCTGCAATTGCTCTAAGTGTTTTCATTGCCTTTTCATGGTTTCTACTAAGAATTCCAGAGCCCAGATGCAATGTTTTCACTGCTTTGGATGTTATTCATTGTTTTTCTTTACATCTTGTCCATGGACACACAAATAAACTGTCCGGTGCAAGTGCAGCTGCCGTATGCGCTTCCTGTGAAAGAAGGCCGGTTTGACATCTATTAAACAAATCCATCTCAGCATTCTTAACAGCCTTTATATTGTTTGATATCAAGCTCAGTCATTTAAAAAATATGCCTCTGTCTTTGTAAGATTACCTATGGGTTGGAGAAGACTTATGTAATATTCAACTCAGCAGATAATGTATATAAAAATTATTGCATATGATTTAATGATCTGGAATCAATTTTAACTGTTTATATGTCACACTTGGGAAAAAGCAGGACAATTATAAAATTTAATAATGGCATCTCCATAAAAAGCAATAATTCATATTCTACTTTAAAAATCCTTTCTCTTATGTAGAGGAGTAAGTGGCATCCTGGTGGCACCAGAAGGATGTACTGGTGAGCTTGTGTAGTGGTCACTAAGTTAACGCGTGTTGCTTTATTTGACTGATACTGATGTTGCCATCTTAGCTTCCGGCAGTTAGGTGGGCAGAAAACCCAAAGTTAGTAACTTTGGACAGTTGCAACAATGTTAGTAACTCAAGGGCCAAAGTGATGGATTAAACGGCCAGTCCAGGCAATCTCTGGTTCACCCTCATGATGACAGAGTGCTTTTAGGTAGTGAGGCAGTGCTTAGTCTCAAGGCAGCCTCCCTTCCCCTCATGCATTACCTGGTGTTTGTGGGCAGGAGTGTGGATCCTGTATACATGCCTGGGGTTGTGGGTGTGGGGAGGGGCCTCCAGTGTGCTGGGGTATACCCTGGGGCCTCTGTAGGTGCCTGATCCATAGATGCTCCCTGTGGCCTCGTCACAGGGGTCACCAGGCCCCTGGTGGCTTACAGTGTGGAAGTTGGAGGCTTCACCATAATCTGTGGCCTGAGCTTGGCCTCAGGGAATATTTCCGGGTGGTGTCAGCTGTATCTCCTCCTTACTCAGTGTCGTAGGGGAGCAGCGACTCTCTGGGACAGTGGGATGGGTGGTAAAAGAATTTACCAAGACAGTTGTAGGTAAAGAAAGGCAGATTCATTGGACACCACAGAGCTTACATGTTTGTGGTGATGTGGGTGTGAACATACGATTATCGACAGTGCATAATGCTTGATGAAAATAATAGATGCTGATGTTATTGTTTTATGTATTTAATATCCTATATTTTTTATTGTTATTTTAGAGTATATGCTTACTACTTTTTTTTAAGGTAACTGTGAAGCAGCCTCAGGCAGTTTCTTCAGGAGGTTTCCAGAAGAAGGCATTCTTATCAAGGAGATGACAGCTCCATGCCTGTTACTGCCCCTGAAGACCTTCCGGTGGGACAAGATGTGGAGGTAGAGGACAGTGAAATTGATGATCCTGACCCTGCTTAGCCTTAGGCGAAAGTGTCTGGTTGTGTCTTGTTTTTTAACAACAAACGGTTTAAAAGTAAAATAAATAAATAATGAAAAAAGCTCATAGAATAAGGTTAAAAAGAAACAAAATATTTTTGTATAGCTATATAATTTGTGTGGCTTTTTTGTTTATTTGTTTGAGACAGGGTCTCACTCTGTCACCCAGACTGGAGGGCAGTGGCACAATCACAGCTCACTGTGGTCTCAACCTCTTGAGCTCCAGAGATCCTCCCACCTCACTCAGGAGGACGTCAGTCCTCCAGGCAGACGTCAGTCCCCAGGTGGACCCTGGACTCAAAGTGTATACCAGGCCCCAAGTTGACAACCAGGCCCCAGATGGACACCAAGGCCCTAGGTGGACAGCAGGCCCATGTTGAACACCAGACTCATGAGGACATCAGGCCGCAGGTAGACATCATGCCTTAGGTAGATACGTAGGCTCCGGGTGGACATTAGACCCAAGGCTCCAGGTAGACATTAGACCCAAGGCTCCAGGTAGACATTAGACCCAAGTCCCCAGGTGATCATCAGGCCCAGGTGAAAACTCAGGCCTTAGGTGCACATCCGGCCTCAGGTGGACACCCAGGCCCCAGGTGGACACAAGGCCTTAGGTGAACAACAAGACCCAGTAGGCCATCAGGCCTCAGTTGGATACAGTCCCCAGGTGAACACAAGGCCCCCAGAGGGACATAGGCCCAACGCAGACATCAGGCCCTAGGTGGACATCAGGCCTGAGGACATCCGGCCCCTGGTGAACATCAGGCACAGGTGTCCAAGCAGACCTTGGGTGGACATAACAGTGTACAGGTAAGGAGTTGACGTGGGGGGAGGGTGAGTAGTCAGCAGCCCAGTGGAGTCCTGGAGTAGGTCTTATGGAAGGAAGGGGTCTAGGGAACAGAACCGTAAAGAAGCGACGTCACTTCCTGGATGATGACCACACGAACAGAACTTAGAACTCTGGTAACCAGGCACCCATATCCTAGAGTCAGCGCCGTAAACAGCTCACTTGGTGGGAGACGCTCAAGAGAGCAAGATGTTCTCGTGTTGCTTCTCCACTTTGAGAGGTTGCTGCTTCAGGAACGGAGGGAGTGAGAGCCTTTTCTGACGATGCCGAAGAAGGCTCATCCCTCACCCCAGACGCCTGTCGCCCGTTGTAATAAGGCGCATCCAGGTACCACAGGACAGCCTGGGGCAGGCCCTAGCAGGCCAGGCCACACCAGAGATCCCATTGGGGCTGCAGCTGCACACTGTCCTTGTCCAGGAGATTCAGGAGCTCATTGAGGCACAGACACGTGGTGAGGTGGCCTGCAGCCTGGAAGACTTTGCAGGGGCGGTGCTTTTGGGCTGGAATTCCCTTAAATTCAGTGAGGTCGTTTCTGTGTTTGGAAATTCCAGTGGAAAGTGACTGATGCTGGTGACCCTTTCTCCTTTCTCAGCTCCTGGTCCATGTGCAGAAGTAAGAGCACTGCCAGCACCAGCGGCGGAGCCAGAGCCAGCATGGGAAGAGGCCCCTCCAGAGAGAGCACTGGAGCTGGAGGGAGCTCCAGCCAAGGACCAGACCAATGAGGAGCTGCCTGAAATCACGGCACGTACTGTAGCCACTGGCCCTAACCCTGGAACTGAAAGCGTGGCTGGAGAGAAAAGTGGGAGGGAGGGGGTGACCAGCACAGCCCCAGCCAGCAGCTCCCATGCTGCCCCTAGTCCTGGGCACGGTGGCAAACATGCAGGCAGAGAGCAGGGCATTTGGCCTGGCCTCCTGTACCTCGCTGCAGAGAGGCTTCTCTCATTCACTAGAACCACAGTCCTGCTGCTGCAGGTCCGTTTATTCTCCTGATCTTGGTTTATCTGTGTGCAGGAGGTGCCGGAGAGCATTAAAAGAAGGCTGGGAGGAAGAGTTCCAGCAGCTACGCCTGCTCCCAGAGGCAACCTCCTCCTCCAGGCATGGATGCGGGTCCACAGCTGGGCATCCAGGCTGTTTGCCCCTAATGTGCTGCCCGGGACAGGCCCTTAACAGGCGGGCAGTGGGTGAGGGGACCAGGAGGTGGCTCCAAAGGGTAAAGCAAACAAAGCTTTTAACGACAGCCGTTGTGCCCCAGGCTCTCCATGCCACCACCTGCCCTACCATTTATTAATAGTGTTAGAATTACAAGTTGATGAAACGAGATTACAATAAAGTTTGATTTCTGAAACTTCATGCCTTTTTGAACTCCCTAATGTTAGATGGTGTTTTTGAGGCTATCCTGAAAATCTCTGATAGTTGTGTCTTTTGTTGTGGTTGTTTGTGTGGCTGAATTACCATCGAGTCATCTGTTATTGGAAACCTTTCAGGTATGGCTTTTAGAAGACCTTGACCTACTCTTGCCTGTTTTGACTCTCTGGTTTACTGTGGAAAGAGGGATGATGTAGGCTCATGTCTCCGGCAGATCATTCACCTTTTGCCATCAAGGATTTGGCATCAGAGTTTCCAAGAATTATGTGTGCAAGTTGATATGCTGCTACTTTAGCTAATCTGGGTGTCAAAACAGAATGCCATAGACTAGGTAGCGTAGAAAATTGATTTCTCACAGTTCTGGAGATGGTAAAATCCAAGGTCAAATTGTCAGCGGATTCCGTGGGGCTGACTTCCTGGTTCATAGACAGCCACCTTTTTTACTGTGTCTTTACATGACAGAAGGGATGAGGGAGCTCTCTGCAGTCCCTTTGAAGGGGCACCAATTCCATTCATGAGGTCCCTGCCTTCATGAACTGAATCACCTGCCAAGGCCCCACCTCCAAATACCATCACATAGAATTAGAATTCAACACATGAATTTAAGGAGGACAATAACATTTGCTTCACAGAATCAGGTCACCCCGCACCATATGCACTCACAGGAAATCTCTAATCTCCTGTTAAGTATTTGCTGGTCCCCTCTGGGTTTAGGGAATTTTTTTTCTTTAAGAAAAATGATTTTTCATGTGATCCATGGTTTATTCATAGAAAAGCACTGTGAGTTCATACACTTGCTAAAAAGAAGGGCAATTGTGATACGAAAATGAGAGTGACCTCTCTCCCTCTCTTCTTTTCAACCAACTCATTGGACTGAGATGTTATAGGGTCCCTTGGCTGGGCAGTAGGACGTGAGTAGCCACAAACGGCAAATACAACTTCTTGGTCAGTTTGGAGTAGAAAAGGTGACATTTTGTCAACGAAAGAAAAAGGAAAGCAGATGGAGAAGTTCTTAGTTTGCATTCTAGCTATACCACCCCTTCCCTATCAAACCCCACCCCCAGCTAAGGAACTAAGACATAAAAGAGTAAACACCAAGGCACTGGTAACCAACTGACTCTTCTGAATGCTCTTGCTATCTCCTACAATAATTCCAGGCTGAGTATAGGGGTCAGGAAAGTAGCAGGAACATGATGATTCACTGTGGAGGTCAGCCAGGGCTAAGACAGGGTTGCCCACTGGGGCTAGAAATTAGGAAGGGAGAGGCTAAGTGAAGACCAGCCCTAGCCTCCAAGTCAGCAAGCAATGAGACTGTGACAAAAGCA
The DNA here is from genome assembly GCF_000001405.40 of Homo sapiens. Taxonomy (NCBI): domain Eukaryota; kingdom Metazoa; phylum Chordata; class Mammalia; order Primates; family Hominidae; genus Homo; species Homo sapiens. The sequence continues at coordinate 14,027,015 of NC_000017.11, forward strand.
GGCAGAGAAAGGCAGGGGAAGAAAGCAAGTACGGGGTGAGAAGAGAACTGTGCAGTGAAAACAGCCAATCTTGATGGCAGAGGGAGACTGGTGCTTAGAAGCTCATTTGGTGAGAGAGAATGAATAGAGGAGGCACAGAGATGGGGAACATTTAACTAGTGAGAGAGATGTAAGATGAATGGGAAGAGAAATCTCGCAAAAAGGACACATTCATGCAGATCCTCAAAGAAGAACACGCAGTCACCCCCACATGTAGAAATATACTCAGTTACACATATAAAAACACAGATGCATGGAGAGCAAGCATACACACAGACACGTATCTCTACACATGCACTCATGTGTGCCCAGATACACACACACTAAACATGCAAGACATGAGAGCATTTACACATAGATATGCATCCTCACATGCAAGCAAATGTTACAACCTCACACAGGGACCCACATTCCAGTGTGCACATATCCACCCAGGTACACAGCCATAGAACTGACATACGTACACATCAACGTATAATGTGCACATACAGACAGGCACGCGCAGATATATCTATGCACATAGACACATGTACTCAGTCATACAGATACACACACTCTCTAACACAAAGGTGACCAGTGTAGATGAATATTGTGAGCTCAGTGGCTTCCCAGACCTTCATCTTTTCCCTGCTCTTGTTTCAAAGGTGCTCAGCAGACTCCTGGCGAGGCTGTGTGAGGCAGGGGCAGGACCTTCAGAGTCCTCACAGCTTTGTGAGGCAAAAGTCTGAGTCCAGTCCTGGCCTCTGCCGCTCACCCACCACTGGGCTATTAATGCCCTGTCTGTAGGCGAGAGATTCTGCATAGACTAGTCTTGGGATTTTTTTCTAACTGGCCATTTTTCTCCTTGGCACACCCACTATCCCACTGGTAACGGCACACACTCTGCAAGGGAAACCTGAGAAATGGTTGTGAGTCTCCTCAGACAATAAGCATACCCTCCCACCCACAGCTACCTCAAGTGCCCATCAAATCAGAACCAGAATTATAAATACTTACGACTTTACAGTAATTGGCAACACATATACTATAGTACTTACAGTACCATAAATGCATCTGTTTCTCTGGTGAAGCAATCTCTGAGATGGAACAGTGTTCTGTGTTTGCCAAGGGAGACAGGGCCAATGCCCAGGACACGCAGGACATAGGGGCAGAAAGTGGCATATCGTGGGGGTTTCTGGTCGATCTGCAAGGCCCAGCTTCTCCATGAACAGTGGGCTGTAGTGAGAAGCTTGCCAAGGTATGCATATCGACTGGAGTTGGACTCTCCCCATCCTTAGCCCTGTGGTCCTTTGGCCTCAGCCACAGGTGCTCAGAGTCCTCTCAGGGTGGACAAATGTCTCAGTGTCGTTGGCCTGACCTGATACTACCTGGAGACCCAGGCTGCCGGGCTGGTGAGCTATCTGCTTTCTCAGCCAAAGGGCTCTCGAACCAGCAGCATCAGCTGGTTATAACCACTAAAAAAATCTATATGAAGAGATACTCTTTTAAAAAAAAAACTATATATAAATTGAAATATAATTCTAAAGGAAATGTCCAAACAACCCAAAGGAAGCAGGAAAAAGAAAACAGAAATAATAAGCAGAGACACAAACAGAAAACAAAAAATTATTATGCCCTAACATATCAGTAAATATATTAAATGTAATGATCTAAATACACCAATTAAAAGACACATTGCCAGAGCAGACTTTTTTAAATGATTCAACTATACAGTGTCTAGAAAAAATTCACTGCAAATATAATGATTACAGGCAGGTTGAAAATAAAAAAATAAAAATGATACATCCTGAAAATATTAATCTACAGGGAACAGTCATTATATTATCAGATAAAGTATATTTCAGCACAAAGAAAATGACCAGAGACTGAGAGGAATATTACGTAATGATAAAAGGGTCAATTCACTGAGACATAGTGAGCCTAAATGTTCATGCACCTTTAAACATCAGAGCTGCAAAATAATGTGAAGCTAAAACTAATAGAACTGAAAGGAAAAATAAATAAATCCACAAATACAGTTGGAGACTTCAACACCTCTCAATAATCCAATTAAAGTAGTCCTAGGAGGGAACTAAATGTAACTAAAATGCTCACATTAGAAAAGAGGAAAGGTCTCAAATCAATAACGTATGCTTCCACCTCTAGAACCTAGAAAAAGAAGCACAAAATATACCAAAAGCAAGAAAAAGAAGGAAATAATAAAGATAAAAGTAGAAATCAATGAAACTGAAACCAAATCAATGAGCTGGTTCTTGGAACAAATTGATAAAATTGACAAACTTCTGACAAGATCAACAAAGAAAAAAAGACATAATGGCACAAATTAATATCAGAAATAAAACAGGGATACCATTACAGATTCTGCAGACATCAAAAGGATAATGAAGAATACTAATACAATTCTACAAATATTAATTTGACAACATACAGAAAATTGACCCGTTTCACTGAAAAACACAGATAATTAAAATGATCTTATAAATATTAAGGAAACTGAATATGTAATTTTATAACACACACAAAAAAATCTCCGAGCTCAGATGGTTTTACTTAAGATTTCTACCAAGTGTTTAAAGAATGAATGCTAATTCCATATAATCTTTTTAGGAAAACAGAAGAAACGCTTTCCAATTCATTTTATGAAGCTAGTATTACCCTGATACCAAAACCAGACAAACTATATACAAAACCCAAAAATTTGTTAAAAGGGAAAAAAGAAACTATGGACTAATATCCCTCATGAATATACAGTAATTCACCCTTTCTCCCATCCACTGTTCTGCAGTTTCGCTTTCCTGGGTTTGTTACTCACGGTCAGCCACAGCCTGAAAATATTAAATGGAAAATTCCTGAAATAATTTACGAGCTTTAAACTGCATGCCTTTCTGAGTAGTGTGATGAAATCTTGCATCGTCCTGCTCCATCCCAGCTGGGAGGTAGATCTTCCTCTTTGTCCATCGCATCCAAGCTGTATACTTCACCTGCCCCTTAGTCACTTAGTAGCCAACAGTTATCAGATCTACTGTGGTGGTATTGCAGTTCTTGTGTTCAAATAATGCTTGTTTTACTTCATAATGGCCCCAAAGCACAAGAGTAGTGATATGGTTTGGCTGTGTCCCCAACCAAATCTCATCTTGAATTGTAACTCCCACAATTCCCACATGTCGTGGGAGGAACCTGCTGGGAGGTGATTGAAGTACAGGGGTGCATCTTTCCTGCACTGTTCTTGTAATAGTGAATGAGTCTCACAAGATCTGATGGTTTTCAAAACGGGAGTCTCCCTGTACAAGCTTTCTCTTTGCCAGCTGCCATCCATGTAAGACATGACTTGCTCCTTCTTGCCTTCCACCATGATTGTGAGGCCTCCCCAGCCATGTGGAACTGTAAGTCCAGTACACCTCTTTATTTGGTAAATTTCTCAGTCTCAGGTATGTCTTTATCAGCAGCGTGAAAATGGACTAATACGAGTAGTGATGGTAGCAATTTGGATATGCCCAAGAGAAGCCATAAAGTGCTGCCTTTAAGTGAAAGGGTAAAAGCTTTCAATTTAAGGAAAAAAAAATTCGTATGCTGAGCTTGCTAAGATTTACAGTAAGAAAAAAAATCTATTTGTGAAATTGGCCGGGCGCTGTGGCTCACGCCTGTAATCCCAGCACTTTGGGAGGCCGAGGCTGGCGGATCACGACGTCAGGAGATCGAGAGCATCCTGGCTAACATGGTGAAACCCCGTCTCTACTAAAAATACAAAAAAAATTAGCCAGGCCAGGTGGTGGGTGCCTGTAGTCCCAGCTACTTGGGAGGCTGAGGCAGGAGAATGGCGTGAATCTAGAAGGCCGAGTTTGCCGTGAGCTGAGATTGTACCACTGCACTCCAGCCTGGGTGACAGAGCGAGACTCCGTCAAAAAAAAAAAAAAGACAATTTTTCCCAAATTCACATATAAATTCAATACAATTTCAATAAAAATTTCAGTAGGGTTTTTCGAAGAACTTGACAAGATGATTCTTAAATGCATATGAAAGAATAAAAATTCAAGAATAGGCTAGACAATTGCAAAGAAGAAGGAGGAGAAGGAGGCAGAGAAGGAGGAAAAGAAAAAAGCAGGGTGGTTATCCTTTTGAATATTGATACTACATTATCATGTAAAACTATACTAAACAATGTGATATTGCCACAGGGAATAGAGAGCGTACGAATAAAACCACTTAGATATGTAAATGTGGAATATGACAGAGATAACATCACAAATCACTGGGCAAAGAATGAGAGTCTTCATTAAATGATGCTGAGACATCACCATATAGAAAAAGATAGATTCAAGTATTTATATGAAAGACGGTAAAATTGGGTACTACTTCATAGCATACTCAAAGTTGCCTAAATGTGAAAAGCTAAATTTAAAAAGAATATATAGAAGAATATCTTGATGACATCTGAGTACTGCCATATTACTTATAATGCTAAAAGCATAAACCATATTGAGAAAAGAAAGTATTGAGAATGTAACTACATTAAACTAAATACTTCCATGTATCAAGATGACAACAAAAAGAAGGTCAATAGCTACCATGGGAAGGTGTTTACAACCTATGTAACTCACTTTATTCAGCAGAATGTCATAGAATTCGTTTAAAATCAGACAAAATGAAAATCCAAGAAAAAAATAAGCATAAATAGATAACAAGCATATGAAAAGATGCTCTTACCTCTCTAGCAATCAAAGAAGAGTGCAAATGAGAATAATGAAATACCACCTCACATCAGTCAGATTAGCAAAAATCAGCGAACTCAATGATACAAAGAATTGATGGAGTTAGCGAGAAATGGAAAACTTATACAGTGCTGGCAGAACTGCAAATTGGTACAATTACTTTGAAGAGCAATTTTGGAATAACTAAAAAAAAAATGTTAATATGAGTAATCTACCAAGCAGAAATTTGGCTTCTAGATGTTTACCAGAGAGTAAATGCACAAGGATGTATATTCAAGACTATTCATTGCAACATTTTTCATAATAGCAAAATAACTGGAAAAAGACCCCATAAATGTTATAAGATTATATACTTTTTAAAAAGGAGAGAAATCCTATGTATAGCTTTTTATGGTTGCATACATGTTTAGAGAAAGTATATAATGATACACAGCAATATCCATATAGCAATGGGATACGGCAAAGGGCTCCAGGGCCAGATTGCCTGTGTTGGAATCCTGGCACACCAGCTGTGTGGCCTTGGACAAGCTGCTTAACCAATTTTTTTCTCAACCTCTCATCTATAAAATGAAGGATAATAATAGTATCTATGTCATATGTCTGCGGTGGACATTTAAGGAGTTAATGTATGTAAAGTGCTTAGAATACTGCCTGGCATACAGCAAATTTGCGGTTTTTATTACCATCATTATCATCATCATTGTTGCTGTCATCAACATCATCATCAATACAATGGTTACCTCTGGGAAGTACGGGGGAAGGATAGAGAGAAATCTACAGCTTTATGTATAAGTAAATATGCCTACATATTAACATATATTAAATTTGAGTTTAATATGAATATTGTTAGGTGTATTTTAGTATATGGCTATTGATGTCATATAACTGGGATTTTGCTGTGTGTTGCAGATAGTTCATATATTAAAAGTGTTTTTTATGTAAAAACATGAATATTCTGTGAAATATTATGGAAAAATGTTTAAACTCTATTATGGATTGAGTGACTGTAAGATGAAGGTATTCTAGGAACACATTTTTGGACAAATACTTGACAGCTAGCTAGCAACAACCATGTTACAACTGCAAGTTACAAGTTAATATTTGAAAAAAGAAAAACCAGAGAAGTTAAAAGTATTTCTTTTTAGGCACATTTGAGATCCAAAGTAGCAGGAAAAAGGAGAGAAATGCAGTTTCTAGGGAGGACTTAAACACAGAGGACCTGGAGATGCCACAGAAATACTGTTAGTTGATATAAGTATTAGAAAAATATATTCCCTGAGAAAACTATTACAATATCCTGCAGAACATTTATTCATTTTAAAATAAATATTTATTGTTCTTGAATTATGTATGCATTTATGTTTTCTGTTTGTCTTTTTGCCTGAGGCAGACTTCAGCTATATTTTAAAGAGAAACATAAAGGAAACTTTTATATTCTTTATGTGCATATACCATAATGAAGGCTTTTGTGGCTGTATTCCTAGAAAGACGATTCTCTGTCCTGGTGCTTTCAGTGGCAAGTGAAAATAGCCATCGATACCTTGCTTAAACAATAGAGCTTCATTGTTCGCAATCCTAAGAAGTCTGGAAGGAAGCCATCCTAGGGTTTGTTCAGCTGCTCAACAACACCCACAAGACTCAGGCTTCTTCTGACTGCTTGTTTGGCCCTCCTGTGTGTTGGGATGTTTTGCCCAAGGTCATGAGATAGCTGCAGCAACACTAAGCATCATGTCTTCCCACAGCCACGTTCAAAGGCAGAAACAAATGGGGGAGCAGAACCCTTGCTTACCTCCTGTTTTATCAGGCAGAAGAATCTTTCCCAGATGCCCCTCAAGAGAACTTCTCTTCCACCACCTTGGTGACCAGAACTGAGTCACGTGGCCATCCCTAAATGGTTCACTGGCAAATGGAATTGGGATTGTCATGACTTTGCGAGGCTCATCACGAATTTGTCTCCTAGGACAAATTCTGGCCTATTGCCACCTGTATCTGAACTAAACCAGGGTTGTATTATCAAGGAGAAAGAGCCACAAAGAGGAACACAGGTGAGTCTTACCAAATGGAAAAAGCAAAGGCAGAAAACAGAGAAAACACAGAATCATGTATTACCTACTCAGTTTTCTCTGATGAGATATTTCACTTGTGGCAGACACTATTGGCTGTTGGGAATTACCTACCTCTTTCCTGACAGGAGTACCAGATTTGTTTATATATTGGATGGCCAAGTGTTTTCCAAAGGACTCACCTAGTGGTGAATCTTAGTTGCTCTGTACCCATTGCGGTAAGTCCATCCCTGTTGCCAGCAACTGCTTCAGGAATGAGAAACGGAATGTGAAGAGAAATCTTCGGTGGAGCCTCCAGAAAGGGGCAGGAGAGAGGAGACCCTCTCCCTGGTCATGGAGCATTGTGGTGTAAGGGTGTCTTTACTGTCACTGCTGCTGCCATGGTGCAAGCCTGAAGGGTGCAGAGCTTTAGCCACCATAGTGAAAATGGGTCCTGGGTGATACTGTTGAGCTCTAGATTAATTAGCCGTTTAACCACTCGACTCCCAAACTTCTTGGAATGTGAAATAATCATTTCTCTTCTTGGCTTAGGCCATTTTTGTTTGATTTTTCTGTTGCTTGCAGTCAAATCATCCTGATGCCATACTCACACTGAAATGTATAAAGCAAGAAATTTAGTGAGAGATTTTAAAAATCTAGATAAGGAGCTAACAGAAACACATCTGGCTGCTTTAAACTGGTTGAATCCACATGTTCAGAATAATCAAGTCCCACAATATTTAAAGAAAACCTTTTATTAAAGGTGTTCTATGTATAGGACTTTTCTGTGCCCCATGATGAGACAGAGACTGAGAGGGCATAGGGATACAAAAACGTACAAAATGCATGATCCTTAAATATAAGAAGTTTGTAATACAGTTGAGGAGAACATTGACAGTAAAAATCCTAAATGACACATCAGTTTTAAGGTAATCCTACTATTTTCAAGGATGGCACCTATTATCAACCAAGTAACAAATTGTTCTATCATATCATAATGCATCAAATGTTAGAATCCTTCACCACACAAAAATCACTGGGTCCTAAAGTATACAAGACAAATCTTTAAATTCGTTAGATCGGTCCTTCTTTTGAAATAGCTGCTGACAGCTGTAATCCCAGCACTTTGGGAGGCCAAGACGGGTGGATCACGAGGTCAGGAGATTGAGACCATCCTGGCTAACATGGTGAAAACCCATCTCTACTAAAAATACAAAAAATTAGCTGGGCGTGGTGGTGGGCACCTGTAGTCCCAGCTACTCGGGAGGCTGAGGCAGGAGAATGGCGTGAACCCGGGAGGTGGAGCTTGCAGTGAGCCGAGATCCTGCCACTGCACTCCAGCCTGGGCGACAGAGTGAGACTCTGTCTCAAAAAAAAAAAAAAAGAAAAAAGAAACAGCTGCTGACATCTGAATAGATTTACTTTACCCCTAAGCAAACTGAAAATTCATAAGACATATGTCCAATTTTTCACTGAGGCATTTTACCATTTATGAACAATCATAGACTCATTCATTTAGTAGAGTCTAAATTAATGAGACTTCACTGTATTTGCATTTGAGTATGGTGATTTCCAATTTGATGGTTTATCTTTAAATTTGTGGATGAAAATAAAACTAACAGAGATGGCAGAGAGCAGGCTGACCTGCTCACACTTGATGTATACGTTTTGGTATTTGTGGAGAAAGTGCCCAAGGCAAGAAAGACTCTAAGTAGTGATGGGTGCATTCTGCCTTCCTGGGGACCCTGAAGGAGATGAAGAGTGCTAAGCCTTGGCAGGAAGGCAGCAACCCAGATATGAAATACTTGAGTTCTGAATATGTCTACCAGAGCATATATTTATCAAAATTCCATTCTAGACCATAAAGCAGATGCATCAATAAATAAAGCAGTAGCTCTCATTAGCTAAGTCAGGTTTGTTTCGTATTTTGTTGTAGTGACTTCTAAATAAACTTTGGTTGTAGTGTGAGTGATTTAGCAGCCCTGGCTTTATTTTAATTTTAAAATATTTAATTGACAAAATATTATATATATTCAAGGTGTACAATGTGATGATTTGGTATGCATATACATTGTGTGCTGACTACCACAAATTAGTTAACACATCCATTACCACCCATAGTTACGTGTGTGTGTATGAGAGAAAAAGAGAGAGACGAGGTCGCTTAAAATCTGCTCGCTTACAATCTTCATGTAAACAATACAGTATTATTAACTATAATCACCATGCTGTACATTAGATCCCCAGAGCTTACTTGTCTTATAACTGAAAGTTTGTACTCTTTGAGCATCTCCCCATTTCTCCCACTCTCCAGCATCAAGGGATGAGAGGGTGTTTCAATTTCTAAAACATTCTCTTCATTAGAATGACTACTATCTCTATTAGTCCATTCTTGCATTGCTATATAGAAATACGTGAGACTGGGCCGGGAGCGGTGGCTCACACCTGTAATCCCAGCACTTTGGGAGGCCAAGGCGGATGGATCATGAGGTCAAGAGATCGAGATCATCCTGGCCAACATGGTGAAACCCCGTCTCTACTAAAAACACAAAAATTAGCTGGGCATGGTGGCGGGCACCTGTAGTCCCAGCTACTCAGGAGGCTGAAGCAGGAGAATCACTTGAACTCGGGAGGTGGAGGTTGCAGTGAGCAGAGATGGCACCATTGCACTCCAGCAAAAAAAAGAAAAAAAAAAGAAAAGAAAAAAAAGAAATAACTGAGACTGGGTAATTTATAAAGAAAAGAGGTTTCACTGGCTCACGGTTCTTCAAGCTGTACAGGAAGCATAGCAGTTTCTGCTTCTAGGGAGGGGGCACTCAGGAAGTTTCCAATCATGGCAGAAGGGAAAGTGGGAGTGAGGCACTTCACAGGGCTGGAGAAGGAGGAAGAGAGAGAGTGGGAAGATGCCACACACTTTTAAACAACCAGAACTCAGGATAGCTCACTCACTCACTGTCAATGAGAACTGCACTGAGGGGCCTGTGCTAAACCATTCATGAGAAACTGCCCCCATGATCCAACCACCTCCCATCAGGCCCCACCTCCAAGGTTGAGGTTACAATTGAACATGAGATTTGGGTGGGGACACGGATCCAAACCATATCACTGTAAGGGGTCTCTGCCCTCCACTTCTCATGGAATCCTGCAATCTTGGAGGAGAGCATTACTCCATTGATTGTTAAATGAGCCTGTTTTAGTGTCAAGGTCATGAAAGACAAGAAATGAAGCTGTCCCATATTGGAGGTGACTGAAGAGGTGTGATAACTTAGTGCAATGTGGTGTATCCTGGATTGAATCCTAGAGTAGAAAAAGGACATTAATGGAAAGACTGAGAAACCCCAAATAAATTCTGCAGTTCAGTTCATAGTATTACACCATGTTAATTTCTTAGTTTGGATTAATGTATCATGGCTACCTAAGACGCAACCGTAGGATGCAGAGCATACAAAAACACTCTGAATATCTTTACAGTAAATTTTTATTTTTTTTAGACATTTAAATTTACCACATCAGCCTAAATTAAACTTTTTAAAAGTAAAACACTTTTAATAAATTATCTTCTGTGTGACAGAAGATACAATGTGTTTTTCTCCAGAGAAACTGATGATGTTTGCAGAGTGATTATTGGGTATAGACCCTACTTTGAAGAAATTCATGCAGGTTGCTTGACTTTATTTCAAGGTAAATATAATGATCACTATATAGGCTATGTGGACATAGCTCATTTTCTCAGGTGAGATTTATGGAAGTGAGAAAAAGGTTAAAGTATACACTGGCAAGTCTGCTACTCATTACCCACTTGTCAGTTTGTTTACCAGCTGTGTTCTGAGAAAGAACTAGAGTTCTAGGAAGTTAAGAGGCAGGCCAAGGAGGTTACTGGGAAGTGAGAGTGTGGATCTTGGGTTTCCAGCCTTGTGTACGTAACAGCTATCCTTCAACCTATACTTTGGAGATATTTTCTGCATAGGATTTCATTTGGTTAAAATGTTGTATTGCATGGGTTTGTCCATGGGGGTGTTCAGAGGTTCTCTTTGTATTTTTAAACTATTCATATGGAAAATGTCAAATATCAACAAAAAATAGAGAAAATAGTTCAGTGAATCCTCATGTACTGATCAACCAGCTTCAATAATGATCAACTCGTGTCCATTCTTGTTTCATCTATACCATAATCACTCCCCCAGCAACAGCTTTCACGTGATTATTTTGCAGTAAATCCCAGACATTACATCATTTTATCTGTAAATATTTCTTTAAGTGATATCATTTTTGTAAAAAACATAACCACAATATCCTTATCATACCTTAAAAAATGAAAAATAGTGCCTCATCAAATTTAAATTTCCATAGTTACTCATAAGGTTTTTTTTTTATAGTTTGTTTAAACAAGATCCATGCCTTGTTTTTGGTTTTTATATCTCTTAATTGTCATATAATCTAAAGGTCCTGCCTTTTGGGATGGTTTGTTCATTCTGCAGAGCTTTCCAGTTTCTGGGTTTTGCTGATTAGGTCCTTGTGGTATCATTTAACACATTCTTCTGTCTCTAGGCTTTTCTTCTGCTGACTGTTCTGTAAACATTCTTTTCCATGCTGGTCTCTGTTTTGGCACCAGTGGTGACCTCATTCACTGCCACGGCTTTATTCCAGCCCACTTGAGATATGCACACCCAATTGCTGGGTAGAAACCACCATTTAAGTAGCCCACAGTCACCTCCAATTTCAAAAAGTCTGTCTAAAACAGAGGGCACTGTCTTCTCTCCCTTCATCTACCAAGACTTCATCCCTCCAGTGTTCCTTCTCCTCAGGGAACGGAACCACATTCTGCACCAAGGTCCATGCCAGGAACATGGGCTCCATCTCTGACACCTTTTTCTTCTGCACCCCCTACATCCAATCCATTCCAATCCCTGTTAATTCTCCCAGAACCATCTAACCTGTCCACTTCTCTCCATGTCCAAGGCCAGCAATCTTGTTGATGCCACTAGTATCTCTAATCCTGGATTGTTTTAGCAGCATCCTAACTAGTTTTCCCGTCACAATTCCTGCGTTATTTGAAATTATTTTTTCATTCTGCATGTAGAATGGTCTCTTGAAAATAAACCTGATTGGGCCGGGCGTGGTGGCTCATATCTGTAATTCCAGCACTTTGGGAGGGTGAGGCAAGTGGATCACCTGAGGTCAGGAGGTCAAGACCAGTCTGGCCAACATGGTGAAACCCCTTGTCTACTAAAAATACAAAAATTAGCCAGGCGTGGTGGTGGGCACGGGTAGTCCAGCTACTCAGGAGGCTGAGGCAGGAGAATCACTTGAACCCAGGAGGTGGAGGTTGCAGTGAGCTGAGATTGTGCCATTGCACTCCAGCCTGGGCAACAAAGTCAGACTCCATTTCAAAAAAAAAAAAAGAAAGAAAATAAATCTGATCATGTTGCTCTCCTATTTAGAATATTCAATGGCTCTCTATTGCTCTGAGAATAAAAGCTAAATTGTTAAACACAGAAAGCCCTTTAGGATCTGAACCCTGCTTACTTTTCCAAATTCATTTCTCCCCTCCTTTCCCCCTACTTTCTATCCTGCACCCCAGTCATCAGAGACTTCTCCTGTATCTCCAAATGTGCCTCCAAGCTCTCATGCCTTTCTCCATTGCCCTCATTCCTTTCCCCCCTCACTTGCTTAAACCTTACTACTTGTGTGTGGACTTCTTCTGTTATGTGCCTTCGGATCCCCTCAGTGTAACCACCCAAGGACTGTTTTAGTTATTCCTCCAGTATGTTCTCACACACCTGGATTTAGCCCTAATCATAGCACTGCTTGTATCCCACTGCTTGTATGTGTATGTAGCAGTGCCTACTGTGTGCTAAGCTTTGGTTAGGACCTGAGTATATGCAAAGAACACAACGTGCTTCCAACTCTTAAGGAGATTACTGTGTAGCATTTAATTAATGAATTGGCTGAATTGATAAGGAAATGTGATGGTTGATTTTATGTGTCAACTTGACTGGGTTAGGGATACCTAGATAACTAGTAAAAATATTATTCCTGGGTGTGTCTGTGAGGTTGTTTCTAGAAGACATTAGCATTTGAATCCTTGGACTGAGTAAAGATTGCACTCACCAATGTGGGTGGGCATCGTTCAACCCATTAAGGGCCTGGATAGAATAATACAGTGGAGGAGCAATGCATTTGCTTTCTCTTCTAGAGCTGGGACATCTATCTTCTCCTGCCCGTGGACATCAGAGCTCCAAGTTCTTGGAACTTTGGACTCTGGAACTTACAGTGCCCCCCACCTCCTTCTCAGGCTTTTGACCTCAGACTGAAAATTACAGAATTGGCTTCCCTGGTTCTCTGGGCTTTGAACTCAACACTCATTTACATAATTGGCTTTCCTGATTCTCCAACTTGCAGATGATGTATCATGGGACTTCTTGGCTTCCATAATCTTATGAACCAATTTCCCTAATAAATCTCTTCTTATATATCTCTCTACATATATATCCTATTGGTTCTGTTTCTCTGGAGAAACCAGACTAATACAAGGAATAAATGAATGATTCAATCAATTAACCAATGAGTAAAAATGCTCATGTAAATGCAACCTAGGTCTGAATAGATTGAAGGTAAACAAGATAATAATTCTGATTTTCAAAAACTTTTATCAAGCCGGGCACGGTGGCTCACGCCTGTCATCCCAGCACTTTGGGAGGCCGAAGCGGGCTGATCACCTGAGGTCAGGAGTTCGAGACCAGCCCGGCCAACATGGTGAAACGCTCTATTAAAAATACAAAAATTAGCCACGTGTGGTAGTGCATGCCTGTAATCCCAGCTACTCGGAAGGCTGAGGCAGGAGAATCACTTGAACCCGGGAGGCAGAGGTTGCAGTGAGCCCAGATTGCACCATTGCACTCCACCCTGGGGGACAAGAGTGAATCTCTGTCTTAAAACAAACAAATAAACAAACTAAAAAACTTTTATCAGCAGAAGTCCTTTTGTCTTTTAATATAAATTACTCAGATTCATTCAGTAACAAATCCATTATTCACTTAATTTTGCTTGACAGGGCTTTCTTAAATGTGGCAAAACAAATTTATATTCAAAGCATTTCCCACATAAAAATGATGAAGTTATAATACAGCACATAAAACTTTGTGATAAAGCTATTGGTTAACAGGCTTCTCATATTTAATAACTCCTTTGTAAATACAGGAGATAAATATTTTTGAAGACATTCTGGAAACAATTTCAGTAAAAAGTTAGATACAATATTACATATTTTTCTTTCAAAATACCAAAGTGTAGAATAGTCCCCCTTCTTTGTAAGATATACCACTAATATGAAGCTTCCATGACTGTTTATGACATATATCTCTGTATCAAAGAAAACCTGCTATGACTCTTTTTGAAACTATTAGTTGGTACACATTTAAAAAAATTTATGCCAGGCATGATGGCTCAAACCTGTAATCATAGCACTTTGGGATGCCAGGTTGGGCAGGTCTCTTTTTTTTTTTTTTTTTTTTGAGATGGAGTTTTGCTCTTGTTGCCCAGGCAGGAGTGCAATGGCACAATCTCGGCTCACTGCAACCTCCACCTCCTGGGATGAAGTGATCCTCCTGCCTCAGCCTCCCTAGCTGGGATTACAGGCATGTGCCACCATGCCCGGCTAATTTTGTATTTTTAGTAGAGTCAGGGTTTCTCCATGTTGGTTAGGCTGGTCTTGAACTCCTCACCTCAGGTGATCCGCCCGCCTCAGCCTCCCAACGTGCTGGGATTACAGATATGAACCACCGCACCCGACTGGGCAGATTTCTTGAGCCCTGGAGTTCGAGAGCAGATTGGGCAACATGGCAAAACTACATCTCTATAAAAAAATTCCCTAATAAATTTCTTCTTATATATATCTCTCTCTCTATATATATTCTATTGGTTCTGTTTCTCTGGAGAACCCAGGCTAATACAAGGAGTAAATGAATAAATGAACAAATAAATGAATCGATCAATGTAAATTCAACCTAGGTTTGAATAGACTAGGTTGCATTTAACCAGGCATGGTGGCACACACCTGTCATCCCAGCTACTTGGGAGGCTGAGTTGGGAGGATCAGTTGAGTGTGAGAGGTCAAGGCTGCAGTGAGCTATGATCATGCCATTGCACTCCAGCCTGGGTGACACTGCAAGATCCTGTCTCAAAAAAAAAAGAAAATTTAGTCCTAAAACAAGTCCATACTGCTAATATTTATACTGTTCTCCTTTAACAGACGGACTTGGGTCCTCTTTTGATTTGTCAATAATGCGACAAAGAAATTCTAGTTGCCTTTGTTGACATCCCTAAAGTAAGAGTCTTCCCACCAGCCCCTACCATGACCCCTCCCCTGCATTGTGGCTTCTCTGTGGCTCAATGTAATATAAGGGAGAGACCAGCATGGTCTGCAGACCTCAGAAAACAACATTACATCATCATGATACAAGAAAGTGAGATGATGGTGTGATTTTTCAAACTCAGTTCCAAGGAATAAACATCAAAGAATTATGCAGGTTATTAAGTCCCATCAAGGAAAAGCATCCTTCACTAGCTCCCTGCCAGCTCATCCCCTTTTACTTACCTAAAATGCATGTTCCATAAAATTACTATCGGGAGAACTAGGAGAAGCAAAGCTGCAAACTCTCCATTAAGCCCCAGTTTCTGAGAGCGTATCCATAAGCAATTCTATTAAGGATATCAGAGGCCCTCAACGTGTACTGGAGAGTCAGCACTTGAAAACCAACATCTAAGCAAGGTTCTTCCAGATTCTCAGCTTGAGCAATAACAAGAATAGCTACAAGCAGCTGAGCAAAGTCTAGCATCATTGGGAAAAACCTACACAGCAAATAAGAAAACGTAAAGCAAGCTTGTTCTCATTAATTAGTCATAGCCAAATAAAGAGTAGAGGTTTCTAAAATATGAGTTGGGTTGAAATCTTAATTCAATGATTCTCATTGTACCTAAGGTAATAAATTTACCTTGGAGTACAGCTTAATCCACATCCTATTAATTATGACACATAATTTTGAAATTGCCATTACTTTTTAATCTTTGCCCTGGGTTATTTAGGGAAATTTTGAATTGCCAAGTAGGCTTAATTTTTATATTTGTACACTTGTGTCAAAACTTTCAAGTTTTATTGCATTTTTTGCTGGCATAATTTCTTAGTTTAGGATTTTATTGAAATTTTTATAACTACTAATATGAATACGTGTAAATGTTTTATTATATGTAGTCTCTTTCAAGAATTAGTTTATGTTGCTTCTTGACCATGGTAACAATGATTATTTAAATCCTACGTATTTTTTACTGCTTACAAGATCCATCACCATTTCTTTTATGCAGTGTTTTTATAGTATTGAATTCTTAGCTATATTTCTAGTGAGGAGGAAGTTTTCAGATAATTTTTTTTCACAATTGACATATATGGGCGCATTTTCTGAGTCCCAAAGTGTATCTAGGAATGTCTCTGTTACATTTGCACATTGAACAATACTGACTTAATATAAAATACTTGCATCATATTCTTTCCAGCAAAATTATATTGAAATTGTTTCCTTTTTCAGGCATTTATTTTTGTGGTGAAAAAAAAGTATATTTTTTTCTTTATCTTCAAATTCAGTTATTTTTATTGTTTTTCTGAAGTTAATTTTTCTTTTATTTAAATATCTAAGTCCTTCTCCTATTAAAAGAAAATTATGTTTTAAGTTCTTTCATTATTGCTTCTCTTTGCCCTCTTGGTTTTTCCACCTGGAAATACTTTTTTTGTGTGTATATGAGGTCTCCTGATTTTCTCTTCAGGCAATCCCTTTTTCATATATATGTATATGTGTGTGTGTGTGTATTTAAACTAATAGACTTTTCTTTTCATTTTTAGCCATTTTAGATTTACAGGAAAAAAAGGAGTGAAAAGGGCAGAGAGTTCCCCTATGTCCCCCTTTTCCCCCTTTCAATTTTCCCTAATATTAACATCTGGTGTTAGTATGGCACATTTGTTACAATCAATAAAGCAATATCAATACATTAATATTATCAACTAAAGTTTATAGTTTACCTTAGGGTTCACTCTGTGTTATATTTTCTATGAGTCTTAAATGTATAAGGACATATCCATCATTACAGTAACCTACAGAATAAGAGTTTCAATGTCTTAAAAATTCTCTGTGCTGTATTTCTTCTTTCCTCTCTTCTACCTCAAACCCCAAGCAACCACTGATCTTCTTACTGTCTCCATAATTTTACTTTTTCTAGAATGTCATATACTTGGTATCAGGTTGGTGACTTTGTAAGGTTCACTTCTTTCACTTAGCAATATGGATTTATTTCCTCTATGTCTTTTCATAGCTTGATTAATTATGTCTTTTTATTGCTCAATGGTATTCCATTTTATGGATATATCACAGTTTGTTTATCCATTCATCTATTTAAGGACATCTTGGTTGCTCCCAAATAACGGCAATTGTGGATAAAGTCGCTGTAAACATTTGTGTACAGGTTTTTGTGTGGATGTAAGTTTTTAACACATTTGGGTAAATATTAAGGAGCATGATTGCTGGATCATATGGTAAAATGTATGTTTAGTTTTGTTGGAAACTGTCAAATTTTCTTCCAAAGTGATTGTACCATTTTGGCTTTCCCACCAGCAACGAATGAGAGCTCCTGTTGCTCCACATTCTCACCAGCATTTGGTGTTGTCAGTGTTTTGGATTTGGTCATTCTAATAGATGTGTAGTGGTGTTGCATTGTTGTTTCAATGTGCAATTCCACAGTGACATATAGTGTGGATCTTTTTATATGCTCATTTACCATCTGTATATTTTCTTAGGTGAGGTGTTTGTTCAAATCTTTTGTCCACTTTTTAAATTGGATTGTTTTCTGATTGTTGAGTTTGAAGAGCTCTTTATATATATTCAATACCAGTCTTTGTCTGATTTGTGTTTTGCAAAGATTTTTTCCTGTTGTGTGGCTTATCTTTCCATCCTTTTAACTGTCTTTTGCAGGGAAGAAGCTTTTAATTTTAATGAGGTCCAACTTATCTTTTGTTTTCTTTTATGAATCATGTTTCCGGTGTTGTATCTAAAAAGTCATTCTGAAACTTAAGGTCACCTGCATTTTCTCCTGTTTTATTCTCAGAGTTTTATAGTTTTGTATTCTACACTTAAGTCTATGATCCCTTTTGAGTCAATTTTTGTGAAAAGTGTAAGATCTGTGTCTAGATTCACTTTTTTGCATGTGGATGTCCAGTTGTTCTAGCACCATTTCTTATATTTTTAGAATAATTTTCTCCAGTTATCCTGTCTCTCAGATCTGAAAGAACTTGTTGAACTTTTCCTCCCAGTCACTGATTTGACTTTCTATATTCTCTAGTTCTATGTTCCCTGATTCTATTGACATTTTATTGATAGCTTCTAATTCATTATTAGCTTTTTACCTGATTGTTTCCTTAGCTCAGATTGTTTTGATGAATAAGCAATGACCTCTCCAATATGTTTCGAAAATATGAACAAAAGGGTTTTGAATTTAAACATTTATACATAAATTAAATGGACATTAATTCTGGTGAAATAGTCTGTTTACCTCTGTTGTTCTGCCACACATATTAATAGTAAAATATATGATATTTAATGTTCAAAGGTATTCCAGTTTGGAGAAGAAATTATATAATCAATCTCTATAAAATGATAAAACTGAATTATTTTTCTGTATGGTTCAGCTGGGCCTTGTTCTTATATGTGTCCCTACAAAGTTTTTATAGATAAAAGAAATTGATAATTATTCTTTGTTGTTTTTCTCTGTGCCCTACACACACAGCTCAATTCCTTACAAACATGCTGTTTATTTAACCCTCACGACAACTCTACAAGTGAGAATTATCATTATCCCCATTTCACTGATGCAAAAACTGATGCCCAGAGTTTGAGAATGAGGTTAGGGGAGAGTTCTGTGCTTTTCCTCTTTCATTACTATGCATGAGCCTGGAGGTAGGAAAGCGTTGTTTCTTTCTCTTTGCTTCTTTGTTTTATTGGGTGGGTGGGATGGGGGCTGGGGGTCAAAGGGAAAGGCCTTTGGCCCACGCCGGCATCTGGCTCCCCATCTGTGGAATATCTGGGGTGGCAGTGGGGTAGATAATGAGTGACAGCAGAGGCGGATTCCTCTTTTTAAGAGGCTGAGGGCCAGGCGCAGTGGTTCATGCCTATAATCCCAGCATTTTGGGATGCCAAGGCGGGTGGATTGCTTGAGCCCTGGAGTTTGAGACTAGCCTGGGCATATGGTGAAACCCTGTCTCTACAAAAAATTAAAAAAAAAAAAATAGGCAGGCATGATGGCACACACCTGTGGTCTCAGCTACCTGGGAGGCTGAGGCGGGAGGATCACTTAGCCTGGGAAGTCAAGTCTGCAGTGAGCCATGATTGTGCCATTGCACTCCAGCCTGGGGAACAGAGAGAGACCTCTCTCTCTCTCTCTCTCTCTCTCTCTCTCTCTCACACACACACACACACACACACACACACACACACACACACAAAAGAGGCTGAGGGTGACTCCTTCTATAGACAGAGCAGCCAAGCTAGAGACCTACCAGCCTAGTGAAGCTACCTACAAAGCCTACTCATTAGCTGAAATCCTGACTTTGAGAGCTGCCGACATTTTTAGGACTATGACATGGTGCAGGAAAAACGCAAAGCCCAAAGCCTCGACCAAGCTGGAGAGATGGAACACACTGGACACACTGATCTCCCGGACTTGTTAAACACTCAATAGACTGAGAGACTGGATACAATGGCCACACCCCAGATACACGAACGTAACCAGAGATTGGCCCAGCCCATGCTTATTTTAGACCCAGTGATGAGCAAAATTAACTAAGCCCTGAACACACGGAATCTCCCAAACACACAACAGGCCTGACGCAGGATCTACTTCGTATACTCAGAGCAGTGTTGACACACCACCATCTCAGACCCGCTAGCCATCTAGTTCATGTTGACAACCCGAGACCCACAGACTGCTTCCCGGCACCATAAGAGATCTTGCCCACTGGAGCTAGAGTGGGGAAGATTGGGAAGGAGGCCAATTTGAGATGACCTGGAGTCTCCAGCACCGTACCTTTGTCCTTTTTCCAGCCATATAAAACCCTGCTACTAAAAGTGTGGTCCACGGACCGGGAGACTTGATATCACCCAGATGTTTGTTAGAAATGCAAAAACTTAGCCCCACCTCTGACCTACTGAGTTAAAATCTGCATTTAATACGTTCCCCAAGGACTCATACGCACCTTAAAGAATGAGCAACACTAATACAAATTCTTAAATATGCTACCGGAAGTTTGAGCTGGGCATGATTTTTATAGGATTGTGCAGGATTGTAGCCAAAGAACAGGCAAACATCCATTGTCTGTGTAAAAACATGCTTGTTAACGTATAAATGTCATTATGAACAGGTACTCTCAACAAGTAGGGAGTGATAATTTATAGGTAGTGGTTTGAAAGCTTTATTTTCTTAATCTTTCAAAATACAAACTATTATATTATATATAAAAGATTGGGATATCTACATACTCCTTTGAACCTAATCCAGTGCCAACCAGAATTTATAAAAAGCCATATATGCTGCTGAGTTAGTTACAGGGATAAACGTTTGGCAGAATCTGCCTAGTCTCCCTCAAAATCTGGTATAATCACAGCCAGGTACTCACTTCTTTCTCGCTGGAGCTAATTGTAATTCCTGAGAAGATCAAGATTGTTAATTATGTTTACAATAAAATATATGAAAAACAAATGAAATATGCTACAATTTTATAAACAATTCCTAGAAGCTGCTAGAATGGCTTAGGTTTCCAGGTGTGTCTCATTTCTCGCAGCTACCCATCTCCATGAGGACACTTCTATGCCAATTGCTTAATCTGGTCCCCTTATTTTGAACTATTGACTGCGTGAGTGCTGATTTGTCTTGTTTGCTCCTCCTATCACAGGGATAATCTGTGTTTGTCCGGCATTGAAAGTTGAGATGGGTTCTGCCGAGATTGTTTGCATTCCCTTTCAAACTGTTCAGATCCAGATGAAGGGAAAAGGGAAGAGTTTATATTTGTGTCCTTTTTCTTTGCCTGATTAGAATTCCAACTGCCTCTAAGGCCTAGGATGTGAGCAGTGATCTCCCCTTCCCCCTACAACATACACACATTAAGGCAACAGCCAGGTGACTCTGGGCTGTTGGTCTCAGAGAAGTGATGTATTAGCAAAAAAGAAAGAAAAAAGGCATCTCTTTCTAGGTATTGGGCTTCTAATGCCTATATTCCCCAAACATAGATTTTGGAGAAAATGTCCTTCCTTGTGATTAGAGAAGCAATGAGATTTTAGGTGAGGGATGGCAATTCCCACCCCCAAGGCTCCAACTCTCAACTTTCCTGCAACAACCACCACCAGCAAGAAAAGGAGGCCATTCTCTTGGCACAAGGTCCTTCTGCTCACCAACCAGCCTGCATAGCCATATGCATCCACAGGGGGCATTATTTTCTGCTGGGACCATCCAGCTCTGGTGTCCCTTTTTTCCTTCCTTCCTTCCTTCCTTCCTTCCTTCCTTCCTTCCTTCCTTCCTACCTTCCTTCCTTCCTTCCTTCCTTCCTTTCTCTCTCTCTCTCTTTCTTTTTTTTCCTTTTTCTTTTTTTTTTTTCTGCTTTTGAGACAGTCTTGCTCTGTCACCAGGCTGGAATGCACTGATGTGATCTTGGCTCACTGCAGCTTTTGCCTCCCAGATTCAAGCGATTCTCCTGCCTCAGCCTCCCGAGTAGCTGGGATTACAGGCCCACACCACCATGCCCAGCTAATTTCTCTATTTTTAGTAGAGACATGTTGGCCAGGATGGTCTCGATCTCTTGACCTCGTGATCCGCCCGCCTCGGCGGGATTACAGGCATGAGCCACCGCGCCCAGCCCTGGTGCTTTTTTCTAATTGCCACAAAGGCACCATATGTGTTTGTGGAGACCTATGCAGGATTCCTAAGAAAGGGCTCTGTTTCTTGACCTCAATTTAGGCCAAGGGAATTAAGGAGAGGAGGTAGATTTATATGACATGATCTGCATTCCCCACACAGATTCCTGGGAAGCCATGAAGATCCTTCAGAAGCAACTCTATGGGGCACTTCTAGGCAAAAGGGGCCTCCACCTTGTGCAGTTTCCTGTGCCCAAGAAGGGAGCAGGAGTAGCAAAGAAACCACTGCATCTGAGGGGCCTTACAGAAGGACAGAGGGACAACTCAGCAGGGACCTTTAAGGTCATGGAGGAAACATGAAGAGAATAGCTGGCGGGGGGTGATCAGGGGGAAGAGAATCATAACCCACATCCATATAATCAGCACATATTGCCCCCTGACCTGACTTCCACTCCACTCTCCTGACAAATGCACATCTTCCTATTATCTAAGTTCACCCGGACTGACAGGGACAGAGACCAATGGAAAGGGAAGTGGACCTGGAGTTGACTAAGTTTGTTTCCTCCAACATGGTAGACTAGAAGCTTGGAACAGAATATAAGCTGTCACAGGGGGAAATAAGACACTTTTCTCGCTTCCTTGCATCTCTAGCCTGAGAATCGTACCTATTAACACTTCCTTCTGCCCTGGTTGTGCCACTGTTTATTTTTGAGAAAGAGATTTCTAATACCACTTAACATCACACTGTAAATCAGCACTATGTTCTTTTTTTTCCTTTGCTTAACTTGGCAAATGATGCGTTCATTTGAAAAAGGGTTATTTTCTTTTGGTTTATTTCTTGTTTATTTCTTTATTTTTAGTGGCATGATTCTCACAATCAGGCTTTAAGGAGTTCATAAGCAAATTCAAATTTTTCTGATAATAGTGGAGATACCACTAAGGCTTACATTTTCAGCAGATAAAGTTTTCTAATAGGACAAATATTCTATAACTCCTTGGTAAAACAATAATCAATATTTAGTGCTGATTATTCTTTCAGTGCTTAAAATACCTTAAGTGATCTAAACTCGATGTGTTTGCTTTCCCACTTTTAAGGAACACATTGTTTTGGGGTCCAAATGAGAAGATAAGGTGAAACTGTATGAAAAAATGTTTGAAACAAAATAAGATATCTTGATCCACCCTTTTTAAAAGCAGCAGCCCAGTGAATAAATACAGGCATGGTAAATAAAGATCTCTGGTTATCTTCTCTATGAAGCAATGGCCAGGAGAGATGAATGAAAAAAAAAATTGAGGCAGTAATTTTCCTATTTGACTCCCTTTCTAGACTCTCTTTGGCTCACCAGTATTTACACCAAAATTTCCCTAGTTATTACTTGAAGAGGATGGTGATGAAGACAGGCTGGGACGGGTTATAAAGTTTATTTCCTAATTAAGATATACTTTTGGCCGGGCGTGGTGGCTCATGCCTGTAATCCCAGCACTTTAGGAGGCCGAGGGGGGAGGATCACTTGATGTCAGGCGTTCAAGACCAGCCTGGCCAACAAGGTGAAACTTTGTCTCTACTAAAAATACAAAAAATTAGCCGGGCATGGTGGTGGGTGCCTGTAATCCCAGCTATTCAGGAGGCTGAGACGGGAGAATCACTGCCACCCAGGAGGCGGAGGTTGCAGTGAGCGGAGATAGCGCCATTGCACTGCAGCCTGGGTGACAGAGCAAGACTCTGTTTTTTCCTAATATAGATTTACATAGAAAGCTTTCAGACCATGATGCTGATCTGACGCTCATGAAAAAGGGAGGGAAAGAAGCAGGATTTAGCAGGGAGAGCCTCTGATTTTGATGCTGGGCTGTCAAAGTTTAGGCTAGTCTGATCGGGAGCCTCAGACCAAAGATGACCCATTAGAGGAGCCTCACATTGGGCAGAAATGGCCAGGCCCTAGGATTTGTGTCATGCTCAGTCACTGACTGGTGCCTTTCTTCAAAGAGCATGGCCTCAGCTCAAAAGCTGAATTGGATCCAAAGGTGCAGGAGCTGGAGGCTATTAGCTGACTGCACTCCTTGCAGATGAAGCAGAGGCGGGTTCTCCCACGAAGAACTGAGCAGCACGCTTCACTGTGCTTCAGTGACTGAAGTAAGCACAGTTACTAAGAGGTATAACCTTTTAGAAATTAATTAGAAAGAGTCACTGAGAAAGTAATTGGCGGTGGGGGGGATTGGGAAGATGTTGGTCAAAGGATACAACATTTCAGTTAGACAGGAGGAATAAGTTTAAAGATCTACTATACAATATGGTGACTGCAATGAATAACCATGCATTGTGTGCTTGAAAATTGCTAAAAGAGTAGATTTTAAGTGTTCTCACCACAAATATAAATACGTGAGCTAATGCATACATTAGTTAGCTTGGTTTAGCCATTCCACAATGTATGTATGTTTCAAAACATCATGCTGTAGTGTACACCATAAATATATACAATTTTATTTGTCAGCTTAAAAAATAAGAAATAAAGGCTGGGCATGGTGGCTCATGCCTGTAATCCCAGCAGCTTGGGAGGCTCAGGCGGGCAGATCACTTGAGGTTAGTAGTTCGAGACCAGCCTGGCCAACATGGTGAAACACTGTCTCTACTAAAAATACAAAAAAATTAGCCGAGCATGGTGGCGGGCACCTGTAATCCCAGCTACTCAGGAGGCTGAGGCAGGAGAATCGCTTGGATCCGGGAGATAGAGGTTGTAGTAAGCTGAGATCGCACAACTGCACTCCAGCCTGGGCAACAGAGCGAGACTCCATCTCAATGAAATAAAATAAGAAAAAAAGAAATTAATTGACCTCTTTAAAAATATATAACTCTTTTGTTTCTGAGTTGGAAGGCATCTCTGAGTTCACAGAGACCCCAAACCAAACAGGAACACATGTTGACATTTATCCACAGTGTTCCTTGATCTCAGGCTCTGTGACTTTTTCTATTCCGCACACACCATCCAGGAGAATCACATTTCCAAATGGCTACCCAGAGCCTCACCCCCTTGGTACCCCTACCGCACCTCATGCACTCTGTAGGTCAAACCACCCTGAGAAGCAGCTGCTCAGTCTTCCTATCTTCCCCAGCATCCTTGCTTCCCATCTGTTTTCTATTTCTTTGATAGATGGATGACTACTTAGGCTGAAACGCTAAATGACACCCACTGATAAGAGCTAAATGATCACCTGATTTGTGTCTACAGAATTTAACCCAAATAAATGGCTGGTTAGTAGGGGAATTTAAAAAAAAAAACACACATCTGTACAGGCCAAGGTTGGTGAAATTTGGGGCAAAGAGATATGCGTTTACCCTTTATACTGAGAAAACATCACCTCACAGTATAAATAATGTCCAGGCGCAGCTTTTACTCTCAAAAGGCACTCATTTGCTGACTATTGACCTCAGCCAATGTGTAACTCATATTTATCAGCCGATCAGGAAATTTTCATACTCTGGTTAACTTTGTCTTTCTATACTTTGATTTTCTACTCTAGACAAAGAAGCAGTAACAGTAATAAAATAACAGTGACCAAGTACCTGCTAGATCCAAAGAGTGGTATTTGTTGGTACTTTAATTATACCATAGGTTTAATTTAGTTGTTCTATAAATTACATTCTGTAATTATATTTTACAGACGAAGCTCAGAAAAGTTAAGTGGCCCAAAATCAATTAACTAGCAAATAGTAATGGTAGAGCCTGATTCAGTTTATGTCTACCTGACTCCCTAATCTTTTGCTTAATTCTTTCTCATCCCACAATTTACAATAAGATGTCAGGGTCTAAGGCTTTTTTTTTTTTAATTTTATTATTATTATACTTTAAGTTTTAGGGTACATGTGCACAACGTGCAGGTTTGTTACATATGTTGAACTCCACATCTGCTGGCATTAGTACCACCTAATAGTTGTCATGGGAGAGTGTAGGGATTATAAAGAAAATAAGATTGGTCACGAGTTGATAATTGCTGAAGCAATTATGCCTGCCTGTTGCACCTACTCAAATTAGGACAGTGAGCAGGGGGTCATTATACTAATCTCTCTGCCTCTGTATTTGAAATTTTCCATAATAAACAGAGGCTGGTGGAAAGTTTTATATGTTCCATAAAGACATTCAATAGTTACAGATGGCTCAGCACCTAGCCAGGACATTAGGAAGTTCCCGCCTCAACCCAGTTGGCCCACAAACACAAACACACACACAGAGTTACACAGTTTGAGACACCTTGTAACATAAACAATGCAGATATCAATTTGTCATGAAGATGCAAAACAGAACTCTACAGATTTCAGCATTTCCAACATGTCAGCATGTGTGAATCACAGCATTCAGCTCCATTCACTGTCTTATGTTCCTTTTCATTTGCTCAAGCCCAGCCAAGCCAAACCAGGGATCACCAGTGGGGAGAACTGCAAATGTTTGCAAACGGTGAGCAAATTAGGAGAAAATCCTAGATTTACAGAGACATGAATTATTTTTTGCAGATATAAATAAAAATTGTTCTCAGCTTAGGTTCTGTCAACACCTCAGTGCTCCGTGCAAATTCATCCAAAGATAAATGAGTTAGTGTTACTCATACCTGATGAGCTCCAAAAACCACCTGAAGGGGCACACGCTGTACTTTGCTCAGTTTGTTTGCAAAACTCAGCCCTTGGAATACAAAGCTACCACAAAATATGTGGCCAACTCTGAAATATGTGTGTGTTTTCAGGCAGCCATAGGGCAAAACAGCCGTTTGCTTTTTTGATCCATGCCTCAGATCTTGGCAGTGGTTATTCCAGGAATCCCACACTTTTTTCCTCCACCCGCTCCAGTTTTTAATCAAGTAAGACATGCTGATGGTGTAACATTTGTAAAAATACAATAAAAAAGATTTAAAATTGCCTTATTTCTACTATGTAGAGGTAACTACTGTGAATTTTAAATAGATGCTTCTAGATTTTAATGCATATATAAACTCTTCAAAATCAAAATAGAATCATACTGTATATAACTTGCCTTGTTTATTCAAATATAGCCCATGTACATTTTAATGCCTATAAACAACATCTATAAAAATATTTACAACGTTTCCACATATGGATATAAAACAATTTATTCAATCAAAACATATGGTGTTATTGAATATTTACTAAGAATGATTATTGAACATTTAGGTTGTTTTTCAAATTTTTGCTTCTGAAACTGAGCTTGGATGAATATTTTTATAGATAATTATTTCTACAAATCTATTATTATTTCCTTAGGATAAATTTTACAAGTAGAATGCAAGAAGATGAACATTTTGAGACCTCTAATACAAACGACCTTTCAGAAAGAGTATACAGATTTACACACCTCATCATCCTGCACCCTAACTGTGCTGAGTGATTATTTCCATCTTTGCTGATTCAACAGGTAGAAGACTATATCATTTTATTGGAATTTGTATTTCTCTTATTACTAATGATATTTAAGTTTTTATTGTGTTTATTGAAAGTATAACTACATTTCTGTTCATGTAATGTTGTGTGTTTATTATTTATCTCTAAGACTGTTTACATTTTAATGGTGGTATCCATTTGTCATATAGGATACAATTTCTTTCCTCAATTCTTTTTTTTTTTTAAGAGACAGGGTCTCACTATTTCGCCCAGGCTTTCTCAAACCCCTGGGCTCAAGTGGTCCTGCCTCCTCAGCCTCCCCTGTAGCTGGGACTGCAGGCACACACCACCATGCCCAGCTCTTTCCTCATTTTTTATTGCTTTTTAATTTGATTTGTTATTTGGGACATGGAATTTTTAGGTTAAAAAATGCATGCATTTTTATCTTCATGAATTCTCTCACTTAAATCATGCTTAGACTGTCTTTCCAAAACCTATATTTTCTCCTATTAACTCTTTTAAAAATTTTAATGGACCTGAAATAAATTTTGGAGTAGGGCATAAGGTATGGACATAACATTTTTCCTCCTAAGCAATGGTTCTGAGGTCCCTCCATTGTTTTTCATATAAGCACTTTCTTCCATACTGATTTAACATGCCAGTAGTATATGCACCATGCTTATATATTTGTTGGTCTGTTCTTACACTTTTCATTCTGTTCCAATGATCTTGTTATCCATTCTTGGGCAAGTACCACCAAGCTATTTTAGCTATCGAAGCTTTGCAGTAAATTTAATATATTAGTGGAGAACCTTGGCTTATCCCATTTTATTTTCTAACTTTTCTTGGCTATACTTGTTTATTTATTCTTCCCAGAAAACTCTGGAATCATTTTATTACTTACTGTGTCTGGGATCATGTCACAGCAACAGATTATATTGGAGAGAATTAACATCGTTACAATATTACCTCTCCTAACACAGAAACATGGTATACCTTTCATTTTATTCAAATATTTTATGTTCCTGGAGCAGAGGTGCACTCACTGTATATTCCATGGCTCACCTACATAGATGCCCTTGCATTGCAGTTACACTGGGGCTATGTGATTAGTTCTAACCAATGGGCTGTGAGTATAAAAGGCATTTGCCACTTATGGTCAGAAGGAATCAAGAGTGAGTCCCTCACACTATTCTCCAAGGTTGGTAACCACCGAGGCCACATATTAAGAATGGTGAAGCTGCAAAGTGAAAGCCTCTTGGATCTTTGAGTTTCCACTTGAAGGATGGCAATCTTGAAGTCACTCAGCCTGCATCAGGCTTGAAGTGAGTGGGAAATAAACCTTTTGTTTGTGTTAAGACATTGAGATTTGGGGACTTATTTGTTACCATAGAGTAGTCCCTTAGTAAAAGTTGCAAATTGCTTATTCAGTTTATTTCCAAATGTGGAGTTATTATTGTGACAGGGAAATTTTTCAATAGTTCTAAGTAACTATTGCTAATATGAGAAGAGCACTTTTGAATATAGAAATGATATACCTCTGCACTTATTTCCTTCCATTTATGGTAGAAATTCTGTGACAAATAAAGAATATGTCGATTCCTCAGATTGGTCCTCTTCTTTTGAAGTATTGAATTTTTTGTGTTTGCCTATCTTGCCTGCATAGGGAAAAGGGGGAGGATCTAGGTTTATCACACTGGGAGTGTTGGAATAAGTTCCTTCAAAGATTAAGTCTTATCTTTCTAGCTCAGATGGAGGGATAGGGAGATTTAAATAACATAGTGACATAGGCTTTGTGGTAGGCAGAATAACGGCCCCTCAAAGATGTCCACATCCTAATCCCAGGAACCAGTGAATGTGTTAGGCTAAATGGCAAAGGGGAATTAAGCTTGCAGATGGAATTAATACTGCTAATCATCCGACCTTAAAATAGAGAGATTATCCTGGATTATCCAGCTGGGCCCAGTGTAATCAGAAGGGTCCTTAAATGTAAAAGAAGAAGGCGAAAGATGAGTCAGTGTCAGGGTGATGCAGCAGGAGATGGATTTGATCAGCCATTACTGGCTTTGAAGAGGGAAGGGGCTGCAAGCCAAGGAATGCATGTGACAGCCTTCAAAACTGGAAAAGACAAGCAAATGAGTTCTTCCCTAGAGCCTCCAGAAGGAACAAAGCCCTGCCAATACCTTGATTTTTAGCTCAGTGAGACTCATTTAGGACTTCTGATCATCAGAACTGCAAGAAAATATATTTGTGTTGTTTCAAGCACCAAGTTTGTGGTGCTTGTTATAGGAGCAATAGGAACCAAATACTAGCTTTGAGTCAGATCTAGATTCAATGCTCAAACCCATCAATCATTAATTATTTGAAATTAAACACCTTTTGAAAAACCATTCTAAATCTTTGTTTCATTGCATATAAAATGTGTATAATAATATCTACTTCAGAGTAGATATTGGTAATGCTGGTAATAATAATAGTGGTAATATCAATAATAGTGGCTGCATTTGCTGAACGCTAAATTCTGGTTACAGAGCCAAGTAATCTACATACTGGGTATAACATTCTTAGCTCATAACTTTTCCACTAACTCACCAACACTCAAAAACAAACCCTTGATCTAGGTACTACTATTGTCTCCATTTAAAGATGAGTTGAGGCACAGAAGTTAAATATCTTGCCAATAGTTAAAGACCTAGTACATACAGGAGCTTGTATTTAAACGTAGGCAGAGTTCAGAGCCCATGCTCTTAAATGGAGGCCATCATGCTTTGATTTACCATAGTATTACCCTATACCAGATAGGAGGCCCATTTGCCTAGGAGGTCAGGGAGGGAACAGATATATGGGGTAGGAATGTCACTCCTCTGCCTGAGATACTCTATTCCTGTTTGTAGTTCTAGCTCAGTTACCTAGAGCTCTAGGGCAATGTTTCAGAGCAATTCTCCCCAACAACCACCCACTTCCTTAGTTTTAAGGCAGTTTTGCAACTGCCCTGCTTTATTCAGCCTGGGAATTCATTCCAAGTGTAAACTGCAATTGAATGCTTCAAGTAGCTTCTGTGTTTGTTCCAGATGCACTTACCCCCAGATTTTAACTGTCCTCTTGCTCCAAGTTTGGGGAGGGAGGTATTGGTTAAATTTTGCTTAGTGGCCCTTCTTCTTTCTCCCTAGATGAGTCTCACCTTATATATGTCATGAATCACAAATCAATGGGCCATTTTCCCAATCTAACCTCATCTATACTCTAATTTGCAGAAATTCTTAGAAATTATAGCCAAGGGGACGCTACCTGGATTCAAATGCACAGGTTTTTGTTTTGTTTTGTTTTGTTGTTTGTTTGTTTTTAAATATAGAGACTTTGGGAGGGAGAACTGACTAAATGTGTGGGTTCAAACCATTATTTTAAATAAGTGGTCCTTTCATAGATCTTTCCAAGAGAATTTGGAAAACGCTAAGTGGAAACCCAGATGTCTGTTGAGGGAAATGGTTATCTTCTCTGGACCTTCCACCACCCTCTGTACATGGAAGGGAATAGTACTGCAAGGATTGATTTTCCCACTGCAACTTTCCTTAGAAAATGGAAATGATTAGAGTCAGTTTCAGATAACATTTTTCCCTCAGTTGCATAAATCAGAGTGCTAGCCAGAGCTCATTTTCAGATCATGTTCTTTTTGTGTTCCTGTCAGTTCCTGGTTTTCAAACACCCATTCATAGAAGAGATCTTATCTATGGAAAAAGTTCTTCACTACTCTGGGGCAAAATATTGAAGGATTTTTTTCATAAAGCTAAATTATTCTATTTAAATAGCCATCAGCTTATGTATCTTTTAAATTTTTTTGGCATTAAAATAATCTGTCTTTTATGAAATGATTCTAACACTAGATGGTAGTTTGACATGTTTTAAACACCCTTACAATGTTAAAAGTTGGCAATACTATGTTGGTTTCAAAATTATTTTTGACTTTTTTTCTTGTCTATATAATTCCAAACCCTATGAACCACTGGAATGTATCTTTGAATAGTTTTTCAACAAGTGGAATATTTTCTGAGCCCTTGCATTTTTGAGAATGCTCGCCTGTCCTAGTGAAAGACAAATTGCTGGTTATAACATTCTTAGCTCATAACTTTTCCCTCCTCAAAAACAGTGGAGTCGTTTGGCATCTAACTGTTGCAGAGGAAACATCTGAAACCAACCCAAAGTTCTGTTCTCCTGTAAATAAATTTTTACTGAATAGCTGAAAGATTTCTTTCATTTATTATACTTTCTCCCTTTCTCAAGGCATAGTACACATTTTCACCAACCACATGCCACTGAGATGGAATATGTGGTGGCTGACGGCCAAGTGGCTAGATTCTAGCATCTCCTAAGTTAAAATCGAATTTCCATACTTTACTAGCCACTGTATCCTTGGGCAAAGTTATGGGTTGAATTGTATCTACCCAAAAGATATGTTGATGTTCTAACCCCCCGTATCTGTGAATGTCATTTTTGTTTTTGTTTTTGTTTTTTTTTTTTTGAGAGAGGGTCTCACTCTATCACCTAGGCTGGAGTGCAGTGGTGGGATCATGGCTCACTGCAGCCTCTATCTCCTGGGCTCAAGGGACGCTCCAGCCCCAACCTCCCAAGTAGAAGGGACTACTGGCACTCACAATGATGCCCAGCTAATTTTAAAAATTTTTTGTAGAGATAGAGTCTCACTATGTTACCCATGCTGGTCTCAAACCCCTGAGTTCGGGGAATCCTCCCACCTTGGCCTCCCAAAGTGCTGAGATTGCAGGTGTGAGCCACACACCCGGCCTGAATGTGATCTTAGTTGGTGTAATCAAATTAAGGTGAGGTTATTAGGGTGGACCCTAATCTAATAAGACTGGTGTCCTTTTAAGAAGAGAGAAATTTGGACCCAGACACCTAGGGAGGAGAATGCCATGGGAAGACAGACCCAAGGAAAGACAGCCATGTGAAGTTGGAGGCAGAGACTTGAGTTTTGCTGCCACAAGCCAAAGAATGCCAGGGGCTACGAGAAGCTAGAAGAGGTAAGAAAGGATCCTTGCTGGAGGTTTCTGAGGAAGCATGGCCCCTTGGACACTTCCAGCCTGGTAAGAGTGAGACAATAGGCATCTGTTGTTTACAGTTACCCAGTACATTACAGCAGCCCCAGGAAATTAAAGCAACTGATTTCTCAAACACTTTGGGCTTCAATGACTTCATGAAATGTAGATGATAATGTGTTTAAAGTTGTAAGATTATAAGATTGCTGAGAAGATTAAATGTGATTAAATGAGACAAGATATATAAATTCTGGCACATTTTAGCTAATAAATAAAATGGGTTGTTTGTTGTCATCATCCTGAACACCACCATTACCATCACCACCACCCCCTTCCTTGGATAGTCCTCTCTCCTGGAAACAGTTTTTCTATACTCTTGAAATTTTTATACAAAACTTGTATGATTTTTATAACACAATAGTCATTTTTTTTAAACTGTGGATTCTCAGGCCCACCACAAAAAATCTTTGATTCAGTGGGTCTTGGTGGAATGGGTATTGTTTGAAGGTATCCAGATATGAACTCTCATTAAGTATTGAAAGTGCAATGTCATTTAAGTGTAGACCTCGCATTAGTATTCCTGTTCTATAAATATGGAAA
This sequence comes from Homo sapiens, assembly GCF_000001405.40. NCBI lineage: Eukaryota > Metazoa > Chordata > Mammalia > Primates > Hominidae > Homo > Homo sapiens. The sequence continues at coordinate 14,059,778 of NC_000017.11, forward strand.
CTGAAATAAAAGAAAATTGAACCAAGTCAGAAAATGTAAACTTGAGTAACTTTTTCAAGGTGAACTTCAATAACTTCACCAGTTTGATGAAATGAGTCTAGGCCCTAAACTTCCAGATAATGAGGCATTGTAATACCTCAACAATACCTCCATAATATATAAAATATGGGAGATGGTCCATTAGGAGGATTAAGAACACATGTTTTGGAATCAGAAAGGTTTAAATTCTAGCTGCGGCACTTACTTTCTAGCTATGAGAACTTGGGGAAATTATTTAACCTTTTAAGATCTTAGCTTTTCTTTTCTTTTTTCTTTTTTTTTTTTGAGATGGAGTTTTGCCTTGTCACCCAGGATCCGCCCACCTTGGCCTCCCAAAGTGCTGGGATTACAGGCATGAGCCACCGTGCTCAGCCCAGGTCTTAGCTTTTCATCTGAACATGAGAATACCATGTATCTGGGTTCTTTTGAAAAAGTGAATGAGATGTCATGATTAAGCATTATTAGTATTATTGTTAGCACAGTAAGTGCTAAGTAAATAGTGCATTTTTGCAACGTACATTGACATTTATTTCAAAAAAAGAAATCAGCAGTTTCATCTGCTATTGACTGTCTTAAAGGTACAAATGCCTTTGGTAGGCCGAGGCGGGTGGATCACAAGGTCAGGAGATTGAGACCATCCTGGCTAACATAGTGAAACCCCGTCTCTACTAAGGGTACAAAAAATTAGCCAGGCGTGGTGGTGGGCGCCTGTTGTCCCAGTTACTCACGAGGCTGAGGCAGGAGAATGGTGTGAACCCGGGAGGTGGAGCTTGCAGTGAGCTGAGATCAAGCCACTGCACTCCAGCCTGGGCGACAGAGCGAGACTCAGTCTCGGGAAAAAAAAAAAAAAAAAAAGATACAAATGCAGGGAGAAAGAAGGATCATAGATTAGAAATAGTGGCTGATTTTAGAAAAGAATGCTCTTCATGCTTTCCCCTCCTAGTGGCTTGTTAATGGTTATTGTTCTGATAATAACTTACCTGGGATTCTACTTATTAATATGCCCTTAGTGATTCTCCTTGTAAGATGTTATTCTCTATTTTTATAATATTGACTATAAAAATTGACAGGTCATTTGATTGACAGGTCATACTGACTGACAAGTCATCTACCAGAATACATAAGACTCATTTTTAAGAGTACCTCATAACTAAGAGAAAATGTATCTGTGAGAATGTTCTGACTGGTTATGATTTCCTCAATCAGTAGTGCCCAATAAGGTTAGTTTCCTGCTATTCTTAGAACATTTCACCGTATTCTTCATGAAGCTCTAAGATGTCAAGAAGGGAATAAGGCAAGAAATGCTTTCCTTGGTGTGGGAAATCAGACATTCTGACCTCATCAGAGGAGTTGGACACACAGCAAATGGCAAGAAACAAGGCAGGAACCTGCACAAAATTTCTTTTATTTTTGCATTATTTAAACCATTGTGGATTTAAGTCATATTAGAAACAGCCACCATATTCGAATCTGTTTTTTGTTAAATGTGATATCCTTTTTTGGATAGCTGACATGATTCTAGTTGTCTGTCCATGTCACCTGTCCTCAGCAAGCTTTGATGTCAGGTTGCTCACTCCTTGCCTCACTCACTGAATGCATCAACCAGGATGAAATGAACAGACAACTAAACAGTAGCTTAAGCATCATAATACACCTGTAGCCATCAGTCTGCAGACAGATGTTCCTGACTTGGTGTAGCGGCTCAACAATTTCCTCAAGAAGCTGGGCTCTATTTTTTTCTGCTTTTCCTTCCTTGGCATGTCTACTTGTCCTCATGCTTGTCACCTCATCATTGCAAGATAGCTGCCTCAGTTCCAGCAATTACATCCACAGTCTTGCCTCCTGAGTATAAAAGAAAAAAGGCAGAAAGAGCACCTCCCTTCGCGTGCCCAGCTCTTTCAATGGTAAACAAAATTATCCACCAAAACCTTACCAGCCAGTCTCTCCTTATATCTCTTTAGCCAGAACTGAGAAACATAGCCATCACTGGCTGTAAGAAACTCCGGAAATGTGACCGAGAATACTCTGATAAACTTAAAGCAATCATGATTCATCTCCTGGCATATTGCTTTCCTTAACAAAATCAAGGTCTGTTTATTTAAAAGGGAGAACACCATGGCAGTGAATAGAATTTGTTATAGTGCATTTCCCTCCTGCTTTTTCCTTTTTCTGAGTCCAGTACTGCACTTTTCAGTTTTGGTATCCCAAAACTCATGCATGGAATCGAGCCCTGGGGAGTAAAGATGGAAAAGGGTGGCTGGCAGGTTTTAGCTGAGGTGTAATATCTGATTGAAGTGACCTTGGACTAGGATCCTAGCCTGATGTTATCAGTCACTGCAGAGGAACTATTAAGAGATCTTAGGAACTGATTTAAGTTACTCAGTCTCAGAGGCGACTGACTGTAAACTCTAATCTGTACACTTAGAGTGGAACATCTACTCAGATAACTCCCATCAGTTATCTGCCCTGGCTCCAAAGCTACCCTTCCATATTGTGCCGAGAGCTGGCAGACTGCAAGCCACATTCCTGCAAACCACAATCTCTGCCAATGAGGCCTTAGTAATGCTACAAGACTGGGCCAAGGAGGACTCGCTCCTCCTATTGCTTCCTGTCCGCCTGCAATTCCTATGAGCACCACTCCAAAGCTTCTAGAATTCCCAGCAGCAGCTGAGCCCCATTTGCAGCTTTCCCAACACATAAAGAACCAGCTCTACCAGCTCCTGCTCCGTGACAAGAGCACCAGGGGTGCAGTGTCCCTCCTTAACAGCCTGAGTTTCCACTCCTCTAAGTTTCTAAGTTGTAATAATTCCAACTTCTTTTTGTTTCCCCAGCCATAGAGGTGGTAGCTGCTTCTTAGTTACCAGCACCCTAACTTTATTTTTGCCCTTTGGATTACCTAGTTAACAACTTTATAGCACATTAACCTTTCTTTAGGTTAAATTCTTTCAAATAATTGGTGTGATTTCTGTCTCCTGACTGGACCCTAGCTAATTCAGTAGTGTTATGTCATGAAGAGATAGTCAAATGAAGAAATCTTAAAATACCCTATGCTTTCCCACACTGGGGTTACTTACTGTAGTTACAGGACCTTCACAAAGCCTCCAATGGAAGACAAGGCCAGAGAGAGGCCACTGTTTATTACCACATTAAGGTTCTGGCCCCATATGCTTATGTGGAAGCCCTAACTTTGGTGAGCAGGGTTAGATCTGGTGGGTCTGACAAGGAGGGGCCTGAGCACCCTCCTTTTCCCTGGGCCTCTTTCAAAGCAGAAGACCCATCTCAAGCAAGAGACATATTCAGACTCGTCTTGTCATCACCTTCCCAATGTGATGGGACTAGGGGAAGAACAATCAAGGATGATGGGTAGGGGCGGGGGTTTATTTTGAGAGAGAAAAACCGAAAGGTCAGGAAAATCAAGAGACTGACTCCAAAGAGAGGATGTCAAGTGAAAACCCAGATGTTCATCCCTTTTCATCATCTCTCCAAAAGCCTGACTCTCAGGAGCATGCTCACTAATATCCTTGTTCTTAACCTATCCATATTAGCATTCCTTTCTGGGGATGAGGGGCACCCTTATCCTGGAGAACTCTAAGTAGAGTCTGGTGAACAAATTTTGAGATGCTAGCATGGTGAACAAGAACAAGGTAAGTTGGTCTTTAGGAATATTTCCATGAAATAAGGAAGTTCCCATTTTCCACATCACAGATCTTAGGTCTGATAAATTGGGATCAATTGTCTAGCTCATGGTACCCTCATTCCTAAATAGCATAGGAGGCACATAAAAATTCTTATTTATTTTTAAATTTTGCTTTCTCTAGATTCATCAAATTGCTTCATTTTGATGAATAAACTTCATCAAATTGCTTTATTACAATAAATTTTTGAATATTATTACCCCTAAATTTTCCTTTTGAAAACACATATTTAAAAAACTATTAACATTTTCTTGTCATTGCTTGCTTATTAAAGCATATGGAGAGTCATTTAATAGAAACAGCTATCGCTTTTGACCTGACTATGAGCTAGGCACAGTAGCTCATTAACTTTACTATTAATCTATATTCACATTAATGGTATATTGTTTGAATTAAGCAGTACCACAGGGGGCAGAAAACCCAAACACCATGTTAACAAGTTAGAAGTTTATTTGTCTCTCATGAAACCAGTCTAGGACTGATACAGCAGTTCCACAAGCAGTAGAGACCCAAGCTCCGCCTATTTTATTGCTCTGCTGTCTTCAACATGTGGCTGGTATCTCATTATTAAGGATTCTCGGAACTTAAACACATTGCCTACGCTTGCATCCTACTGTTGAGAATCAGTTGCAAAGTCACACCCAGCTGCAAGGGAGGCTGGGAAATGCCTTTATTCTGGACAGTTACATCTTCCACTCTACATGAGGAGGGAAGAGCTATTGGTAGATGATGAGCAGTCTGTCCAACACAAGGACCTTTGATCTCCTTGAGTAGCTCTTCCTAATTTAAAAACAGGTTTATTGGTAGATAATCCACATTCTACACAATTTGCCTATTTAAAGTGTACAATTAAATGATTTTTAACATATTCAGAGTTGTGCAACTATCACTAAAATCAATTTTAGAACATTTTCATCCTCCTCCATCCTAAATAAACCCTGTACCCATTAGCAGCCACTTCTCTTTTACCTCTACCCACTTTCCCAGCCATAGGCAACCACTAACCTATTTTCTGTCTCTATGGATTTGACTACTTTGGACATTTCATATAAATGAAACCATCCAATATGTGGTCTTTGGTGACCGGCTTCTTATACTTGGTATGTTTTTGTGGTTCATACATATCATGGCATGTATTGGTACTTCATTTTCATTTTATGGCCAAATATTCCACTGTATGGAGATACAACATTTTATTTATACATTAATCAGTTGATGGACACTTGGGTTGTAGCCACTTTTTGGCAATTATGAATAATACTGCTATGAATATTCACATATAAATTTTTGTGTGGATGTATGCTTTTATTTGTCTTGAGTCTATTCCTGGGAGAGAAACTGCTGGATCATACAGGTCCACGTTTAACTTATTAAGGAACAGCTAAACTGTTTTCTAAAGTGACTACATCATTTTATATCCCCATCAGCAATCTATGAGGGTTCCAGTTTCTCCATATCCTCGTCAACACTTGTTAATATTTGACTCTCTGATTACAGCCATTGAAGTGGATGTGAAATGATATCTCATTATAGGTTTGCTTTGCATTTCCCTAATGACTAATGATGTTAAGGTTTTTTTCCCCTCATGCTTCTTGGCATTTGTAAGTCTGCTTGGGAGAAAGTCTATTCAAATCATTAGCCTACCCTTAGGTTTTGAAATCTATTGTTTTCAAATACACAGCTCTGGGTCAACTGGTTACATCCTGCATACTAGGTTGGGATTTTTTTCTCCTTTTAGCTCCTAGAGAAAGCTGGGTCTTTATCTATTGTGGGAATTCAGCAAGGCTCAGAAAAAGTTAGCATTTACTTCAAAGTCATGTGATATGGTATAAATTGCAGATTTTATTCAGTACATGTAGACTTTCTGAGAAGAAATCCTATTTGAAAGCAAAGGAGCAGACAACCTACAGGACAAGATGGAACTAGAGTATAGGTTAGTTTCCATTTTCTAGGTTCTCAAGCTTTTTAAATATTAATTTTAAGAAACAAGGTACAAAGCTTTACGAACACTATTTAAAAATATATAAGTAGGCTGAGCACAGTGGCTCACGCCTATAATCACAGCACTTTGAAAGGCTGAGGCAGAAGGATAGCTTAAGCCCAGGAGTTCAAGATCAGCCTCGGCAACACAGTGAGACCCCTGTCTCTACAAAAAATTTAAAACTTAGCCAGGCATGCTGGTATGTGCTTATAGTCCCAGTTACTTAGGAGGCTGAAGCAGGAGGATTAACTGAGCCTGGGAGGTTAAGGCTGCAGTGAGCTATGATCACACCACTGCACTCCCACACAGGTGACAGAGTGAGACCCTGTCTCAAAAACAAAAACAAAAAAAGAAAAAACATAAGTAAGTGGTAACGACCATATTAACACACAATTGAATGATATAACTCAACTTTCTGTAATTATGGAATAATATATATAATGCTTTTAGCTAAAAATAATGATTTCAGTTATTTACATCTATTTAATATTTTAGTTAAAAAATAATGCTTTTGATTACTTATATCTCTTTCCACAAGTGATACTAAACATAGCTTGTGAAATATATTTTGCTTGAAATGTGAAATACAAAGTCAAATAAATACCATATCTAATTGTGGAGCCCTATACTATTTCATTAACGAAGATGCTACAGGTAGACTGAGGGACAAAAAAAAAAGACAATATAATGAAATGGAAAAAATGCTGACTTGGATGTCTAGCGTCAATGTTCTATCACAGAGTAAATCACTTAACCTCTCTGGACCTGTATTTACAAATCTAGAAATGAAAAGGTAGAGAGCTATATGGATTTCTGAGGCCTATCTCTAAAAGTCCTATTTCCCGTTTTAATGGTATTTCATAAAATGGGTTGTGTTCAAAATGTTTGGAAAGCTGTGGGTCAAACAGTTATGATACTCTTTCAGTTACTCATCCAAAATCTATTCCCCACTTCTTCCTTGGTTTAACGTTAATTTGATTTGAGACAGCAATATGGCTAGGTCCACAGTGATGAATTGAGACTGGCCTAACGAAATCATTGCAACCCTGTTTTCAGCTTTCCTTGCTTCCCTTGCAGCTACTCATGGCCAAGTCAATGTATATGGCCATGGAACCCTCTTCATTCCAGAAGTATCTCCAAAGGATTACTTTTCTGGAGAGTATGATGGCCTAGGCTAACTTTACTATAAATAGTAGATAGATAAGTGCATTTCCTGGCCAGTAAAGCCAGAATGTGTTATCTCTGAGGCATTTCTTCCATAAAACATTTACTCTAATTTTTTTTTTTTTTGAGACGGAGTCTTGCTTTGTCACCCAGGCTAGAGTGCAGGGGCGCGATCTCAGCTCACTGCAACCTCCGCCTCCCAGGTTCAAGCAATTCTCCTGCCTCAGCCTCCAGAGTAGCTGGGATTACAGGCGCTCACCACCACGGCCAGCTAAGTTTTGTATTTTCAGCAGAGACAGCGTTTCACCGTGTTGGCCAGGATGGTCTCAAACCCCTGATCTCAGGTGATCTGCCCACATTGGCCTCCCCAAGTGCTGGGATTACAGGCATGAGCCACCACGCCTGGCCTCTAATTTCTACAAATAAATAAAAACCTATGCATTCATTTGTGTACTTGGCCTTACCTTGTGCCCATTTTTGGAAAAAAATTTAAAACAAAGGAAGTATCTGTTGGTCAAGAAGGTGCATGTCTATTAAACCCCTTGCCTATCATAAGCCTAGAGAACTTGGGAGTTAGTGAAATATAACATTCATGTTAATCAACCTTTTAGACATGGTTGTGTTGTGAAGTAAAAGCTGGAATCCAGTATTCTCAGTTCTGTATATCATTATCACCAGCGGTGCTTTAAAGAGAAAATTATAGGTCTCTCTACATCTATCATACACCTCCTCAGATTCAATGGGTCTAGAGGTGGCTTAGACATCTATAATTTTTTAAAGTCCTACATTTGATTCTGATAGGCTGCCAAGGTGAAAAACACTAAGTTTTATAAATCACAGAAGCTATGACTCTTCAAGATGCTTAGGTGAGTAATGCCTTATGGCATGGTGAAAATAACACCCTCACAGGTTTCAGGGACTCAGGTCTTGGTTCTGGCACTCAACAGCTAGGTAACTTTGATCAGATTACTTAAAACTCTCTGGGCCTTAATGTGCCAGACTTAGAGAGGATAACTTTTGCTCTAGGTTTAAACAACAAGTGTTTATAAAAGCACATGGAAAATTATAAAGAGTTCAAAAACTTTTAACGTAGTACTTAATGCTATTTTCCTCTTTATGGAGTGTCCTTTCCCTTTCTTTTATGCTGTAAAAATCTTTTTTTTTTTTTTTTTTTTTTACTTTCAGATCTAGGGTACATGGGCACAACGTGCAGGTTTGTTACATATGTATACATGTGCCATGTTGGTGTGCTGTACCCATTAACTCGTCATTTACATTAGGTATATCTCCTAATGCTATCCCTCCCCCCTCCCCCCATCCCACGACAGGCCCCAGTGTGTGTGATGTTCCCCTTCCTGTGTCCAAGTGTTCTCATTGTGTATGCTGTAAAAATCTTACTGTTCCTTCCAGAGCACCAAGTTTAGATCTCTGAAGCTTTCCTTAAACCAACTGCACAGAAATGTTACCTCATCAGGGTTTCTGCAGCACTTTGTATACTACCCCTATCACACTGATAGTGACAATCGACAACCTCTTGTCCCCTCATTGGTCTAGTGTTAAGCTCCTACAGAATCGGGTGGGGGGGGTGTCTTAATCTCTTCAGCGTCCCCTGTGCCTAGCAATGTTAGTTGAGGTGAACCAAAACGGCTATCCTCTCATCATTGAAAACACAGAAAAAAATGGCCTTTTTAGAACCCAATTACCTATTTTTTCTCTTCTTTTTCAAAAGCGGAATCTTTTCTTCAATCTACTTTTTACTTGTGGAACCCCAATCTGAAAAGAAGATCGAGGGGTTGGGGGATGCTGAGATCTACCCTGGTAATCACAACACTTATGATAACACAGGTAATAATCTATTAGTGCCTGTACCTAGTAGGTGTCTGGCTACCCATGAAACACATTTATCTAATTCTCTCAACCTCTTATAAAAGATGTACCATTACTACTCCATTGTATTGCTAGATAACTGAGGTTCAGAGGACTTAGGTAATTTGCTCCAACAAGGTCAAAAGGCCAGAACTAGAATACGGATTTCACTCCAGACCACCAAATCTGAACCTCTACATGCAATCTGGAGATATCTGGATGATTCAGTTCCTTTAGTGTGGCTCAGAAACAAGTAACCCGGAGTTCCTCTGGGCTCCCATTTGATAGAGACTACGGTAAAGTGTAATTGATTAGACGTGGAGGTGGAAGCATCCCCACGAGAACCATTTCCTCATGATGCTCCTGTCACCGGGAAGTGTTCTAATTTTAACTTTATTTTTATTTTAAAATTTATTTTTAGAGACAGGGTCTCACTGTGTCGCCCAGACTGCAGTGCAGTGGCGCAATCACCGCAACCTCGACCTCCCAGGCTCAAGCGATCCTCCCGCCTCAGCCTCCTGAGTAGCTGAGACCACAGGCACGCGCCACCACACCTGGCTAATTTTACATTTTTTGTAGAGGCGGGGTCTCGCTTTGTTGCCCAGGCTGGTCTCGAGTTCCCAGGATCAAGCGATCCTCCCGCCTCGGTCTCCCTAAGCACTGGGATTGCAGGCGTGAGCCACAGCGCCCGGCCGCTGTAACTTTAAATTGCCCGGGAGGACTCTGCAGCCCAACCCTGCCCACCTCACCCGGTCACCGGAGGATGCCTGTCAACTTCTGGGAGCTGCAAGCGCGGGCCGGCCAGTCGTCCGCGCGCGGCTTTTTCTTCAGGACAGCGGAGGCACACCGTGCTTTGCGGTTCCCGGAAGTCCTTCAGGCCTCAGACCTGTCAGCCCGCCACACTCCAGCCAGTCCCTTCCGATCACCTCCAGACACCACGCTCTCCTTTCGGAGCCCGCCCGCCGGAAGTGGCGGCCCGGAACTACTCCCACAGGGGGGCGGGGAAGGAAGATGGCGGCGCCCAGCGTCCCGTGAGGAGAGAGGACACAGGGATCCCGGGGAGCGGCCCCAGACTCGTAAATTATGGCCGCATCTCCGCACACTCTCTCCTCACGCCTCCTGACAGGTACTGTACCCGCCTTGGGCACGACCTTGGGGGAAATTCTTCTCTTATTACCACGTGCGAGGCCGTGGTTCCGGCTGGCTGCAACCTTGGGGAGCCCTTGGCGAGGTTGGCCGGCCACCGGTGTGGTGGGGGAAATGACCTCTGGAGTAGCTTGGAGTGAAGAGGTCACGGAGCTAGGGTCCAGTCTTGCACTGTGGCTTTAGTGGTCCACACAGCCTCCTCCATCCGGCTTCTGCGGAAGAGCGGTGTCTTCCTGCTTCTTTAGGTTTTCAGATAGTGGAAGCTGGAGGAGAGGGCAGAGCAGAACCTTGGGGTTCCACAGTCCTCCTTATCAGAGCCTCGGCTTCTAGCCACTGGCTTGCAATGACAAGGAAGGTGCTTTGCTTCCACTCAGAAGCCTTGTTCCAATATAAAGGGTCATGATGACAACGTTGATGATAATGACAGTTGCAGACAGCGGAGTGTAGTCCCCATCAGACTTTTGTCTCTGTACCGCCAGAGTGGTCTTTAATATCCTTTCACTCGAAGAAACTAGTGACAAATGTATATTGGAGCTGGAATGTTCTTCCTTGACTCTTGGTAATGGCTCATCTCAAATGTCACCTTTTCAGAGAGGCCTTTATAGAGACCACCCTATATAAACTAGGGCCCCCTACTTCTTTCTTTTCACATCATTCCATTTATTTCTTTCATTATGGTTAGCACAGTCTATACTTGTTTATTTATATACTCGTTTATTATTTGTTTTTCCCAACTAGAATATAAACCTTGTGATGGCAGGGACAGTGTCCATCTCTGGTTTACCTCTGTGTTTCCAGTGCCCAGAACAGTACTTAGTGTACATTGTTTGCTCCCAATAGTTATTTGTGGATGGATGCAATTTGTCCCCATGGAGATCTTAAAGAGGACGTTAGATGATTAACTAATGGTTGTGTGAGGAATGTGATGCCGGTGGTGCATATTAGAGGCCAGATAAGAGAAGCCAGGGACTGCCTTTTGATCACATCCCAGAAACTTTTTTCACTTGTCACCTACCACACACAAGCTCTCTGCACCATCTGGTGATGTTGACACTGTGACTCCATGAAATTGCGTTCTTCGTTCTTTTTCATAATGTTATTTTATGGCTGTCTTCTGGTCTGTGTGATTCCAGGGCAATTCATTTGACTTTTCTGGAATTGAGTTTACTCATCTATAAAATGACGTAATTGAAGTAGGTGATCTCAAAGGTCCTGTTTGGTTTGTAAAGTGGAGAGGTAGAATAGATTGGCTAGGGTCTGGTAATTGTTGAAGCTTGGGGATAAGTAATGGGGGCTCATGGTACTCTTCTGCTTTTACACATGGCTGTGATTTTCCATAATGAAAAGTTGTTGTTTGTTGTTTTTTAAAGTCCTGTGATTCTTTTTTGAATCACTTCTTTGTTACATTCTACCATACCTGACTGTGAATGTTCTTTGATCCTGATCCTGGGCACTCATTCTCAGAGAACTCATCCTTTTATGTTGCTTCAAATATCTTCTCTGTATGGAGGTTTTTCCAGCATGCATCCTTCAGATTAGCTGTTTTTCTGCCTTTCCATTCTATATTGTCAGCTATAGGACAATTCTGCTTGACTACTGTGAATTGCCCAGTTCCAGTAGGTGGGCTGCATGTGGCCCATATGGTTTGTTGCTGCATCAGTCTTTGCAGTGGTGGTATGGAAGGAATTAATAGACAGCTTACTCCCTGAAGCTGTGAACATAATTGCCAAAAACTCTGCTAGTAAGTGGTCTGTATAACTCCCTGTGATCCATTTGGAAGATCTACTAAGAGAGCTTGATGGGGAAGCAGCATGGTGGGACAAGGTGGCAGAGAAGGTAAACTGGGACAGTGTTAGTGATCGAGTAGTATCATGCCTGATTTTGCTTCTAAAAGTTCTAAGTATTTTACAGCCATTTAAAAACTGTCATCACTGGCCGGGCGCAGTAGCTTACACCTGTAATCCCAGAACTTTGGGAGGCCAAGGCAGGTGGACCACTTGAGGTCAGGAGTTCAACACCAGCCTGGTCAACATGGTGAAATGCCTTCTCTACTAAAAATACCAAAAAAAAAAAAAAAAAAAATTAGCCAAGCGCAATGGTGTGCACCTGAAATCCCAGTTACTTGGGAGGCTGAGGCAGGTGAATCGCTTGAATCCAGGAGGCAGAGGTTGTAGTGAGCCAAGATCGTGCCACTGCACTCCAGCCTGGGTGACAGAGTGAGACTCCATCTCAAAAAATAAAAAAAAAATTAAAAATGTCAGCATTTTTTAGCTGTTTGTCTCCTTACCTAATTTTAAACGTCCTAAAATCAGGAGCCAGTGTTGATGGTGAATAATAGATATGGTCTTATGCTTCCAGAATTTTAATGTATCTATTATAATCTTTGTGTATCTCTAAACTTACATTTGTTTACACAAGGCTGAAATGTCTTTCAGTTTCTAGGCACTGATTCATAAAAATGTGACATGTTTCAACGAAATGAAATGTCAGTTTCATAGCTGTTTTTTCTTCTTACTACCATTCTGTAAAATCTCAGTTTGACCCACGTAATCTTTTTTTTGTTGTTGTTGAGATGGAGTTTTACTCTTGTTGTCCAGGCTGGAGTGCAATGGCACAATCTTGGCTCACTGCAACCTCCACCTCCCAGGTTCAAGCAATTCTCCTGCCTCAGCCTCCTGAGTAGCTGGGATTACAGACGCCCACCACCACGGCCGGCTAAGTTTTGTATTTTTAGTAGAGACGGGGTTTCACTGTGTTGGCCAGGATGGTCTCGAACTCCTGACCTCAGGTGATCCCCCAACCTTGGCCTCCCAAGTAGCTGGAATTACAGGCATGCACCACCATGCCTGTCTAGTTTTTTGTATTTAGTAGAGATGGGGTTTCACCATGTTGGTCAGGCTGGTCTCGAACTCCTAACCTCAGGTAATCCACCCACTTAATCATGAGAGTTATTTTCCAAGGTGGTTCCAAGACAAACACATTTTCATGTTTATGGAAAACAAGCATGTCATAATTAACTCAGGTTTGAGACCATAATTTCAGTGAAGAAGTGATTTATCTCCAGTCTAAGAAAATTGTGATGTATTTCTTGGGGTTGTGATAGTTCTCCTTCCCATAGTCCAGGTGTGCTGTGTGGGCTATCTAGTCATCAAACATCATTTCCTTATTATATAAAAGTGCTCTGCTAGCTGTTGTACAAAGGTGGTGAGTAAAGGAGAATTCTTGCCATCAAGGAACTAAAAAATTAGATGATGGGAACAATTTGCATGAAGAAGTGTCATGCAACATGGCATAAAGTGATAGAGTAGTTGACAAAGACAGAAAATTTGACAGAGTGGTGTGCAAATAAGGAAACGATAGAAACAGATGAACAAATTGTGAAACGTGTGGTGTTTTCAGTGGAGGGTCATGGGCGATGTTGCTTTGGTGGGTTGTGTGAGTAATATGTATTTAGTAATATGTAACAGGAAGAAAACTGTTGCCTCTGGGAACGTGGATTGGAGAGGAAAGGAAGTATTGAAGGCAGGAGGACTGGCTTGAATGCTGCTATCGTTACCATAGTCCAAATGTAAGATGATGAATGTAAGATGATCAGTAAAAATGGGAAGAAGTGGACAGATCTGACCTATATTTCAGAGTAGATTGGACTTGATGATTGTTAATTGATAACAGGAGAGTTCAGGATGTTCCTGAAGTCTTCAGATGTTCCTGAAGTCTTAAGTAATGGTTTTATGTACAATAGGGAACAGAGTAGAGATTGGTTGAGAATAAAACACTCTTAAAGACATTTTGCAATCCATCCATATAGAGATACCAAGAGAGGAGATGGAAATAGACCTGATGACTCTAGAAATGGTTTGAAGATCAGAAATTATCCTATAATTACATTTGCTCAGGGACAATATTTAATGTTCAGAAAGAGGGAACATGGATACCTTAAGGTGGCATACATAGCAAGAATAGACACCATCTGCAACTGAGAAATAGAATGCAGAGAACCAGGAACACTTAGTGTCATGGAAGCCTTCGGGAGAATCTGTAGTGTTCTATGGCTTGTCGGAGGCTTGAGTAGGAGGAGGACCAAGGCAGAGAAGCATTGGATTTGTTGATACTTGAGAGAAGTTTCAGTAGAATGACTAAAAGCCAAATTTAGATACAATAAAAATAGTTTATTCCTAACTAGACTGATAGAGTCATACTCTATTGAGAACTGTTTCTTCTTCCCTTTTGTTGTCTTACCCTACTTAGTTAAAATATTAACCTGAAATCTATATATTTCAATTTATTGTCATTTATTAAGAAAAATTGTGCTTTTTATTTTCTACTTTTGAAAAATTGACTGAACGGGTTGTTTTATATTTTCTTAAGAAGATATGTAGCGTGGTCATTTCAGCATTAAATGTAGTAAAGCATAGTGATCCTGAAATGAAAATTTTCCCTGGCCCTTCTGAAGACCTACACGGACTTAAACAATGAGTAGGGCTGGTAAATTGCATTTATTCACAAATCTGGATTAGATTATTTCAAAGCTCTGACCCATCACACAGTGTAGCGCTTACCTTAGTGGCTGGCTTTGCTTCTGGGGAGGTGTAGTCATCATTTGATAAGAAGTACGAATCATTTAACCTTTCTTCCACTTCTCTCTCTATTATAGGTTGCGTAGGAGGCTCTGTCTGGTATCTTGAAAGAAGAACTATACAGGACTCCCCTCACAAGTTCTTACATCTTCTCAGGAATGTCAATAAGCAGTGGATTACATTTCAGCACTTTAGCTTCCTCAAACGCATGGTATGTTTAGAAGACCATTCTTACTCTGTTACTTTCTGCCTTTTTCTCTGTTGAGAGAATTTCAGAAATTCCTATTTAATTAAAGTTTTAAGAAATACTGTTTGAAAAGAACTTTTATTTAGTGTCCTTAAATTTATCCAAATGTCTTGTTTTGATTATTCTTAACCGAAACCAGAATAATTCTGGTGTTTGAGGTTAAAAGTATGATCCTGAACTTATTGATTAAGTTTAGAGAAAGACTGAAAACTTGTGGCATATTTCGACCTGGCCAAAATTGGGAAAAGCTGAACTGTTGTGATACATCTTTTAAAATTCTTTGGAGTTCTGTGACTATATCAGTAATAGAGAAATAATTGCTTTAACAGTGTGACCCTCTCATTTTCTTAAATCAGCAGTACATTTAAAAGTCTTTTTTAACAGTTGCACTTCTGAGTAAATTCAAACAATTCGACAGTTTTTATAATTTTCTAGCATTTTATAATAGACATTGATAACATAAGTCAATCCAGGTTGACTCCATGAATTTGTGGGCAATATGGAACTTACTATTAATTGCCAGGAAGGCCATTTGCATTTTCTCAGATGGAAAAGGGTCATAGAATGGCAAAATGATAGCTGAAAACTCATAGTGCCAGCCTGAAAGAACGGCAGACTTATAATTTAAAGTCCTATTTTACATTTCTCTCATCTTTAACTTAAAACTTTAAATTAAAATCTTAATAAAACTCGATATGTTGATAAGAGATTTAAATTTCTAGAAATGTTCAGGCTTTTTAAGTTGGGGGTCAAGGATAATGGTGGATATTTAGAGGAGAAATTCAAATATGTGTAATGCCCTTTTTTATGTAAATGGAACTCTTCATTCATGAGTTTATAATTCTTTATTAAGACTAATGTATGTAATTTCAAATCTTTGTGATGTGATGGAAAAGGCACTTAACTAGTTATCAGCATAGGTGGCTCCACTCCCATGCCTGCCTATAGCTGGTTGTTGGCTGTTGATATATCAGTTTATTTCTGAGGCTTAGTTTCCTTATCTGTAAGTTAAAGAGAGAGAAAGAGAGGAGATACTAATAATGATCTATCTTCTTTGACAACTGTTTAGAAGATTAAATGAGATATATATTATATAAAACTGTAAAGTACTTCACAAATATTAGCAGTAGTTATTAATTTTGCTAGTAAGTGGTAGAGACTGACTCTACAGCCCACATTCTGTCTTCATCCTGCCCTGCTATAAAATCATTCAGCCGGCCAGGCGCTGTGGCTCACACCTGTAATCCCAGCACTTTGGGAGGCCGAGGCGGGCGGATCATGAGGTCAGGAGATCGAGACCATCCTGGCTAACACGGTGAAACCCTGTCTCTACTAAAAAGTAAAAAAAAATTAGCCAGGCTTGGTGGCGGGTGCCTGTAGTCCCAACTACTTGGGAGGCTGAGGCAGGAGAATGGCGTGAACCTGGGAGGCAGAGCTTGCAGTGAGCCGAGATCCTGCCACTGGACTCCATCCTGGGCAACAGAGCGAGGCTCCATCTCAAAAAAAAAAAAAAAAAAAAATCATTCAGCCCTGGATTATGCCTTACCACTGAGCCCCTCCCTATGCTGTTTGCCTGAGAACATGGAAAGTCAACAGGTTGACTTGGGCTCTTTTTTGTCTTTTTTTTTTTTTTTTTTTTGTGAGACAGGGTCTCACTGTGTCGTTCAGGCTGGAGTACAACGGTGCAATCACAGCTCAATCTCCTAGGCTCAAACAATCCTGCCTTAGCCTCCCGAGTAGCTGGGACTGTGGGCGTATGCCACCATGACCCACTAATTTTTTGTTTGTTTTTGTAGAGACATTCCCTATGTTGCCCAGGCTGGTCTCATACTCCTAGGCTCGAGGATCCTGGGATTACAGTCATGAGCCACTGTGCCTGGCTGGGCCCTTGATTATTGAAAACTTTTTTATTGTATTTGGAATGTTAAGCCTCCAGGGAAAATTCTGGAGGAGATGAATAACAAGTAAATTTATTTTTCTTTCAAGGAACATATATTTCTAGGCTTTTCTAAACTACAGAAATTGAAAACCATTACTGAGGCCTAAATTTTATTCTCCATATCTCTTAGTATAGTGATTTCCATATAGCACTCTATAAATACATGCCGAATTAACAGATATTAAAGCTGTGGGAAAAGCTTTCAAATAATGTAAAAGCTGGTCTGATTGAAGATGTTGCTAAATAACCATTTGAGAGCATTTGGGGCCTTGGTTTTATAGTAATGTGTGCTTTTTTGTTTAGTATGTCACACAGCTGAACAGAAGCCACAACCAGCAAGTAAGACCCAAGCCAGAACCAGTAGCATCTCCTTTCCTTGAAAAAACATCTTCAGGTCAAGCCAAAGCAGAAATATATGAGATGAGACCTCTCTCACCGCCCAGCCTATCTTTGTCCAGAAAGCCAAATGAAAAGGAATTGATAGAACTAGAGCCAGACTCAGTAATTGAAGACTCAATAGATGTAGGGAAAGAGACAAAAGAGGAAAAGCGGTGGAAAGAGATGAAGCTGCAAGTGTATGATTTGCCAGGAATTTTGGCTCGACTATCCAAAATCAAACTCACAGGTACTTTGTTTTTCTGATATACTTACTTATTTGAAACTCTATCTTTAGTGAAACAAAAAGCTAATTTTATTTACCACCTGAAAAGAATAATTTGGAACTGCAGGTCCTGTCTTAGTATTTTTCCTCTCTTCAATTTAACTGGGATTTGAAATTAAATTTTCTGAATTCTATTTACACAGAATTGTAAATAGTATTGCATTGTAAGTATTGTATTAAAAATAGTCACCCTTTCCTTTGCAATTAAAGTTGAATGTTTATCCTGCTTATTTCCTTGTCTTTAGTGTTTTTACACCTGCTGTAAAAATGCATAAGATAATAGGTTTTGTCAACTTGAGTTCTGGAATGGGAAGAATTGCACTACTGGGCTTGATATGAATCCACAGTGGCCACTGAGTCTCCCAGTTCACTTCTGTGTTTTGCTTCTTGTAGAGCCTCTGGGGTTGTCACAGGTCTGTGGGGATGTAGGGTGCATTTTTCCTGAAAGGAGATTTGGAACCAGATTTTGTTTTTTAACCTAATTCTAGCATCCTGTGCCAAATTGTATTGCCATAATTAAGTGATTTGGTTGTCACAGTCACCCTGTAAGTCAGACAGAGCATTATTATTATCCCATCATATAGCCAAGCTTTGACTTAGCTTATTCTGGGCTAACCCTGTTTAGAAGGTATGTTCTGGGTCATGCTGCAACTTGAGGGAGACCTGGTTTATTCTTCTTAAATGAGAATAAAGAGACTGAATATAATGTATGAATAGTAAGAGTAAGCCAGGCCTCTTTGAGGACAGAAAGTGGTAAATAATGTTAGAGTCAGATGAAAAGATGAGACAGGGAGGCTTTTGAGAGCAGAGAAGGATCAGGGAAAGAGTGATTTTTTTTTTTTTTTTTTTTTAAAGAGACTTGAGCCTGAAATTCAAGGCAAAAGGAGGTAACTAGACAACTTCTCTCCTTAGTGACCAGCTT
Organism: Homo sapiens; assembly: GCF_000001405.40. Classification (NCBI taxonomy): domain Eukaryota; kingdom Metazoa; phylum Chordata; class Mammalia; order Primates; family Hominidae; genus Homo; species Homo sapiens. The sequence continues at coordinate 14,078,015 of NC_000017.11, forward strand.
TACTTAAAGAAAGTTGTTTTTGAAGAAATGATGAATAGACACAGGGGCTTTGGTGAAGGAGCTAAAAAGTCTTAGTAAGACTTGTGTAATGTAACTCTAAAACAGTGAGATGAATTCTGTGTGATAAGCTTGAAAACATGTCTCAGTGGTTTATGGTCACTAAGCAACGAATCAGCATGTTTCTAAAGAAACTCTCTTTTGTCATTTACACAAGTGGCCTGAGTGTCATGCTGCTGACAAGTTAAGAATGACTATAGATAAGTTATGCTTATAATGCTGCCACCCCAAAAATGAGGCCTCTCAGCCCGTAGGCATCAGATGTGGCCTCTGTCAACAGCAGGAGCTTCATGTGTGCCATCACTTAGCACATCCACCCTGCAGATTAGCTCTCGTCTCTTGTTGTCCCATTTCTGTCAGTTACAGCATTCTTCGCTTCCTTCAGAGGAGAAACCTTAGAACCAGTCTTCTTCACTTTTTGCTCTCCGCTCTCCCCTTCATCTTGAGTCTAATTTCTGTCACCAGCAGAATCTTTTGTAAGCCCTGTGACATTTGCTTTCCCATCCTCATTTCTGAAGCTGCCATCCTAGTTTACATTGGAAACACGGGAGGCTGTTGGTTTTTGCAGCAGCTTCTAACTGTTCTTTCTTTTGTCCTCCGCCCCGCTTACCCTGCCGTTCATGCTGCCCAGCGTTGCCAAACTAACTTACCCAAAATATTGCTTTCGATTTTCCTAACTTATACGAGTCTATAGTTTCTCCATATTAGCTTCTGTCTCAACCCTGCTTAGTGTTAAAGGAACACTGTAACCTGGAATGATCAAACTGTTCCTCAGAATCAACCTTTTTTCCCTTTCCCTGTCCCTCCACCCTACCATTGAGGCCAGTCCTTTCACCCCACCATATTTGTTCCCCCGCCTCCATGGGAAACTGGTCTGCCTGTCTTATATCCAGTCAGATCCTTTCAAGGCCTCTGTTAATCCTGCTCTTGGCCCCAGTCTCCCTTTTCAAAACTTGGAATATGGCTTTGAAGTCAAGCACACTTGAGTTCAGATCTTGGCTCTGACATTTACTAGCCAGTGAGACTTTGGGCAGTTCCTTAACTTTATTGAGATGATATCCACATCTATAAAGTAGGAATAATAATAGATCATTTAAGAATTAAATAATTAATGCATATAAAGCATACAACAGCATGCTGGACACATGGGAGACACTGCAAGTTTCCAAATAAGTATAGGTGAACATTTGATTGTCTGCTTAATGTGTATTATATTTCCCCTAAGGTTGTTTTTGCCTGTGGAGGGACTTGAAGTGAATGAATATTTACTCGGCAGGGAAGATGAGAAGGAGAATTTTAAGTAGAGGGAAGAGTCTTTGCAAAAGCAAAGGAGTCTCAGTTATCCTGGCACATTCAAAAAGCTGCACTGGGACTATGAGTAGCAATAGTATGACCTGAGTATCATATAGGAGAGGTGCTTATTAAGATCGAAGAGTTAGGCAGTGGTCATGTTGTCATATTGGCATGTATATCAGGCTAAAGTGTTAGATCATAGCCATGGAAAGTTCTGGAAGCTTCTTTGGAGGGATATGATCACTTTGTGTTTTGTCTTATTTACCTTTTACGTATTTTAAAATTTCCATTAAATTAGTATAGGCTTATTATAAAAAAGAATTCAAATAATACAGAAGCATATATTTTAAACTAAGAAAGTATCCTTTCCCACCATTCTAGATAAAAACCCCTGTGTGAAATGTCGCCTTCTCTATATAGACACATATGCAGATAGAGCTATGGTTGTACATTTTCTTCAAAAGAAATAGGATCATTTTATATATATATATATATGTATGTATGTATGTATGTATACACACACACACAGTTTTGCAACATGCCATTTTCTTATGACAGTATAGTTTTCACTGACAATATTCACTGCATACTATTCCATTGTATGGATCTGCCATTATTAACTAGTCTTCTGCAGGTAAACATTTGTGATATTTCCAGATTTTTTACTATTAAAAGCAACTCTGTTACTTTTACGTATACGTCTTTGTACTCACGTGAGTCTGCCTTTAGGATCAGTACTTAGAAATGTAATAGCTAGCTTTAAACATTTAAATCTTTGATGAAACAACAAATTTGTTTCTAAAAAGATAGTATAATTTACCCTTCCCCTCAACAGCATTTGGGAATTAGACTTTCTTTTTTTTTTTTTTTTTTTTTTGAGACGGAGTCTTGCTCTGTCACCCAGGCTGGAGTCCAGTGGCGAGATCTCAGCTCACTGCAAGCTCCGCCTCCCGGGTTCACATCATTCTCCTTCCTTGTAGCTGGGACCACAGGCACCTGCCACCACGCCTGGCTAATTTTTTGTATTTTTAGTAGAGACGGGGTTTCACCATGTTAGCCAGGATGGTCTCAATCTCCTGACCTCGTGATCCACCCGCCTCGGCCTCCCAAAGTGCTGGGATTACAGGCGTGAGCCACCGCACCCGGCCAGCATTTGGGAATTAGACTTTCTCTGTAGAGTCCACTCCTGCATAAGCAGTCTTTACCAGTTTCGCCAATTTGATCATTGAAAAAGGTTTTGTATGCGTTTTCATTATTTACATTTTGGTAAGGTTTAGCATCTTTTTTCTATTTTGATCATTTGTGGTTTTTCTTCTGTTATTTAGCTCTTATATTCTTGGTCATTCCTTATTGACTTTTTAGAATTCTTTGTAAATAAATTAGCATTTTATACATCATATTCATTACAAATATTTTTTCTCATTTTGTCCTTTTCTTTTTTTATGGTATTTTGTTGTTTTGTTTTGTTTTATTTTGCCCCATGGAGATTTTTGACTTTTATGTATTTGTTTTTTTCATGCCTAGAAAGGTTTCATCACCCTGTGGTTACAAAAACATTCACTCATGTTTTCCTCTGATGCTTTTATGTTTTTGCATATTCTCTAATGCTTTGAAGCCATCTGGATTATATTTCAGTGGAAGGAATAGGCTTGATTAAGAAAACTGCTGTGGTAGTACTATAGAGCAAGGATCACCTGTTTTTGTAAATGAAGTTTTATTGGAACACAACCACGCCCACTTGTTCTGAGCATATATCATGCCGCAGTGACAGAGTTAATTGCAACAGAAACCTTGTGGCCTGGGAAGCCTGAAATGCTTACTGTCTGGCGTTTACAGAAAAAGTTTGCTGACCTTCTGTCGGAGAGCACAGACTAGTGAGAGCCAAGAATGATGGCAGACAAATAGTGGTGGTCAACTGAGAAACGACTTGGGCCTGAACTGAGGCTGTGGTGGGGAAAGAGAACAAGGGAGAGAGAGAGAAAGAGAGATAGATAGAGAGAAACATTAAGGAAATCGAATGAGTAGGACCTTAGCTAGATGAAGTGGATTGCTAAGGAGACATAAAATAAGAGCTGAGAGCGCGGAGCTGCAGAGAGTTTGAATACCTTGAGGTGAAGCAGGTATTTTCCAGCTCTGTGGGCCCTTTTGTCATTTATTATTCTAGGCTCTATCCTGTTCTGTGAGAGTCAGATTCTAAAGTCAGATTCCCTGCATTCAAATCCTGGCTTTGGCTAGCTGACTGACCTTGTGCAAGTTTTATAATCTCACCGGCCTCAGTTTACCCATCTGTAAACTAGGGATAATAATAGTACTTCCTTCATAGGGTTGTTCTGAGTAATAGGTGAGTTAACATTTGCAAATGACATACAAGTGCCTAGTACATGTCAAAAACTATACACATATTTCTTAAAAAATAAATTTAATACCTGGCTGCCCCCACTGGCATTTGGATTTGCTGCCCCTGCTCTAGACACAATTACGGGCTTCTGGAATGAAAAACTAGATGAATGGTGGTGTTGAGACTTAAGAGTGTAAATATGGAAGAAAGAAAAGGTTTAAAGAAAACATGATGAGTTCAATTTTGGATAAGTGGAATTTGAGTTGCTACTGGCATATCCAGGTGGAGAGACCCAGTGGGGCAGGGGGCTGTGAAAGGCAAGAGCTCAGAGAGAATGTTAGGCTGGAAGAACCAGGGGTCTTCAGCATGGAGCTGGCAGTGAGGTCACGGTAGTAAATGATGTTACCAAGGATCAGTGTGTACAGTGACCATGCTGATGGTCACCAGAACTTTGGGGTATATCACCTTTTAAGGATTGGGTAAGGTATATAATGGACCCGGCAAGGAAATAAATGGTCAGAGGGAGGAAGACCGGAAAAGACCCTGTCACAGAAGCCAAAAGAATAGAACCTGTTCATAAAGGGAAGTGATCTGGGCCGGATGTCAAATGCTGGAGGTCTCCTGAGAAGCCTGGCTCGTGAGAGTCATTTTATTTGCCAGTTAGGAAGTCAGTGTTGACTGGTTGCTAAATCAGGGAATAGTGATTGCTGTGTCTTCTTAGACTCTTAAATGAGCTGCTTTAAATAATCTATTTTAAAATAATTTTAAGTTTATTATAATGCTTGTTTCATTAGGAACACAGGAAAATAGGATAACTAGTTTAAGATGAACTTTTTTCTTGGCCACATCTTCCATTCCTTCATACTGGCTATTGTTGTATTATTTCTCCCTTTATGTAGCTTATATGGTTATATATCTGAATTGTCATTCCAGATGCAGGGTTTGATATCTAAAACATAGTATCTGAAATCTCAAGAAATTAATTAATTAATTATTTAATAGTGCATACTGTGATGTATAGTGTACATGAACTCATTGGCTTCCAAATGTCAGCATGGTAATGTGCCGTCATGGTGTGCTTGTTAAAACAGTGATTCCTGGCCACTGTTTCCAGTGATTCAGTTCCCCTAGGGCTGGGACAGGACTCAGAGATCTGCATGTTTGATGAGGACACCAGATGATTCTGATGCAGGTGGTCCTAGACCACACTTCGAGAAAGCAAAGTAGGTGTTAGGTAGGCAGCGAGTACTAGTCCCAGACCGAGTGGTCTGACTGGATGTGGAGAGAACTCACCTAGTGAGAGCCAGCGGAGCCGGTCACTACCACTGGCAGCAGGAAAAGCCGACTGGGCAAAATCTGGACCACAGAAGAGAGGCATGCAAAGCAAGACGGATGCACCACAGAAAAGGGGAGCAGCCTCACCTACACACACAGATGGAAAGGTCCCAGGGCAGTAAATTTCCCTTGTATTATTTTATATATTCCACGCCCCAGGTTTCTGGATGAACTAATTGAATTAAAGTCCTTTCCTTCTGCTTATTCCATTTAAAGAAGCAGCACCCTTTGGGTGACCCCTACCCTTTTATCTGACCTTTTACCTCTCTATTTAGTTTATTACTTGAAGTCACATGTGTTTTGGAGTCAGCAGGATTTTTTATTTAAGAAAATACCTGATATCTGTCCATTGATTTCTTTTGGACTCTTAACATCTCACACGATTCATTTATAGCTAATGATAGCCGAGGCAGAAATATCTGGGAGTCAGTGATCACTTTCATAGAACTAGCCTTTCTTTCTTTCCCTCCTTTTGTTTATAGCTGTAATATACGGAGGATAATTAACTGTGGAATAAGTGAAGGGCCAGATAGTGCTCATACTTATATTTCATCTGTGGGTTAGTGGGTAGCAGCAGCCTGATGCCTTGGCATTTAGGCCAGGATATGAGCCAAACGTTTGCTGGTGCTAATGCCATTTAAAGATTTTTATTTTTTTAAATGAAGGGAAGTAAGACTGAGATTATAAAAAAGGAATAATGTGTCTCCCTTGAGTTTCTCTTGCCAACTGAGCTATTTACAATATGTTTTTGGAGTTTGTTGCATGGACCACACTGGGGTAAAGAAATTTTATTTGGATTAGGATCATAAGAGGCTTTGGTGACTCAACTGAGTTTATACTTAATATAGGTCAGTAAAAAGCAGAACTTTTTTCCTGAGTAACATCTGTGCTGAAAAGCTGCAACACGTTTTTTGAGACCAGAACACTGAAATAGATTATTTATTGGAACCAATAGATTATGCTGTTGATGGAACTGATATGAAGTATGATCTATCAATGTATAAATTTTTTTCTCCTAGAGCCTAGAATGCTGTTTTTTATTAAAAGAAAAAAGCAGAAATGGAGGATACACGTTCATTTTAGATCACTTGTATAGTTTAAGAAGTCAACTTACTGTAATCTTCAGTTATTAAATATTTGTATTAAGGGGGTTTTAGCATTCACTGAATATGAATTGAGTGAATTACTATGATTTCTTGAATTTTACTTTATTTTTTGAAATAAGTGCCTTGATATATTTACTAAATGTTATAGTATTATTTTTAATTATATGACTAGTAAATATTTATTTTTAGAAAAAATAGAAAATACAGATAAGCAAAAAGAGAAGATTGAAATCCTCCTGTAATTTCACCATCTTAAAATAAAACCATTTTGAATATTTTGATATATTCTCTTCCAGAAATTTTTTCTATGCATCTCATATATTTTTGCTTTATAAAGAAATATACGATCGTAGCGTAAATGCCTTCTGTGACTGAAAAAAATTAATATTCTGCTTATGTCTTTTTGTGTATCAACATGTTTACCCTGTTTTTAGTGACTTTTAAAATTTAAAAGTAATGTTTTCTTAAAACGCAAACACATAATATACAGAAAGTCCCTTCAGGCCATGCAATAACCAGGCTTTTTATTTTTTTTGAGAAAAATTTCGCTCTTGTCACCCAGTCTGGAGTGCAATGGCATGATCTCGGCTCACTGCAACCTCCGCCTCCCGGGTTCAAGCCATTCTCTTGCCTCAGCCTTCTGAGTAGTTGGGATTATAGGTGCCTGCCACCACGCCAGCTAATTTTTGTATTTTTAGTAGAGACGGGGTTTCGCCATGTTGGCCAGGCTGGTCTTGAACTCCTGACCTCAGGTGATCCACCTGCCTCAGCCTCCCAAAGTGCTGGGATTACAGGCGTGAGTCACTGCACCCGGCCAATAACCAGGCTTTTTGCATACAGTTTTTCAGCCTTTATCTGTTCATAGTCTGTGTTTTAATGTTAGCAGTACAGCCTCTGGAGTCAGACTGGCTGGGTTGGAATCCCTGGTCTACAATTTTATTGGCTTTGTGGTTACAGGCATATTTTTTTTCAAGTCTCTAAGCCTTGGTTTACTTGTCTGTAAAATGGGGATAATCCTCCCTGAAAGGATTATTGTGATGATTATAAGCAATAATGTAAGCAAATGATTCACTGCCATATTCAGTAAATGTTCAAGAAAGGTTAGTTATTATTACGTTAGTGCATAGATAGTTTCTATTTTGTTTTATAAAAATGGGGTTATATTACATGTTTTGTTTAGTTATTTGCTTTCTTCCCTAATTGGTATATCTTCCTCATACTTCCTCATCAATACAATTAAATCTACCTTCTTTTTTTAAAGGTTGATAGTATTCCATAGTATAGATATATTTAGTTTATTGAACCATTTCCTTGTTAATGGACATTTAAGTAGTCTCTTACTTCTTGCTATTAAAAATAAAGATTTGTAATATCATTTAACATATATCCTTTTACATATTTTTTTCTCAAAGTTAGCTGTATAGAAGTATACCTTTATTTTTGTTGGGTATATAGCATGCCATTGCGTAGTTATACCATAATTTATTTATTTCTCCTGTTTTAAGTGTTTTTTATTTTATTATCCTTATTATACATAGTACTATAATAAATAAGCTAAATCTATAATGATTTTCTGAGGATAAATGTATAGAAGTGGTCTTGTTAGAGCAACAGGTACGCATGGTTTTAAAGCTTTCAGTTTTCATTAACAGATTCCCCTCAAGAAAAGTTGCACCAATTTGTGCTAGCCACCTCACCATATCTTCACCAATGAATGCTTGATGATAATGTATTCTTCTGAATAACTCTGTCAATTCAATGTGTGAAAGTAGCACTTAAGTTTTTAATTTTGTACTTAATTCTGATGAGGTTTTATATTTGTCATACGCTGAGTGGTGATTTGTATTGCTTTGTTGATGGCATGTTTGCCTCCCAGCCTTCTCTTCTGTGTTTGTCTTTGTTTATTGTTTGTAAGGATTCTTTATATATTCAAGATTTGATCTCATTATATATATCTGTCACAAATGTCTTATGTTGTTTGTGTCTTGTTTTCATTTATCTTTGTTTTCATGTGCAAAAGTTAATTTTATGTAACCAAAGGTATTTTCTTATGAGTTTCTGGTTTTTATACTATGCTTAGACTTTCCCACATGAAGATTTTGTAAATACAGTATTTATCTGCATTGTTAATATTATATTTTTATGATTTTATATTGTATAATAAAATTTATTATTGATAAGAAATGTAGTTTGGTCAGTGGTATAAGATAGAGATATTGCCAGTTTTTAATAAATCATTAACCAGTGTTTGAATGTTCTATTCACAAAGAGTTTGTGAAGCTCTGTGCCTGGAATAAATACCTCAATTCTGCTAATGTTTTAATTGGGATTTCAATGTTTATTCGGGGATGAATTGAGAACTTTACTGTTACATCATCTTCATTTATACAAGTCTTCTTTTACGCCTCTTGAGTTCTATAGTTTTACTTAAATAGATCAGTACATGTATTGATAAGTGATTTTGGAAGTATTTAAAAATTTCTTTTCAGTTGATTATTTCTTGAGTTTTTCAGGAATACATCAAATAATGATTAAGTTTATCTCCTTTTTCATGTTTATGCTAATTATTTCATTTTCTGGTAATTGCCTCTTTGTTTAGTTATTTGCTTTCTTCCCTAATTGGTATATCTTCCTCATACTTCCTCATCAATACAATTAAATCTACCTTCTTTTTTTAGAGATTGATAGTATTCCATAGTATAGATATATAGAGATACTCTTTCTACTAGCTTTCTTCATTATAATTTTCCGCTTCATTCTGAAGGGTCTTCTGAAATGTGTTATGTAGAGTGCTGACTTGATTTTGTTCCATCTATTTATTACATCTCATGACTTTTAACATTCTGCTGTGGCAGTTTTTGTTTCTTGTACTACTTTCCTTAACCTACTTTGTTTCATGGGGTTAGGTTTTTTCTAGAGTGTACAAATTTACTTTTTCTGTTCATTCAGCTGATGTTTGTTGAGCATCTATTATGTTCCAAGTATCCACTTCTGAGTGTTGTGGACAGAATAAGGTGCAGGTGGCTGACAGTCTCTGTCCTCATAGGTCTTACTCTTCAGGAGGAGTTTATAGTCTAGTGGGTCTGTGGTAAATCTTTTTCAAAATATATTCAGCCTCTTATTCTTCCATGCTACTTTTTTTTCTTTTGTACCGTAGAGTCTTTTTTAATGAGTCGCATATTGATTCATTTTACCTCTCTGTATCTTTCTCCCTTCCGGAAAGAAGACAACACTATCCAGACAGTAGTTACACCCCAAATGAATGTAAGCTCCATGGGGTGGGGCATTTTGTCTGTTTGCACTGTTCTGTCTTCTATACCTACAGCAGTGCCTGGCACGTAGTAAGCGCTCATTGTGTATCGGTTGAACGGATGCAGGGTTGGATTTTTATTCATCACCTAACAGTTTCACTTGTTGGAGTTCGCTCGCATTTTAAGTAAGAGGAACCAAGGCTATCAGTTTGCATTTACTGGTTTAGCAGTTCTGTGGCCTGATGGAGGGAAGGAGGGCACAACAAACGAGGGAACTTTTTCTCCGAAAGGTTTTTTTTTTTTTTTTAAACCATGTCTCTGAAACCGCAGGGCCAATGTCCTGTTTCCCAAATCTGGTTTTTAGTGTCGTCTGCTTCTCCTCTCTGCATATGGTATGTCTGTGTCCAGCCTCTTCTCTGGTGCTGTGGCCTGCTGAGTTGGAAGAATACCACAGTGTGCCAAAGTATGGTGGCAATGGGTGGCTTGCTACACTGTGTGAAGCCATCAGAAAAGTGTTCTGCCTTGTCTCAGTGAGAATTATGTCAAGTTGAGGCCCTGCTTTCTCATTTTGGCACGACCCTCTACCCCTTTCAGTCCCTCTAGCTGTGATATAGCTGCCTCTAAGCTCTCCTGCACTGTGGTGACAAAGGGACTTTCTGGGGAGTGGGCTCATCTGGCCATGGCTCACCCTGGCTTCTGTCCTTGCTCCTTACCAGGAAGGAATAATGAGTATGGTTAGAATAGCCTTGATTTCCCATATTTATTTCCCATATTTATCCATTCCTTATTAGTAGCTATTTATGTAGTGTATTTTTTTGCTATTTAAATAATGAATGTAGTGACCCAGTCCTCAGTAACTGTCTTCAGTTTAGTCTCATCTGTGCTATATTTAACAAACGCTTCTTGAGGTTTTTAGTATCCTGTCTTTACCTAATTTATTGCTTCTGCAGATTTTTCTTCAATTTTCATTTTTATTCCATCATTTCAGTTGGTTTCTGTGGGGCTGGGGCTCTACAAATGCTTTAGCCAAAGTTCCAATTTAGACAGAAAAAAAAAAATTTAGCTAGGCTACTCTGTTTTCTTATGATTTATTTGTTAAGATGGGATTTAATTGCCTTAAGTTCAATTTGATTTTAATTGAACTGATTGTAAGTATAAGATGCTATGGTAGATGCCAGGGGAAGGTAAAGATAAATTTTGTAAGAATGATAATCACTCTCAAAATATATTGAGAACTTTAAAGAAGAAAAAAAACTGAGTTGAGAATTGGCTCAACATCACATAAGTGAAAATTTGAAAAACAATGACTTAAACAAGTAAAGGGTTTATAATTTCATGTGTCAAGGATTCTGAGGTTAGGAGTCTGTAGATGGTGCTTAAGGATGTTGCCAACATACCTGGTACCTTCTTTGTCTGTTATCATTAGCTTGTGGTTTTTGTCCTCAGACCATGAGATGACTTCCATACCGTCATCATCATATTGTATTCTGGGCAGAAAGAAGAAATGAGAAGGAAATGTGGAAAGGCAGAAACCTCCTTATAAGACTTTGCCTCTTAATTTGGGAGGGAAAGTTCTTGATAGGAATTTATTATGTCTCATTGGCCAGGAGTGTGCCACGTGGCTACCTCCAGCTGCAAGGGAGGTTTTAAATTATGGCATAATTCTTACATCTATCATTTTAAAAGCCCAAATATCTTAAATTCAGCCTAGTCAACTCTGCCAGTAGCCAACTTCTCTGTCCTGATAGCCCTCACTGGGCTCTCTCATTATTCAGTACATCCCCTTCTTGGAGGAGGACATGAAGCTGCCTGCCTCTTCTCTACCCAGTTTTTCCAAAGAAAAATAAAATACCACTCTTTAGTCTGCTCTGTGACTACCACCACATATGTGTGCTTTAAATGCAGTATATTTAAATGAAGACTGACTTGCCAGCTTGGCATTTACTTTTCCATTAGTGGTTGTGGATGTGTACTGATCTGGCAGCAGTTTCTCCCTGTCATCTTGATAATCAAATACACATTTGGAGACTCCTGGTTTGGGTTGGGTTATATGTAGTCAGTACTGGACTGTCCAACAGAGCTAGCCCAAGTGTACATCTTCATGAAAAAGTGTAGGTGGTTGATGGAACTTCAGCTAAACCAGAAAGCAAACCAGGTGGCAAAGCTGTTAGTGAACGTTGAAGAAGTTGAAGAACACCGTAAGCTTTCCTCTCTCTCACTTCTTGTTGCATTCCAACAGTTGTTGAAGGCTTTGCCTTCTTGCTCAGTTTTCTTCTTTATCCAAGATTCTACCATCAACCTAGAAAACTTCACTATTTCTAGGAGTTCTCAAACTTCATATGCCTTCTGAGATGCTTGTTATAATGCAAATGTGTAGCCATCACCTCCATAAATTCCTTCACTCTGGGTCTGGGGTAGGGTCTAGAATTGTGTATTTTAATGGTCCCCATAGCATACTTTGAGACACACTCTTCTAATCTGTAGAACCGATTCAACACTCTCTCCTAGCTCTTTACTGTCAGCACACTGCCTTGCTTCCCATTACTCACAAGAATATGTTTATTTCCCATTAAGGGAGACCTCTGCAACTTACAGCTAACCTAGTCTATCTGAATTCTTACCTTTTTTTGCTTCTTCTCTCCTCTGCCTGTTCTCCCGCTTGTCCCCTTCAGTGGGTGGCACTTTCAGCCTGACACCTGGGGTCCTCTTAGATTCTGCAAGTCCAAGCAGATCTCCCTCTATCTACTATGTGGAGAGAATGTTATCTGAATCACTCGAGGGAAGCAAATGATTGCCTCTCAACCTGCAGGTCAGACTTGCCTGGGTGCTTAATAATCATTTTGGGTTTTATGAAGGGCTTGGTTTTTACTTCAAAGCAAAGCATTGTAGCATCTTATTTATTAAGATTAAGGAATGAAACACTTAAGATAAATGAATTTTAAAAGAATGTTACAAGATTGTCTCTTATACTAAGAAAGTTTTTGCTTAACTGTTTATTTTGGAAAACCTTTCCAAAATGTATATAAAGTTTTAAATTTACTAGTAGCTTTAAAAAATATATTAAATAAGAAGGAAGAATAGTAAACTTGACAATTAAGAATGAAAAGAAGAATGCTGCATGTCAGTGAGCTTTTACAAGGATGCAGAGATGCATTTTTGTTCATAGTTACTCTGAGATATTTTATCTGTAGATGGAGAGTGACTACTTGGAGCATTCTCTCAGCCTGTGGATTTTGTGCTTTCTGTTCTCTCTGTCTCAAACATGTATACCTCACCATCTTACGTGTTTGCCAGGTTAACTCCTTTTTATCCTTCAGTCTTCAACTTTGACATCACTTTTGGGAAGTCTTCTGGGTTTGGAGGTCCTTCTATGTTCAGAGTTCCTCACCTGCTGAATCACTGTTACCTTGTGTAATAATTAATGCCTGTTCACTTTTCTGAATCTTTATCAGAGTGAAAGCCCCAAGAGGGCCGGGAACACATCTGTCTTGTTGACTATTACATTTCCATTGCCCAGCGCGGTGCCTTGCAAATAATAGGTGCTCAAAAAATAGTAGCTCAATGGAGAAAAGAAGTGTAGCGAACTAGCTTGCCACCATTTGTAGAATTTTGAACAGCTTAGCCTTTTAATTACAAATAATTATTTTACTGTACTGTAGTAGTTTAGTGGTTAGTGATGACAGAAAGCATTGTGTCTAAACTGTTAGGCAGCTGTGCATTTATAGTTACTTGGTCTGCTTTTCAGTGTCTCTTTCAACTGCTGTCATTGTGTCTTGAAGTTTTTAGTCTGTTACGCGATTTTGTATTCAGGATAATTGTGGAGGATTGGAGATGGCCCCACTGTGTTTTTCTTAAAGTTCATCAAATTTGTGAAAACTGTACCAGTGGGAGCTCAGAGGGATCTGCAAAGACTTTGCTTTGTCCTGTTATCAGTGAATTGCTATTAGGTTTGACAAACTATTGATTTTCAGTTTTGCTTAAAGGAACAGCAACACCAATAAGGGAAGTCTTTTAGTTGTTGATCATCTCAAAAGTATTTCTAAAAGATTCTTGCTAGAAAGCTCTTTTGAATGCTTAGAATAACATAACCAACATTCTTGCCTAACCAATTAATAGGAATAAATGAAAATTCCCAAAGGAAAAGAAAACAATGATACATTAATATATATGTATGCAGTTAGGTCCAGATGTAAATCATGAGTGAGTAATTGCACAGAAATTGCATCCTGAGTAGGCATTCTAAGGAAGTTGATTCTTCTGCAGTATTTTCGAGATTTAAATAAATGTAAAAGCATTTTACTGATTTGTTATATGTGTTCTGCAAAATAAGCACAGGTAGCTAAACGCTAAATACCATCAAAGTCGGAACGATACTTGAAATGGAGACTTAATTCTTTAAGTGTTTATCTTGTACAATATCTGCTCTCTGGATAAACACAGTTGTAATTTTGATATGAAACTGAGATAAAGCTTTATTTTTGTGAACACTGTCCAACTAACAATTTTTTTGCCAAACTCAGTTTTGAAACTACATGTTTCTGCTTCTTAAAAGTTTCAGTTTTGTTCAACAGTTTATAGGCACCAGTTTTATGGAATTTTTTAAAGTTAATTAAAAAGGTTATAAATTTTTGGTTATTGAGTATATGAAGTAAATTGAGTTTCTTTATTGAGAAGAACAAACTAAAACAGGATGATAAGGTAGAAAAGCTCTTTGGTTCAAGGAAAAGCGATAATTGAAAGAACAAGCTTAGGATCTCACTCAGTGTTACAAAATTAGCTTAATATAACAGCTTTTATTTATGTATTTATCAAGCCCGATAGATACTTCATTTTCCTTTTTCTGAATGCTAATTGTAAATGTCAACCAAATGCTTCCTGGTGAACTGCCTTGGTGACCATACTTAAATGCTTCATTTTGGAATCAGTATTGCTTAGTAAATTTGAAGGTATGAGATTTAATTTGGTCCTAGGACTTTCAGTCTAACTTTCATCATTAATTGTATGAAAAATAAGAAAGGAAAACAGGAAGCCCTAATAAATTCTTACCTTTGTGGCTGTGGTGTTAAAAACCTGTATTAAAAGTCTTATCTTTTAACCAGAAGTGGTTATAGTTTGTAATCAGTTAGGCCCCTGATTGATACCTTTTAATATGGCTGAGAAAAAAATAGCACGTCTCATATCAATTGACTTTTCATCTGAACTTAACAATAAGCATGAGAATTACCACCTTCTCTGATATGTCTCTTGAGAAGACAACTATATTATGTGGTTCACAGAATGCTGCCAAGCTGTGAAGCCTAAAAAACTCACTTAAGTTAGAAATTCAACTATTTGAAGCTTAAGGTGCTAATAAAAAAGAGATGAAAATCATTAAGTACAGCTATTTAGTAAAAAGTACACTCTCATTTAAAAATCAAAAAAGACTTAACTCCTTCCTCTGAATTAAGTTATATAATTTTGACCTTTGAAATCTACTAACAAAAGCTTAACTCCTTCCTCTGAATTAAGTTATACAATTTTGAACTTTGAGATCTGCTAACAAAAGCTTAATTCCATTGCTTGGGCACACACATAAACAAAACCACATACAAATTCATTAACTGCCTACTCTTGGTCAGCTTTCCACGTTAAACAGCTTTAAAGAGATTATATCTCAAGTTTATGGGACTTGGATTACAGTGTTGCATAGTATCTGCTATCAAGGATAATGAGATATAATAGATTACAAGGGTAATTTGAAATCTATAGAAAATCTTAGAGTTTCATTTAGCCAGTGGCTTTAATCTTGCTCCCAGATCTTTTATCAGAATTGATAGTTATCCAACTTGATTTTTTGGACTTTTGTTTTTTCTCTTAGTTCTTTTGTGGCCAGTGCTAAAAAATAGTGAGTCATTAAGACACAGAGAAATAAGAAAAGGAAGATGTAGCTGACCCATTTTTTAACGTAATCTTTACAGTTATTTTTAGTTGATGATTTTAGAAAATTGAGTACAGTCATTATGCTTATGCTTAGAGACCAATACTCCCAAAGTAGTGGGACTTAAAAAAAAACAAATTCTTGATAAAGTTGCTTCTTCAAGAAAACCTCTTGCATATTGGAAAAGCTAAAACATTTCAAGTGGTTCTCTGCTGCCCTGCAAAGTATACTGTGAGGTTAGAACTAGGGGCCTGGCTAAATTTGTACTGCGAGTCCTGTAAAAGCCTCCATTTATGGGTGACAGATAAAGCCCCTTCTGTTGCAGAAGTAACAGCATGCATGGCAGGGCTGCTTCTGCCCACCTCCAGTATGGGACTCCCTCTGTGACTCCTTCCAATTCCCCCTTACAATCTAGAGGAAGAAGCGTCATCATGGATCCTATGCCAGAGATACAGTGTTAAAGCCTGTCTTGCCTGGTTTGTGATTTTGTGATCAGCTAGGTGATTGTGTGTTTGTATGTGCTTCATTCCTTCAGTTAGTGGAATTTTCTTTTTCTGAAAATGAGTCTTTGTAGTACTTACTAAAGAATATTCTGGCTGGGCATGGTGGCCCATGCCTGTAATCCCAGTGCTTTGGGAAGCAGAGTCAGAGGTGGAGGAATCACTTGAGGCCAGGAGTTGAAGGCTGCTGTGAGCTCTGATTGTGCCACTGCACTGCAGCCTGGGTGACAGAGCAAAACCCTGCCTCTGAAAAAAAGGGAGAGCCAAATATTAGACATAAACCATATGATTCTCTTGATTAGACCCTGGTAGATTTTACTACCAGTAATTTGCACATGGTTGTCCATATAGAAAATCAGACATTAGTACCTACAATTGCTTGCTTTGCTTTTTATTTTAGAGCCAGTTTCTCCAGTTTATTAGTCCTGTACTTTATCAGTAAAAAGAACTTTAAGTGTACTTATGTATATTTATAATATTTATGCTATTATATATAAATATATATAAATGGATAGTTACATATAAATAAAATTCATGTATTCTTACACTGATATATTCATTTTAAGATATGCAAAATGTGGGTTTAAAAAGAAAGGGTTAAAAAATTAAACATAAGTGAAAGTTCTCCTGTTTTCTTACCATGTCCCTGTGGTATCCACACCTTTCTTTGAAATGCAGTATTTTTGAGATTTTAATAAATGTAAAAGCATTTTGGCACACTGAAGTGCTTTGCAAATGTAAGTTTTGTTTTTATCATTATTATTTTTAGTCTACATTTATTAAAGGGTTGCTATCTGTTCACTCCCCTGGAGGAGACAGAGAGATAACTTAGATTATAGTACAGAAGCATACAGAGTGTGGTGTGAAGTGTTTTGTTGTTTCTCTAAATTCTTTTAGCACTGCTTTGAAATGTAAAGTCCAAGTGCAGTGACCAGAGAAATATTTCACCTATAATTTTATGAACCACATTTAAATAATTTCCAAGAGCACTGCTTATTAAGCCCTTATTATTTACCAGACACTGTGCTCAGTGCATTTGATATAGTCAGAAACTGTTGTGTCTGTAGAAGGTGCCCTTGGCACGGACAGGAGCCTGGAAGTCAAGTATAGTTGGTTACTAGCGACATTTAGCTTGGAGGGACAGAAACTGTAGGAATAGTGGGATTTGCATAATTGAAGGGTTGTGCTAAGAAAAAAAAAAGTTAATTCACTGCTGCTCCAGAACACAGAAATTGCATCTTAAGTAAGTATTTCACGGAAGTTGATTCTGACTTAATTGGAGAAGGAACTGTCGAACAGCTAGAGCTCTTCTGTAGCAGAAGGGGTTGCCCAAGGAGAAATAATTTCCTGTCACCAGATTTGGAGAGACTATACACTGAGATGTTGGAGAAAGGATTTACATTAGGAGAGAAATTAGACTAGTTGACCCTAAATCCTCTTTGACCTTTTTGGATTTGATTATTTGAAGTACTGAATTATGTTTAGCTCCTTTGTAGTAGCTGCTTAAAAGTAATGAAGCCCTTTGTCACCACCTTCAAAATACTTACAGCGAACTCTGTTTGCACTGTTGCCATCCTACCCAGGCCCTCATCGCCTCCCACCTAGCGCCCTGCAGTAACCTTTAAGTGGTTCCCTGAGTAAATTTTCCTCCACTCCAATCAGTCCTCTGTGTTGCTGGTAGACTAGTCCTTTTTAAATGTTACCCTCATTACAGTACATATTAATTTTCTATTGCAGTGAAGCACATTACCACAAATTTAGCAGCTTAAAGCAACACAAAGTTATTGTTTCACTGTTTCAACAGGTAGAAGTCCAGGCATGATGTGTCTAGACACCCTGCTCAGGGTCTAACCGGGCTGAATTCAAGGTGTTGGTTGAGACTGTTCTCATCTGGGGCTTAGGGTCTTCTTCCGGGCTCACTGGTTGTTGGTAGAATTCATTTCTTTGCAACTCTAGGACTGAAGTCCCTGTATTCCTTCTAGCTGCCAGCATGGCTTGCTCTTAGCTCCTGGAAGCAGCCTGTAGTGCTTGCTTTGCCCTTGTAAGTACATGGCCCTCATAAGCAGTTCTCATTGTGGAGGTTTGCTTTCTTCTCACCCAGTCAAGGATGTTTCAGTCTGTTTTCTTTTGCTTATGGAACTAGGTAATTTATAAAGAAAAGGCATTTATTTCTTACAGTTATGGAGTCTGAGAAGTCCAAGGTCCAGGGCCGCCTCTGGTGAGGGTCTTCTTGACAGTGAGGACTCTGTAGAGTCCCAGGCAGCACAAGGCATGGCATGGTGAGAAGGTTGAGTGTGCTAGCCCAGGTCTGTCTTCCTCTTCTTATAAAGCCACCAGTCCCACTCCTATGATAGTCTATTAACCCATTAATACATTAATCCATTCATGAGGGCTGGGCCACCATGACCCAGTCACCTCTTATAGGCCCAACTTCTTAGTACTGCCACATTGGGGATTAAGTTTCAACATGAATTTCTGAGGGGACCAACTTTCAGACCATAGCCCAGGGCATATCTCATTGTGATTGTTTCAAAATTTTTAAATGTAGGTGTGTTTTTTTTTTTTTCTTTTTTTTTTTTTTTTGAGCTGGCCTTGCTCTGTTGCCCAGGCTGGAGTGCAGTGGCACCATCATAGCTCACTGCAGCCTTGAACTCCCATGCTCAAGTCATCCTCCCACCTCAGTCTCTCAAGTAGCTATGACTAAAGGCACATGCCACTGAGCTGGGCTAATTTAGTTTTTGTAGAACAGGGTCTCACTTTGTTGTCCAGGCTGGTCTTGAACTCCTGACTTCAACGGATCCTCCCACCTCAGCCTCCCAAAGTGTTGGGATTACTGGCATGTGCCATGGCATCTGGCAAAAAAATTTTTTTGTTTTGTTTTGTTTTGTTTTTTAAATTGTGGGAAACATAGTGGGAACTTATTCCTGGAGAAGGCAGAGGCAGATAAGAGAACATCTGGAGCAAATGAATCCTGGACAACAGATTGGACCTAGTAGTCAGGACCATCTTTAGTGAGGGCTGCTACTGGATCTCTTTTCATGGAGAAGCTTGAGGTTCTCTACCTGGCTTTCCACCCAGGAGTGGGGATGAGTCAAGCTCTGTTGGTTTGGGAATATTACTCTCCCATGGGCTCCCAGAGTCATTCCTGGGCCTGCAGTGCAGTGCCTCTGGGCCCATATTAGATGGGTCATGCTTCATTGGCAACATTGATTTTATGTTTATTTGTGAAAGGGCAGAATACGAGATTACCAAATAAAATATAATTTCAGGTATTATTAATGAGGGAATAGATTGCATTCACTTTTAATGAGATTTTGCTGTTACAAAATGATTCCATGTAATGAACCCCAGGAAATCAATGGAAAGTTTAATTACAGCTATGGCAGTGTTGTATGAGAAAATCGCTTTGGTCAATTTTACTCGTACAATTTATCCGTCCTCACTGCCTTTTTCAAATTAATTGCTTTGATGAAATAAGTATAAATACATTCTTTGTTAGCTTTTGGGTTTTTTTTTTTAGAAATGTGTTACAAAATTCAAATTTCCTTCTCTCTAGTAATAGTTGTTATTATTTTTACATGTATTACCATTTACAATTTGTACATTTTAAAATTAGGTAGTATTTCCATTTTGTAAATTTCATCATTATTATGTCTTACTATAAAACACCGTTCTTGTCCCTTTGTTAGCTTTTTATAAATCACTTTTTGTCTCTTCTCAATTTATCAGTAGATTCAGTCAAACATTTGATGTACTTTCTCTGTGCTTCATCACCCCATCAAGCTCTGGGGTGAATAAAAAGAATAACAAGATACTTCCTCCTCTGATTAACAGTTTTCCTGTCATGTAACTACATACCCTTTTCAATTTTAAACAAAATGAACTTTCTTTTTAGAACATTTCTATTATTGACAGTTCAGTGATTATGGGGCTTTCTTGTCCACTGGGATGGTAAATGACTTAAAAAAATTTGTTAAGCACAATACAAAATGTGGATCTGGATATTTAGAGATATTTAAAGTATAATACATCGTCCCTTGGAGTATCCCTGGGGGATTGGCTCTAGTATCCCATCTCTAGTTTACTTATGACACCTAATGCAATGTAAATGCTATGTAAATAATTGTCGTACTGTATTGTTTACAGAATAATGACAGGAAAAAAAAAGTCTGTACATACTCATTATAGATGTAACTATTTTCTTTCCACATATTTTTGATCCAAGGTTGATTGAATCCACAGATGTGGAACCTATGGATACAGAAGTCTTCTATTTTTGTGACTCTAGATTTTACTAACTGTTTATCGAGAATGTTATAGTAGATTTTCTTTTAACTATTACAGTTGTTTATGAGTAGTAAACAACGCTACGTTTGTGTTCAAGGCCTTAAAATATAGTCAGATTATTTTGGCTGATTTACTCTATGGAGAGAAGCAGTTTACTTAGTTTGATTTTAAGAGAGAAACCTCTGCAGTCTCCTTTTCCCTCAAATTCTCCCATTGATACTATCAGCCTTTCTTCTGCATGGTAGAATTCTGATACAAAAGAGAGGCAGCCTGGATGTTAAGGATTTTTCTTCTAGTCCTGGTTGTCACTGACGCAATATGTGAAGAGTCGCCTAACCAGTCTGGAGAGCTCTTGAGTCTTGCAAAAAAAATGGCTCTTGTTCTTTAACACTGGCCTGTCCAGGAGGTTTTGCAATTTATGGTGTGATATCTACAAAGAACGAAAAAGCTTCCTCAAAGATGGGTGCTATTTGAGTATTCTAAATGGAGCTTTGTTGTTTGCTTTAAAAATAGTGCCTTTCTTGATGGTCTTTAAATGTGTGCAGGTAAAACTAAATGGCCTATGACAGGAGAGACTGTTCGTTCCCCATTGGCACAAGGGTAAAATATACCTGCGACTACTGTTTTCAGAGTCAGTAATCACCATGGCATTTTCCTTTGG
Organism: Homo sapiens; assembly: GCF_000001405.40. NCBI lineage: Eukaryota > Metazoa > Chordata > Mammalia > Primates > Hominidae > Homo > Homo sapiens. The sequence continues at coordinate 14,098,760 of NC_000017.11, forward strand.
GCATAAGTTGTTAACAGAATTAGATAGCTAAAACTTTTTCCAGAATGTTTACTTTGAAATTGAGTATTCTACCTTTGATTGCTGCCCTCTGCTCCATGTGATTCTTTGCTGCTGTTAGGTACCTTGTGTGTACTTGTTGTGTTATGACTTGTAGTAGCATATATGGGCCAGAACAGGCTGTACCCCTAAGCAGAGGAGATGTGAGAGGGGACAACACATGCTTTCTGGCCTAGACTCCCCACCTCAGCCATGCTACCTTTCTCCTGAATGTGTGTGTCTTCATGACTTCTGATTAGCCTCTCGTTTGCCTTCAGCTCCTAATCTGCTCATCTTCCTGTAATCTTTATCCGAACCTGCACCCTCATTCCTGAACCTTGCTCTCTACTTATATCTGTGCATGTCTCTCGTTTCTGGAGGTAAATCTTCCCCCAGGAGATTCAGATGCACACCATATTTGGGAACAACTGAGTTAAAGGAAGGACCCCTTGCCAAAATACTTGTGCTCTAGGTACTTTGAGTTGAGATAGTTATACTTAAGGCACCTTACGAACTACCATCGAACCCAGCCATAGTATTCATTTGATTTAGCAATATCAAGAAATCCGTGACCCATCTAGATATTAGGGAAGGGGCTTGTTCATATGGTACAACTATAAAGGATTATTGTAAGTTGCTGATAAGACTAGATTGAAGAACATACCAGCCAATTCATGATTATTAGGAGGAACTACCAGTTTCTCCAGCATGTACCTCCTGATGCCAATAGTGGTGCCTTCCTGTTCTGCTTGCTGTAGCCCCCCTCATGGTTACTGGACACCCATGCCACCTTATTGTCTTGATGCATGTCCCCAAATATTCTTTGTGTCTTTCATTCTTTTCCTTCCCCCCATCTGTAAAGGTCTGACTTTTTCACATACTTCTCTGCATCATGCATGCTGCCCCTTGATCTCATGCATTCCCTCAGGCTCAGGCATGGCCTCTAGGCAACTCCAGAGCTTCATGCCTCTCCAGTCTCTCAAGTCTCCCTCCTGAGCTTTAGTTTCATATTTCGTCTGCGTTCTTTATATTTCTACCTGGATGTCCCACGGTTTCTCAAAACAGCACATGTTCCTAAGGCCAGCTAGCTTCATCACCTCTTTCCCTAATGTCCTTACTTCTGTTAATGTTATCATTCCTTTCCATGTCACCCAAGTGCATGGTAAATGGTAAAGTGCACTTTTCCATTCATTCTTTTTTGTTGTTTTATCTTCCTACCTCTCCCAGTTACCAGGTCCTAACAATTCTCTAATCAAAATATCCCATTTTTACAACCCTTATTCACAATGAATTAATGGCATGGCCTCTTAACATGTTTCTCTGGAAAACTCTCTGCCTCTCTTAAGTCACAGTGCACAGATACTTCCACTTATAGATTGCCTTCTTGCATTAGACTTTCAGTGACTCTGCACTGCCAACCAACCAAACTACAAACTCCTCAGCTTGCTATTCTGCAGTCTGACATTTGCCACCTTTCCTCCTGTTTTTCCAGTAAATACTGCTCTATGCCTAGCTCAGTGATAGCCCCCCCAAATACAGCAGTGAACTACACAGACAGGGGTCCTACCTTCATGGAGCTTATATTCCAGTGAGGAGTCAGAGTGTAGTAAGTGTCATGAAGGAAATAAAAGGAGGATGTGAGCGAGGGAGTAACTGGGGAGACTTACGTTAGATGAGGTCATCAGGAAGGTTCCCCTTAACAAGTAGTATTTCCAATGGGATCTGAAGGATGAGAAGGAGCCAGCTGTGGAAAGAGGCAAATGAAACAAAAGTACAAGAACCCAGGGACAAGAAAGAGCTTGGAATGCTCAAAGAATAGAAGAAGTCTCATGAATGGATAATAGTGATTGAGCTAAAGAGAAGTGTGAGATGCACTTACTGGCAGAGAAAGAGTTTACATTTTATATCAGGTATAGCATCAAAGAATTTTCAATGTTCAAAGCAGCGATGTGATTTGATCTGTTTTCATTTTAAAAACATCACTCTGAAGAGAAGCAAGATGGAAGCAAGGAGACCAGTTAGGGGGTAAAGCTCTTATGGCAATTGCTTGGACTATGTTAGGGTTTCTCAAGCTCAGCACTACTGGCATTTTAGGCTAGAAAATTATTTGTTGTTGGGGGGTGTCCTATGCACCATAAGATGTTAAGAAGCATCCTCAGCCTTTATCCACTAGAAGACAAGTAGCACCCTCCCCTGCAATCAAAAGTGTTTCCAGACAATGCTAAATGTCCCCTGGGGGGCAAAACTACCCCTGGTTAAGAACTGCTGGACTAAATGCTGGCAGTGTGATGGGTTTGAAACATAGTGTAGAGATAGAACAGACACTACTTTGCAATGAACGGGATATAGCGAGTGACAAAGGAGATAATCAAATATGCTTCCTAGGTTTTTGGTTGAAGAATCTAGGTAGATGGTATCATGCATACTTTGGATTCTTGACATAGGTCTTCCCTTCCCTTGTGCCTGTTCTTGGAATTATCCATGTACCTGTAATGTTGCTCACCCTACCATTCTCTTCCTTTCTCTTCATCCTCTCTAGAAAATCCAACTTAAATGTCATCTTCTTGAAGCTTTCCCAGATTTGCCCACCAATGGTGATCCTTTTTCCAGCGGATTTCTACAGCTGCATATCAGCACCACTCTTGGACACTTTCTGGCCCTGTCAGCTTCTGTAAACCCCAGGAAAGAAGCGCCAGGGCCTACCGAAAAGGAGCAGCCTTGGTGGAAGCTTGAAATGTCTGGCTTTGATTCTGTACCTCGCCTCTTCCCTTGGTTCCTGCTGGTGGCTTGTAGGATTATCATCTCCCACTACGCATTCTCTGACCGCTGGGACCATCATCTCTTATAGGCAAGACCACTCCTAGGCTTGTCTGCAGTTTGTCACAGACTTGGGATCCTTGTTATTTGCTGTCTTGTGTTACAGTTATTAAGGCATATCTGCCGTCTCCCTTTCAAATTAGTCAAGAGCAAGAATAAGACCATATACATCTTTATCCCTGGCAGTGCGTACTGATTACAAATTTGGTATTTAGTAAATGTCTGTTGAATGAATAAGTGAATGATTGAATCTGGAAGACTGACCTTATTTTTTTTCTCTTGAGTATGGAATTAAAAGAAAATTAACATTTTTATATAATTAGTACATGTAGTTTTTATAATCAGAAAAATGTGGATCTTTTTTAAGCCAAAGATCAGCCTGTACTTTGTGTTATTAATATAATCAATTAGTTTATATGAAGGATGGCTTGTTTTTTGTCGTTCTGGCCTTTACAGTTGGGACTCCTGTTGGTAACAGTGTGTCTGCTCTGTTTCTGTATCGCAGCTCTGGTTGTAAGTACCACTGCAGCTGGATTTGCATTGGCTCCGGGCCCTTTTGACTGGCCCTGTTTCCTGCTTACTTCTGTTGGGACAGGCCTTGCATCCTGTGCTGCCAACTCCATCAATCAGGTCAGTTTCTCACTTTCATCTAAATTATGTTATTGTCACTTTTTCCTAGATGGCTGTATTGTCATATTTTTAAATACCTTCCAAACTCATATATTGATGGAGAAGCATTTGTAACACTATATATCCTATAGGAGCCTGTGGGTTTCATAACCAATTTGTCTTTTCTTTTGAGGTGAATGGTTTTCAGATATGTTCAGGTGAGAGAGCAGTAGATTAGATGCTTCAAATGACTAGGATTCCTTGGGTTAAAACATGTTTTTGAGCTGTCATAACTTTCTACTCTTAGTGGTATCTTTGTTTATCCATTTCAGATACATTTCCCTGAGCTTGTCATTGTGCACTACTCTTTCTTGGTTTGATTTCTTTGCATTTTAAACCACTGCTATAAAGAACAGAATATATTTTAACTATGCATATTCAGCTATTTTTAAAAAATCATAATTTAGTACTCAGTTAACTTGGTATATGGAATACGGTTATACCCCAAAATTAGCATATTATTTTTAATACATCCCCCCCTATTATTTTAAACATCAAAATAATTCTCCCAAATAATTTTTTTTCCCATCTAGTCACTGTGGTCTGCCTTAACGTTGTGGCTTTTTCATAAGATATTATAGTGAAAAATTTTGGCCAAAACTTAAGGAAAATCGTTTTCATTACCAGAACACCCAAGAGGAGTTGGCTCAGTTTTAAAACAGGAATTCAAGTTACCAGCAGGAAAACAGCTTGGCTGAGTGGACATATAAGTTGCTAGTGTGCAAAATACGTGAATTTAATGTGATAATGCCTATAGTCATTATGGTTCTACAATATATTGTCAGCTATTTGGAGAAGGATCAATCTATTTCAAATAAGTTTTTTTGTTGTTGTTGTTATTTTGGATGTCAAAACAATCTTATAGTGAGGTTCAAATAGTGCTACCACTTTACCAAAAAGATCATCCCCTTCTATAAAGCAGGACACCATCTCTTCCAAGTAGTTTCTTCCTTTTGCTACCTTCCCATGTTTTCTGGTAAAGAGAATAAACATGATTCCACCATGAACATATTTTTAATGAAAATGCGAATGAAAAGCAATATAAGCCAAATTGATTTATTTGTCCATTTGGGTCTATTTTTTATTTTTAAAAGTTACTACCTCTATTTGGTTATACATCTGGGACCCGAGGTTAAGCCAGGAGCACATTCTAGTTTTCAGCCTCCTTTTCGTAAATTGAAAAGCCACATTTATCCTTGAGATACTAATTATCTTAAGGATTTAAATTATGTTGATTCAAAGAAAATGTTTAAAATAAAATATGGACATTCAGAGAAAAAATAACTAAAAAGCATCAAATGGTTCAGAAGCTCCTAAATATTATAAAAAATAAGAGTTGTTTGAGTTGGAGCTGCTCCTCCTCCCCTCTCATCCCACCCCTTTTCTTTTCAAAAATAGGTAGCTCAAGAATTTATCATGAAAAAAACCTCTCAGTTGGATCAAGAAAGTATTTGGAGGAATAAAAATTGAATGATTTACATTTAGACAGAAATTGAACATAAGCCAAGGTTTTGGAAATTTTAAAAGGATGTGTTTAGGTGGCTGCTTGATTTTTAGTCTGTAGAAGTATTTTTGCTATAGGGAGCGAGTTGGATTCTGTAAATTTTAAAAATACGGGGGAAAGCCACAGAATGCATGTTGGGATTCTTTCTGGTCCTGAAAAGGTGCAGTGTCTGCCTCTTTCCTCCTTAGGCTGGTTTTCCAGCCCTGCTCCGCATCCCACTTACACAGCACTCCTGATCTTCCGCTGGAACTCCGTGTCATGTTCCTCCATGTGTCACTCATCCCACACAGCCCTCTGCAGTGTCCTGAGTGACGTGAGTTCCTCATCAGTGCTTGTGGTACAAGTGAATTTCTCCATCTTTTTGTACCCCTCATATTGCTTCCTTCCACTTGTCTCAGGCTGTGATTTCGTTTGGAAGCATCACAACACTTTAAAAATCTCAACGATTCCCAGTAGAGTAGAATCCTAGTGTTATCATTATGGTATCAGTCAGCTTCCCAAATCATAATATTTCCCAATAATGTTAGGGATATTTTAGTTCCAGTGTTAGGCAATCTTATACATTTAAAATAAAGGAATGCAAAATCATTTTTATTAGTGTTTTTAAATAGGGTAAGCAGAACAAAGAGCACTGGGCAATAAGGGTTCAACAGAGTTTTTGGGCAGCATATAAATAAAGAAATAGTCCTTAGCAAAAAGGAAGAGTTTACTATACTTTTTTTAGAGGGCTAGTGTTCAAATTAAAAATACATATATGCGGTTGGTCTGTATAAAAGTTCTTCACTTCTAATAAAATTCTATGGGAGGAAAACTTTCCTTCTGTTCGTATTTATAAAAAGATTCAAATTTTATTTATATTTTGTATTTATTAATATTTTCTTTTAGCAGTTATTCATTTAGTTTTCAGTATTCTTTGTACTCTATTTCTGTGATCTCTGTGAAAGTAGAAAAAATAAAGCTTTGGAAAGCTGTTTTTACTTTTGTTTTAAGGAGAGAAAATGAAATTCAGCTTCTGAATTATGAAGAAGTGACTAGTGCATAAAGAGATTTGTGTAAGAAACCACTAACATTAAAATGTTAGAGTAAATTACGTACATATTTTGTAATACGTACACATGCTTCATTTGAAACCGTAGTGTGGCTTTAAAGCACATATGCCTTCAAAGGATGGAAAAATCCATAAAATGTTTTGAATTTTGCAGCTGAAAGATAAAATATTGTGGATGGTTTAACTGATCAAGTCTTGAGAAACAAGTGACAAACTGAATAGCTGAATTAACAAATTTAAAAAGATAAGAATTATCAAAAAACTATAACATTATTTTGAGGATTTGACATAATAGTGTTATAATAAGCTATAATTGGGATTATTTTACCTAGATTACATATACGTGATTTTTTAGACTGGTTATGTCAGTCAGTGTGTATGTCAGTAAATACATTTCTACAAGATACATTTTAATGGTGAGATGATATTCCATTTTATGGATATGCCTCAACTTTCTCAACCAGTTCTCCATTGTTGCAGCTTTTTGCTTCTATAAGTAACACTGCACAGATCTCTAATTATTTTTAAAGGACAAATTATTGGAAATGAAATTGCTGGGAGGATGGCTGCCAGTTAAAGCACACATGAAACTGCTTTAACTTCAGAATAAATGATCTTAACAAAATAATTAATTTTCTACATTTATACAGTGCTGTAGAATTTGCAGAGCATATTTACATAAATTATTCTTTAAGGCTTATAATCCTTAAAGTAGGTGGTATTCCTTCTATTTCTATGTGTAAAACATTTTGTTTTGCTATTGAATTATTCTTTTAGAAGGCAACATTTAAAACATGTATCATGCAAATAATGTTTTCATTGCATATCAGTGAGAAAATATAGATAAGCAAAAATAACAATAACAAATTTTATTTTACTTTTCCTTTATGCCGGACATTGTTCTGTGTTAGAGATACAGCTGGAAACAAACAAATATCTTGCTTTTGTAGTGCCTATATCTCACCACCCAAATAGATCCATTTGTTAACATTTTGATTTATATTATTATAGACTTCTTCACATACACACATATCTTCATATATATAACATATATAAAACATATTTAACATGGATATCTTCACATATATATCATACATATATATAGTTTGGGTATATTTTTTCATAAAATAGTATGTCATGGACATCTCGCCATGTCAGTATTTGGTATAGCATGTTTTTTTGTTTTTGTTTTTTTTTGAGGTAGGGTTTCGCTCTTGTCACTCAGGCTGGCATGCAGTGGTGCAATCTTGGCTCACTGCAACCTCCTCCACCTCCTGGGTTCAAGCAATTCTCCTGCCGCAGCCTCCCAAGTAGCTGGTATTATAGGCGCCCGCCACCGTGCCCACCTAATTTTTGTATTTTTAGTTGAGACGTGGTTTCACCATGTTGGCTAGACTGGTCTTGAACTCCTGACCTCAAGTAATCCACCCGCCTCGGCCTCCCAAAATGCTGGGATTACAGGTGTCAGCCACTGCACCCAGCCAGCATAGCATGATTTTAAGAGTTGTATATGGATATACTTTGATTTGTTTAATCAGTTTCTCCTTATTCGACATTTTAGGGATTTCTAGTTTTTGTCCATGTAAACAATGCTGAGCTGAAATTCTTTTAGCTAAATCTTTGCATATATCCTTATTTATTTCGATAGTTTTCTAAAAATATGTGGTCATGTCAAGAGATTATGAAGTTTTCAAAATAAAAAGTTAAAATTAAGAAAAACTACTTCAAGTAAAACTAAATGTCTTCCCAGTCTTTTGTTTGTTTGAAATCAACTTACACTTCTGTTTGTCAGTGTGTTAAAGTGCTCATCATTAATGCCGTGAATTGGAAAATCTTGGCTCGGTTTGTAGGTAACATCAGAAATGTTCTTTTAATTCAAGTTGTTTTGATGACTTACGAGGTGGGAGTGTGTTTACTTTTTAGTGCTTATTGGCCATTTAGGGGTTTTTTGGTCAGTTGTTTGCTGGTGAGTTTGCCTGTTTTGCTGTTGGGCTGCTTGCCTTTGTCTAAGGGCTATTGCTGTATATAGTTTGCATTGACTTATAAGGTGCAAATATTTTCTTCAGTTTTTGTCTTTAATGTTTTACAGTGCAGATGTTTCATGTTTTTACAGTGAGGTCTTTTTATTTTAATACAAATGTAATACAGAAATTTTAATAATTTCTCATCTTAGCACTACTAGCAGTTTGGACAAGATGTCTGTTGTGTGGGCTGTCCTGTGTGTTGCAGAGTGCATCCCAGCACCCCTACTTCTACCCACTGGACACTGACGGCACTCCCCCACCCCCACTTGTGACAGCTGAAAAGTGTCTTCAGACATCACCAAATGGTCCCTGGGGCCCCAAATCACTCCCAATTAGGAACCACTGCTTTAACAATTTCTACTTTCATTTTTTTTTTCTGAGATCTTTGCCCAAGATCCTGGCTATAATTTCTGTCTCAGGCAAACGCTGGCCCACATTTCTTTTTGTTTAATTACTCGTGGATAGCTAGGGTGACCATATGTACTTCTTTATGCCTGTGTTCATGGCGTAATTACTATGAATGCCTCTTTTACTTTCAAGTGTCCTAGTTTGGACAAGTAATTGTATGGTCTTGCTATTCATAGCCCACCTATGCCTTCAATCTTTCACTGTAAATGAGATGTAAAAATATCTTTGTATCAAAACAAATCTCCTCTTTGGTTCTTTTTTTTTTTCTTTCTTTCTTTTTCCACAAGTGTTCCCATGAGACAAGTAGAGATTTCCTGACCACAGCCAAGGTCACCTGGCTGGCCTCAGCTTTCACCCTCTTTGTAGCTACATCTTGCTCTACTGTCAGCCTAATTGTACTGTTTTACACACACACACACACACACACACCACACACGACCTTAGAAAACATTTCACATCCATTATTACTCTGCTATTAGCAAATTGTTCTAGAATCTTGATGACTGATCTCCTTAGTTTTTACAATATTCCTAGCAGATTGTCTCCTCATTACTATGGTTGTCACTGATTCCCAAGGCCACTGGCTCTATAAGTGGACAGCCTTGATGAGTAGAATGCTCTTCCTCATCCTGAGCCAAAGTCAGCCTCCTTATAACTTCAATCTGTTGGTCATAGTTCTGCTATGTGGAAAAACTCAGTGTTCTTTTTTCTTTCATATGATAATACTTCCAGTGTATCACTTTCTGACTATGGTTAGTAGCCACTTGTAGTATTGCTGTATAGTTATTCATTTATATCTCTTTCCTAGAGAACTCTTAACTTCTGGAAACCAATGATTATGACTAACATATTTTGTACATCCATCACCTCTGCCCACAAGCATATAGAGCAAGACAGTAGAGTACAACTTTGAAGGAATATGTATGAGGGAGGGGAGAAAGTAGCAATAAGTGTTCATGATAACACTAATTGCAGCAAACACTTGTGCTATATGCCAAAGAATGTTCTAAGCATTGTACATACATTAGATCATTTGTTTGAGTCTAGGTTCATCAGGTTTCAAAAAAAAGATAGTTCTTTTGAAAGATCAAATAAATGGTGAATGAATTCATAACTTAGTCTTAGCTTTAAGGAAAACCATTGATGTTCTCAGCGACTTTACTTTGGAGAAAATTAGAAGAAAGGCACAAAACATAAGTAGAGTTTCAGATCTGAGAACCAGGTTATAATTAGAAAGGTAAGTGTGACAAGGGTATGTTATCTTTGGGATCTAGTGTATCTGTGAATGTTGAATAATTTTTGTGAAAGCAAATGAAAGATCAAGAGGTGTGAATAAAATAGGGTCAAGAAGAGACATGTTTTTTGTTTAATACTGACAATATTTGAGAGACATTCATGGCTGAAATAAGGTAAAAAAAGAAGGGCTTTGGATAAAGAGCTCTGAATTATAGAGTAGGTAGGGCAAAAGAAAATTTACATCTTTTTAAACTCTGAAAGGAAAAACAGGTAAAGATTTTTTTGTTTTCCCAGTGAATATGAGATTAATATCTAATGCATTTTTCTCCATTTTCCTTTTCTCTGATGTTTCTTGTGTTTTGACTATACAGTCTGCCTAGAGCAATAGAAACTGACTTTCATCTTCTATGTTGAACAAAAGTGGTTATTAAATTTGATGTTGTATTCTAGGAGAATAAGACTTATGTTAGTGAATACCAGTGATGTGATTTATTGAACATCATACATATAAGAAAAAATCAATATGAAAAATATATTTTTCTTCTGAATGTTGTGATTTGTTTGACTTTGATGTTTTAGCTGCTGGGCAACTTGCATTCATTCAGTGGTCTCTGAAGTTGATAACTCATGGCTTATTCAGATGATTCAAATTAGCTACTGCACTAGATCAGGTTTGCCTAGAGAGTTCTTGAATACCATGTGGGAAAGAGTCTCTAACTAAATATGGTTTTTATATATAAGGAAAATGATGAGCATTACTGAACAATGACAGAAAGAAAATGCATTTTGAATGCAGAGTCTCTTTTCCTGAATTTAAATAACCTCAAATAATTTCTAAATTACATTTGATTCCCCTTTCCAGAATGATCCATCTCAGTGGAGTGAATTTGGCATTGGTGTTTATAACCAAAATAACTCCAGGTGAGGTTTTGCCAACAAATGCAGAAATTATGATAATTCGAACGTATATTTGTAAATAGTTTTTCAATAATTTACATGCCACTGGTCATTATTCGCTTCTTAATGATGACTCTGTGAGGTGGCATTATTCCAGTATTGTAGAAGAAGAAAATGAAGCTTAATGGTACTATTGATCACACGTGTTTGAAAGTGGTCAAATTGGGAGCAGAACCTGTGGACCCAGTTCACTACTATTTCCTCTCAAATGAGATGTCTTATTCCAGTCACTACCTTGGAATCAGGGTATTCTTTATTAATATGAGTCTTCCTGCTACCAGGTTAACTGCTGACATCCTTGCCACGGTGTAGTAGAGGTGGAGTTAACATAGTGGATGTGGTGATGTATCTACCTCTAACGACATCGAGTGGATCTAGAGCACTTATGTCTTAGTCAAACTAAGTGTTCCATTAATGTTAGCTATTATTATTGTTATTAACATAAAAGTTTGGTCAGGTTTTGGCCCACATCTTTCACATGTTCAGAGTCTGAATATCTTGCAGTTATCTCCAGTGTTGGTTGAGTCTAGATTCCTGGGATTTCAGAAAAAAAAGAACTATTTTGGAAGATGAAATAAATGGTGAATGAATTTATAACTTAGCTTTAAGGAGAACCATTGATGTTCTCAGAGACTTTATTTTGGAGAAAATTACAAGAAAGGCACAAAACATAAGTAGAATTTCAGATCTGAGAAGCAGGGTCTTAATGAGAAGGAAACATGTTTATTTTTCTCAGAGTACTAAGACTTGGGTTATACTGGCAAACTTTAATATATGTATGTTATGAATATATGTATATATTTATGTCAAGTATGTATATACTTGTTTATGAATTCTTCATATTTGGATATGTGGTGATGTCTTGGGTTCAGCAGACATTGATTTTCTGCTATTCGGTAAGCATTGTGGAATTATGTATGAGGTTCTGGTAAATCAAAGAAATGTTGGTGGAAAAGGGTGATTCAAAAGCAGATAATTAATTGAGACATAATGGAAATGATACAATGTGGACTTGGGGAGTTATAATTCTTGGTGTGTATCTCTGGGTAGCATGTTGTGATTAAACCTGATTTGGGTGGCTTGGAGACTTGCTTCCTTCATCTCCCCACCACCCCCACCTAGCAGAGGTCAAAGTAACGCTCTTTTCTAATTATCTCTTTCTTTTCTTTTTTTAATCTTCAGTTATATTTTGCCATTCCTGATGGTTTTTGTTCTTCTGAATCCCATTAGCCTCCTAGTTCTCTGCTCTGAACCACAGACTCCCCTCCCTGTTATCTGGGTTAGATTGACTGTTGGTTGACTGATGACTGATGGCATTGATGTAAAAACTGACTGTGTGGCTGATCCCTGGGAGACTGTATCGTTTCTTTGTCTCATACTCTCTTTGCCTTAGTGACAAACTGCTTTTAAGGTTTAATTTGTGAACATTTCGATGCCTTCATATGTATTTTTTGCTTTAAAATTGGTATCATTGGATGATTCTGAATTCTAAACTGAGCCCCCAGACACTGAAAGGAATAGGAATTGGGATGTCAGAGGGTGGTGGGGATGGACAGTAGAGCAGATGTTAATTGTTATACCTATGCTTCTTTAACCCAGACTACCTTTTGAGACTTCTTTGTCTGTTGCTGTTTCTAACTAGTAATAGAGCTCCAGACTGCTTTGAGCAAGCTATTAGACCTTTAAAATTTGTGTGTAAGTGATTAAGTAAATCCTAAAATTCACATTTTCATGACCACCCATTTCTGTCTTATCAATTTTCTAAGAAGTTTTAGAAAATATTGTTGGGCAAGAAAGGGAAATTACTTACCTGTGTGATTAATCTTAAGGAAAATTTCACTCTGGCATTTCCTTCAGATCCTATGCCAGATTTCTTCCGGAAACAACGATCACAGGGGGAACAAAGAAATTCTAAAGGATTTGAATGATGGAATGTAGAGATAGGATGAAACAAAAGAGAAATTTTGGTAGTTAATCAGATTTATGTATACTTGTAATCTAGAATATCTTTATACTTTAAAATATACTGTGTAACCTTAAAATACTAAGTTAAAGTACAGCTTTAGCTTTCATTCTGACTGGCCTTTCCTTAGTACTAAAAGGTATTTACCTGCTAGCTTACAAGAAAGAAAACTACCACTTACAAGGAAGAAAACTTTGATTTCAAGAAAGAAATAAAAGTCTAATTTAATATTCCATCATTTTCATTAATATGTCTGAATAAAATTAAGATCTGATATTGCTTTTAGCAAAAGTATGGTTGGTAATCTAGAAAATGCCATTGTGTCATATTGCTGTCATTAGATGAAGTAAATACAAAGGATTAAATAGTACAGTGTATAATTTCCTTAAACAGCTAGCTGAAGATATGTGGATAAAGATCCTTCCCCTAATGTTACTGATGTAATCTACTAACTTAAAATAATGGGGATTAAATACAGCTTCTGACCTTAAGAACATACCATAAGACCAGATTCTCAGTTCTTATAAAAATGTTCAGGGATTTATAAATTAGAATATCAATTAAGGACAGAATTTACTGAGGCTGAATTCCTTTCATGATTTTCACTTACTCTGATTGAGCGCGTGGCTGAAGAGTGTATTTGAGTGAGCATGCACAAAGTGTAATGTATTTTTTCCACAAGAGGAAAAATAGTTTATAAGTTTTCCAGCAGAACATATTCAGCCATCCTAAGAACCTACGTCTTAAGTAAAGTCAGGTTACATCAGAAATGACCCTCTTTGTAAACACTCAGTGAACATTCAGGCTTTAAGACTTTAATACCTTCAAAAAGCAGTTCACACTTCCACAGAATTTTGTTTATTCTACTTAGTTCAAATGCAGATTATTGATGTTGGGGAAGGCAGTTGAAATCCTCTTGACATTCACCCACCTATTAGAAAGTAATTCTGATTTGGCTGGACCAGAAAGGAGAATGCCATTACATAGTAGAAAGTGCTGATATTCTTTGCTGTTATTTTCTTGAAAGCTATTTTCTGGAAGGATCCATGTATATGTATTGATTACTTTTGCTGGAGATAAAAAGATTGGTTCCTACTCTGAAGTGGCTTACAGTCTGGTAGAGGAAGACAGATGAATAAATAAGTGCAATAAAACAATAACATTTATTGGCTCTGTAACAGAATATAGGCAGTGCCTTAGGCAAGTAAAGGAAGGTGTAGGGAGTGGCCGTTTCTACCTGTGAAGGTCACGAAAGCTTCTCAGAAAAGTGACCAGAACATCAAAAGGTTAGATGGGTTTTTTACTAAGTATGTGCATGTGATAGGGGAACTTTCCAGACAGAGGGAGCATCATGAGTAAAGACCCAGAGATGTGAAATTTTATAACATGGAGGACCATTTGGGGAACTACAAACATTGCAGTGTAGCAGAAGCACAAGTTTGGGAGGATACTGTGAGACATTTGGCTAAAGAAGCAGGAGGGCAGGCCGAGAAGGGCATATGTGCTTTGCTAAAGCAACCAGACTTACCCTGTAGGTGTCGGGCAGCCATTGGTAGGTTTTGGTAACATAATTAATGGCTTTCTGTTAATCTTAGGCTAGAGAAGGAAGTCCTGACTTTGACCTATAGACTCTGCATGATCTGATTCTTCTCAAGACCCATCTCCTTTCGCTGTCCACGTCCGAACTACAGGATCTTCTAGATTTCAGCTAAAACGTCATTCATTCATTCATTAAAATGTCAACAGACATTTCAGTTGACCTAGTCATGCTCCTCTGGCATAACTTTAATTCTGTTTGTTCAATATCTTCATTTTCTCATCACAGAAAGCACCAAAAATCAGCCCATGCATTTCAACCTCCCTTCTGTCCTCTGTTCTTGTGTACTCTGCCCCCTTGTGCCTTCCTCCCTTCACTCTCATACCCAACAAAACCTGTCATTGGGTTGAACTTGTCTTGACTCCTCCACCCCAATTCTTGTCTTTGAAGTAGGACATACAATGTTTATATTATTTACTAAAAAAAGGATGATGATGAAAAAGAGCTTTTTTCTGAAAACGGAATTCTTCTCAAGTAAGTAATAGAATGTAGTTTTCTCTCTTATTTTCATGTTGAGAAAGTGAAGCATGAACTATCTCAGCAGCTTATATAGAATCAAGCCACAGGTACTGAATTTTAGCTCGTAGATTCAGCTGCTAACCATGGATAATTGTGTCTTCTTGAATTATATCGTAAAAGAGCTCATTGTTTTTAAATTTTAAAAGAGGAGGAGTATGTTACTGCTTTAGCATTCAAAAGGTAAAGTCACAGAGACTCAAAATTGCTTCAAGAAACACCTGGTAATTGCAAATGTGTTTACAATTATTTCTCTACTGATGGCATTATGTTTCAGAAAGTGCCATTAATTGTGATAGAGTAACACACAGCTCTCTTTGTGAAATTTAAGTCTATTGAATATCAGCACCTTCAAAGACAATAAAAATTCCAGCCTGCATTTATCTATTCCCATGTGAGGCGTTACGACAATGTATATTGTATCTTTCCATGTGAAATTCTTTGGCCTAATCGCCTCTCATTTATACTCAGTTGTCTGAGGTCAGTTTTCCATTTTGCAGTTGTCAAACAGCTGTCAAATTAAAACACCAGATCCTAAAGTTAATTTACTTTTTGTGTCATTCCATATTAGTATATTTTTTGACTTCAGTATTTAAAGAGTTATCCACATTTCTTAATCATCCTTTCCCTCAGTTATCCCATTTTTTCCTGCAACAGTTCACACGTACATTAAGTATGGTACTCTAGATATCATTATTATTTTGCAAGCATAGTGTTTAAAAATTCACATGAACTTTATAAATAAACACTTGAATTAGGCATTCAGCCAATTAACTCCAGTGTTCTTTTTGCAAGAAGAGAAAATCAAATCACTTTAAACATGTCATCCTTATTTTCATTGTCATGCTTATTTTCATCCTTATTTTTATCATCATTTCTATCAAGTTGAAATCTCAATAGTAATTGAACATAGAATTCGTAATTGCATTCTAAATGTCAGTATAGGTTAGTATAATAGTAAAAAAATTCAGCATTCATTTTTAATAATTCATTGTTCAAAGAAATATTTTTGATTATGCCATTGATGTTTTACTACAAAGCCTCAAGTTGCCAGCGGGTGACATTAACACCGTAATCCTCTGTGAAAGAAGTCTAGCCCTTAGGTGTTTGATGAATACTTTAGAGTTAAATAATTTGGTGAAAGACCTATAGTCATATCCATATAGAACTCTTAGTTGTTAGATAGAAAACACCTAAAATGAATATTCTTAAGTTATGGTAATTAGGGTTTACATGTAGTTGCATAAAAATGTCCCTATATTAGTTTATTTAACCTTTTCCACTAAGGTCATTTTAATCAATAGTTGTTTGCTACTTGATTTCCATAAACTTGCAAGTTAGATAGGGCTTAATTTAATCTTTTCTAGAATTTTGACACATTCTCCTCTGAGATCTCCTAACTCCTTGTATATGGCTCTGTTATATCATTTATTAAATTGCACTTCAGTATATTTTTATGCATCTGAATGCTCCACTAGCTTATGAGTCCCCTCTTGCTATAAGGGCATATTTTATTCATCTTAATTCTTGGTACCTGACAGGCACTCAGTGAATGGCTGCTGAATAAATGAAGGAGAGCATGGGTCAACAAATGAGAACATAAACTCAACAATTAAAAGGGGCTAAACACACAGTGTTACTTTGTTTCTTTATTACTGCAAATTCATCAGATCTGTCATTTAAAAATGAAACTACATTTTACGATGTACAGAGGAAGATGGTCCTATTGTTTGTACACATTTTCTTGGAAATGTATTAGTCATTGAGCTTATAATAAAACAAGTTGAATTAAAATTTGGGTAATAATCACCAGTCAGAGTGGCTATTATTAAAAAGACAAGAAATAACAGATGTTGGAGAGGATGCAGAGAAAAGGGAACTCATACACTGTTGGTAGGAATGTAAATTAGCACATCTTTGTGGAAAATAATATGGAGATCTCTCAAAGAACTAAAAATAGAAAACTATCATTTGATCCAGCAATCCCACTACTGGGTATCTACCCAAAGGAAAAGAAATCAATGTATCAAAAAGATACCTGCACTCATATGTTTATCACCGCCCTACCACCGTAGCAAAGATATGCAATCAACCTAAGCGTCCATCAATGGATGATTACATAAGGAAAATGTGGATAAGAAAATGGAATACTATTCAGCCATTAAAAAGAATGAAATAATGTCTTGTGCAGCAACATGGAACCAGAGTTCATTATATTAAGTAAAACGAGTCAGACACAGAAAGATAAATACTGCATGTTTTCATTTATAAGTGGAAACTAAATAATGTGTACACATGGCCATAGAATATGAAATGATTCACAGTGGAGATTCAAAAGGGTGACAGGGTTTGGAAAGGGTGGATGATGAGAAACTGGAACAATGTAAGTTATTCAGTTGATGAATACCCTAAGAGCCCAGACTTCACCACTGTGCAATCTATACATGCAGTAAAATTACATTTCTACCCCATACATTTATTTTTAAAAACATGGTATACTAAGGGAAGAGATAAAATTAAGCTAAAGTTAATGGCAATGTAAAAGTTATTTATAACAGCATAGCAGTTTTTTTTCATATAATACTAAATGAAATTGTGCATTAATTTCATCTTCTTTGTCATTTGAAGGCTTTTAAAAGTTACCCTTCATTAACTGGTACATCAGTCCCCGTTATCCTTTCTGGTGTTTCAGTTACCCACAGTCAACTGAGATCTGAAAATATTAAACGGAAAATTCAAGAAATAATTCCTAAGTTTAAGTTGCCAGCCATCCTGAGTAGCCATTAGTGAAAATGTATTTCAAAGATACATTTTCTCATCAGAAATTTCATTACTAGAGGAAAACACAAGCTAGGAGATACAGAAACTCAGACTCTCTCTAGATCTCTAAACTGCCCTCTCAACAGCTCCGCTTAGACTTACGCAGGACACCACAAGTTTAACACTTCTACAACTTCTGATCTTTCCCCTCAAACCTGCTCTGACTTCCATCTCAGCTACTGTCAATCCAATCTGCTGGTTGCTCAGGCCAGAAATGCTGGAGTCATCAATGACTCCTGGTTTCTCTCAAACCCCACATTCATGCCATCAGGAAATTATGCTGATTGTGTGCATGCATGTACACACACACACACACACACACGTGTTAGCTGTGGAAGTTGTGAGGAATGATTAGAGGATGGCTGGATTTTCCAGCCAGTTCTTACAGCCTTCATGTTAGCACCACCATCATCTCTTGCCAGGGTTGTAATAACCTCTCTATCACTATTACTACTTCTACCTTCTCCTTCTACAGCATCCTCAACACAACATCCAGAGCGATCTTCTGGAAATATAAATGAGATCATATCCCTCTTCTAATCAAAACCTTGCAGGGACTTCCCTGGTCCTGTGTGAACATTGTGCCACCCACCCCTAACTCCTGTTTCTTCACACACTGGTCAACACATTCTTTTCATGTTATTTATCTTAAATTTTGAGAAAAGTAACATGGGCTTATGTTCACCATGCTTTAATTACAAATATTTATTCATTATTTGTATTTCCCTTTTTGTTAGTTGTCAGTATTGTTCTGTCATATCTTTTGTCCATTTTAGCATGAAGATATTTTATTTTTAAAGAACATACAAGGGCTTTTTTTACGTTAAAAACATTAACCCTTTGTTACAACTGTTTTTCTGATCCTGTCCCTTACTTTGCTCTTTATGTTTATTTTGGGTTATATGGAGGCTTTACATTTCAAAATATCAAATCTGTTGTTTTGTAGTTTCTTCCTTGGGAAAGATCATTAGAAAGGCTTTACATAGTAATAGGTGGATTTTAAAAAAATGTGTGAGGTGGTGATTTAACTTAATTCGGTCCTAAACTGTTAGCTGGTTGTTCTGGGCTTATTTTTAAATGCCACTCTTATAATGTGCCACATTATGCTGTATTTTGGATTTGTTTCTGACTCATTATTCCGTTTTCAAAATCACATCCTATATCTCTGAAATGGGAAAAGTTCCCTTATCCCCCTTTCAGGGCGTGTGACAGGGGTGTGGCTCACTCCTTCAGTAACCTGCTGCTCAAACCCGGAGGGGGAACATGCAGACAGGCAGGTGTAGAGATCATGGGGAGCATTTTTGGGCTCTGACCCAAAATCTGACCCAGCATCTAGAGGTGAGTGTTTGCAGCTCCTGAAACCCAAGTGGGCATATGTTCTTTCTACTTTGCTGTCTGCAGGCGGCTTGTGTTAATCAGCTCAGTTAGACCTTCTGCCTTATCCCAAGGACAAAGGGCTTTCTGTATCCCACGTTCTTGCCCTAGTATACCAGAAAAATTGGATCACATGTGGGCTTGGAGGATGAGTGCAAGATTTTATTGGGTGGTGGAGGTAGCTGTCAGTGAGATGGATGGGGAGCCAGAAGGGGGATGGAATGGGAAGGTGGTCGTCTCCCGGAGTCAGGCCGCCCACCTAGCTGGACTCTCCTCTGACCTTCCCTGCTGAATTCCCCTCAGCGTCTGTGTTGTTCTGCCATTGATGTCCTGCCAGTGTCTGCTGGTGTCTGTCGGTTTGTTTTTCTGCTTCTCTTGACATCCAGCTGCTTGTGTCTGTGCCCGCTAGGATCTTGAGTTTTTATGGGCACAGGATAGGTGGGCATCGCAGGCCAAAAGGCAACTTTTGGGGTGTGAAAACATAAATGCCTGTCCTCATTTAGGTCCATGGACACAGGCCTGAGGGTAGAGCCCTCACCAAGGACCCTGCCCTTCTCTACTCAGCAATTCCCTGCCCCCACCCATGTCATCTCTATTATTTACTTTAATGTCTGAGAGGGCAAGTCTTCCCACAGTGCACTCCTTTTCCAAGACTTTTTTAGTCTTTTAATCAGTTTATTGTTTCAGATGAGGTTAAGAATTACTTTTTGAAGTTCTTTTTAAAAATTAGGATATAATTAGGACTACATTGTATCTGCCTATGTATTTGTATAAAGTATACATCTTTGCACTATTTTAGTCTTCGTAACCAAATGTATTTCTTAGACTAAGACCATTTACTAACACTTGATGGCAGGAGGGTGGCTAACATTAGACAATGTTAAATGTAGAAATCAATGTGAAGAGGAATCCATTTCAGAAGTACTATAATGTAGGGGAGTAAAGGCATAAAAATTTTATAAAATGCTACTTTTTTCCTGATCTTGTCTTATATTTCATGGTAAAGTATATTTCAAAAATTTAGATCTGTATCTGTTTTTGAATGTTCATTTCTAGGTATTCTTATCTCTTAGATTTTTTAGTTTCTTTAAAATAGTTCCATTTCTCACCCATTTTCTTTTTATTTCTATAATACCTGTAGTCAGGGAGCTTTTTTTTTTTCATACAAATATGTTGTCATATCTTCTCTTAGTTCTTTTAGGTATTGAGAGTAAAAGACAAATGCTTTTCAAAACTTGCTTTTGTTTTTCTCTAGTAGGATTGTTTTTTTCAAATAGACTTTTCATCACCTCTCAGTATTGTTTTCCATTTTTTATGTTGGGGAGTTTTGACAGTTTCAGTTGCTGTTATTTCCCTCTGTTTATTCATCATTGAACTAAGTGAGGTACATTCAGTCGCAGTATTTGCTCATATGCAGAGTGTGTGGTATTTACTGGAATCTGTAGTATCTACAGACTTGATGTTACAGGCCTCCTCTCTGCTCTTGTGATTGCCAATAATTGACAGGCGTATATCTCCTACCTAATGTTTATGGAGAGTTCATCTGCTCTGAGGTTACATTTCCTGGTCCTACTTAAGATATTTTGTGAAAATTTGTAATTTATGCCTTTATTAAAGCAATTTATTCATGTGTTCAACTTGTGTTCACCTGTTATGTCTTCAACTGAGCATCTGTCACTCAGCACTGAGGATACAATGGTAGGCAAAAAAAACCTGCCACGATCTTTGCTCTCAGTGGACCTATTGCCTAGTGAGGGATGAGAATGTAGATAATAATTAAATAATTATAAACCTTATTTAAAAATTATAAAATTGCTTTAGTGGGAGCTGCAAACTGAGTGATACCTGGTACTATTTGAATTTGTAAAAGGGATGGAAGTGATGTTCCGGCTGAAATCCTAAAGATGAGTAGGAGTTTTCTAGGCAATAAGACAAGGAAGAGGGTTCTGGGCAGAGTGAATAAGATGTGCGCAAGCCCAATGACAAGAGGAAGCGTGGTTTAGAAAAACTGAGAGCCCTGTGATGAGACAGAGACAGAAAGGAGAGTGTTGAGTGAGATGAGGGTGTAGCTCAGACCATGAATAGTCTTATAGACTATGTTAAGATTTTCTTTTATTTTAGTTTTGGAGCATTAGGAAACCATTGTCATGCTTTAGAGAGAGACCTGATCAGATTTGTTGTTTGAACCAGACTGGATATAGAGAGAATGTCCAAAAGGCCTTTTGCCATGCTCTAGACAAAAGGTGATGATGCTTTACACTAGGGTGATGGTTGGGGGGATAAATTTAAAAGATATTTAAGAGATAAAATAAATGATATTTAGAGGTTGATTAGCAGTGGTGGAAAGAGAGAAAGAAGTTTTTGAGGATGACTCCTAGGGTGTAGCTTACAAAATTAGGTGGATAGTGATATCACTGACTACCCAAAGCGGACCTAGGTTTGGTGGAAGGATCATAAGTTCAGTTTTGGACATGTTGACTTTGAGGTGCCCTCAGTGTAGCCAAGAGGAGACATCAAGTGGATAGATGGATATGTAGGTCTAGAGGTCAGAGTAGAGGAGCATGTTGCAGATAGAAACTTAAGAATCATCTGCATAGAGATGGTAATTATAGCCATGGACACCAATGAGATTAAATGACCTAGGATTAGCCTTGAAGAGCTACATAATTGAACAGCATATGGAAGAAGATGATGTTGCAGAGGACATAAAGAAGAAAACCAAGGTATCACAGAAACGGAGGGCATATTTCAAGGAGGAAGGAAGATTAATAGAATGCTGTCATAAGGTGATGTGAACTGAAGACTGGAAGAGTCCATTGGATATAGTGATGAAGAGACCAGTGATGACCTTAGGAAAAGCTGCTTTGTTGGTCTGTTGGATGGGGAAGCCATAGGCCCACAGTGAGACAGAATTCCAGCAGATGTCATGCAAATGGGATAAAAATGAATGGTAGTTCCAGGAGTTATGCAGCACAGTAGCCATGAGAAATCAAATTGGAGAGAGAAATAAGTGATGAAACTTAGACAGTGAGTACAGATAATTTTACACAAAAATGAGTGAAAACTATATCCTCTGGAATATAGTGTCCCAAGATTTGTGGAAGTTTGGCTTCTCTAATCAGTGGCTTTATATCCTAAAGCTTAGATCCCTAGAAATACAGGAATTATGATGTGGAGAACCTGCATCTTTGTAACACTTAGTGTTCCCATACAGGCATTGGTTATGTTTTCCTTCTCCACTTTCTTTCCTGACATTTTCATCTCTTTGTCCTTTGCTTCTGTAACCTGGGTGAATGTGTCATGCTCATTCTGCCTGTGACTAATTGGCTTAAGTTCCTTTGGGATGGATTTTGTTCTTTAGCATTTCTAGTGATTTCAGTTCTGAAAATGTATTTTTAAGTTTATTTGTTCATAACTTCCAGTTCTCTTTTTATATCTTGTCTGCCTCAGCCAGATGTATTTCATCTCACCCTTGATATCAGGCTTTATGATCTGAATTTTGTGAGTAGGAAGTAATGATTTTAAAAATTGTATATTTATTCCCAGGCACTTTCTAAAAACCATGGCAAGGAAAAGATAATAATAAATTGAAAAACTTAAGTCAGAAGCAAGGTTAAGGCTGAGGGATGCGTATCTTAATATCCTACGCTGTTGCTGTCATGGCTGCAACTTAGTCACTTGGGCTTCAAGCAACCTAATAATTAAAGTGACAATGAAAATATCATGAGTTCTAACAGTTGCAGTTTCCTGATGGCTGTATACCACGATGGCTAGGGACACAGAGGTGAGCCCTGGCTGTCACTACTTGTAGTTGTGTGACATGGGGCAAATTACTTTTCTGTTTCGATTTCTTCATCTGTAAAATGGAGACAGTAATAATAGTATCTACCTGCATCATTTGCTCTCATTGGAGATGGGTAAGTAAGACATTATTTCTACTCGCAAAACCTAGTGGGAAATATAAGATATATACATAAATAAATGCAGTTTAATTTAGAACATAAATAAAGTGATATAGAATATCATAGAAAAAAGATTATCTCTGGCTTATGTGGTGGAAAGTGGTAGTGAATGCTTGCAAAGGCAGTGGTGCATTTTAGCTGGAGTACACAGGGTGTGCATGATTTGAAGATGAGGAGAGGAGGATTTTAGTCGAAGAAATAACCTGAGCCCAGAGAGGGAAGCTGGGAAGCATACACATGTGCATGTGTGTGGTGTGGAGAGGCCTAGAATGTCAGATGGCAAAAAGGAAGTAGTTGGCCATACGGCTTGGGTCGTGTTGTTGAGTATCGTAATTGCCCAGCTCTAAAGAGTTGAGATTGGATTCTGTAGGCAGTAGGGAGCCATTGAAGTGGGCAAAGCCTAGAGGCATGTCGACCAGTTAGGGTGTTATTACCATCGCCCCAGCAACTACAGGAAACAGGAACTTGGAAATGATGGAGATAATGCAGAAGAGGAAATGGATTTGGGGGAAAAAAGGGCCTTCATTCTGAGAAAGTTGATTTACTTTCAGCTATAACTTTATCAGTAAACAAAGAGGCACTTGTTTGCCTGGGTGTCAGGCACCACTTTGTGATCAGGGTCCTTATGCTTATAAAACACACGAGGCTGCAAAATCTTCAATGTGCTCTGGCAATCCCCGTCAACCAACTAAATGAGTTGATACTCACCATCTGTAATCTTACCAGATCCTTGCTTATCCACTTACAGTTTATCATCATTTGTTCAGTTTAATTTTTAAAAATAGAGGAAACCAAGGGACATTTAATACAATCATATATGATTCTGGTGAGAGATTTTTTTTTCTGTACTTTTATTTGCTATTAAATGATTTTCTGTGTGGGGCTGCCTGAAGTCTTGGTTGGTGGCAGTGACTGTTGGGATGCTCTGAAGGAGAAAAATGCCCTTGTCCACCTGTAAGAAGTCCTGGCAGTTGGCGATTGGTGCCAAGATCTCTGAGACTTGGCCTGTTCATTGCCACAGAATACTTGCACCATCTCTTAGTCATGTTAAACACGAGGTGACTGGCCAGCCCATTGGCCAAAGTACTGTTGCTTCAATAAACCACATTAAATTAATCTTTTATAATTATGCATTAGCCAGAAACTAACTAAATCCTACCTGTACCCAAAGAAACCAAGATAATGTTTCTCCAGTGCTTGCCTTTGGAGGAGCTGCTTCTACATGGCATCCGCCCACTTCAGAAATGGTTTGAGAACAGAATCCAAGCCAGGTCAGCACTGGAAAGAGAATAGCACCAAAGCGGATGTGTCAGTTGGATGTGGACAGGGAGCTAGGAGTGACAATGATAGTATAATGCCTTACATTTTTAGAGCACTTTACAGTTTACAGTGCTATTTCATGTACCCTGTCTTTGATCTTCCCACAGTTCTCTGAGGTATATGGAACAGGTTTCACCACATGAGTAAAGAGTAGGAAACTGAGGCCCAGCGTTAAAATGCCTTACCTCAGTACCAGAGCTTAAACTACAAATTCCAATTTCTTCTATCATTAAACCTGCTGCTTTTTCTACCAGCTCATGCAGTAAACTCTTGATTTGGGGAAGTTATTGCTTCAGAATTTTAAGTTGCGTATTCACAATCTATCATAGTGAATCTGAAGTCCAAAATGCTAAATCTCTTCTCAGCAGCATTAATAACTCAGTAATTTTCTCAAGATCATTTGAATAGAATGGACTCACAGGCAATATTATTGATGTGTGAGCTATGAACATTAAGACTTCTTTAAGAATTCAGAATTTTTTTCCAGCGTAGATAAAGTAGCCTAGAGCATGATGGAAACACATGAAACTAGTTTGTCTGATTAAAAGAAAAAGTTATACAAATCATAAAATTAGGAAGGCAGTTTGTAATGAAAGCCATTAAATAGAGAATGTAAATGTTATTTCTGTAGTCTCTTTAATGTTATGTTTTAAGGTAAATAATGTATCCCAAAGAAACTGTGAAATCGATTAATAAATTCACTCTCCTGCAGTGTTAGGCAATGTGAGACGGAGTTAACCAGGGCTTTCTGTGGATGGAGAAGCAGTCTCGTGCTCACAAGAGGTGTGGAAGGGCTACCAATATGAGAACAACAGGTGCATGCAATTTATGTTCAAGAGTAGTTTAAGTATCTTTAATCAGTCCGTTTTAAGTCAAACCATATGATGTTGAGACATAGACATTTTTCCTTTCAGTATCAAGTATTTTTTTTTCCTCAGTGCTCCATATTAGTAGTACCCAGCTGTGAAACTAGGCTTGCCTTTTGTTACTTAAAAGCAGATAAAATGTTTACAACAGTTACAGTTGATTGCATGGTGGTTAGTTTCACATTTCTCACTCCTGTCAAGGTGACTGTGGGTCTCTAAAGAATAAATCAGGTTGCCTGACTCTTGTTTTCTGCTCGGTTCAGCTATAAATAGGTTAGTTGTTGCATCAAATATTGCAGGGTGACCACTCTGTTAGACTTGACAACTCTTTTTTAATGATAGAAAGAATTGCTTCATCTCTAACTTGGCACAAAATTTGTGACTTGTAAGCCAAATAGAGAGATTTTTACTTAGAGTTTATTACACTTTATTGCCATTTTATCAAAGATAGGGAAGTAGAATAGTTTTAGGGAAGCAGAGCCATATCCTAAGCATATTACACAGTAAGTTTTTTCCTAATTTCCATTCGCATAAAGTTAAGGGGTGAAAAAATCAAATTCTCTAGGACAACTCAGAGTAGGTTATTTTTTCTTACTCTGTTCAGAATATTAGAGTTTGGGAATGCTGTTCCAGTCCCACTGTGCTTTTTTGGTAAATGTTTGTTCTCACAGTTCATGTTGCACATGTAATTTGTTAATGGGCTTCTTGATAATTAAGATGGTATATTCATTTCATAACAGTTGATTGTTAGGATTACATAAGAAAGGAAAAAAGTGACTTGCCATGTTCTTGCCCTCGATGGTCCGGTGCAGATACCTCTGTGGAGTGTTTTGGGGTGAAGTTCAGCTAACCGTGCTTTCCTCTTTCATTTCTTTATCTATCATAATGTGACATCTTCCTTCCCCTATAAGATGGACTTGTGGGGACTGAGTGTTTTAATGTTATGAGAATGTTCACATGTTGGATCTTACTTGTTTAATGTTAAGTCACAACCAGGTTATGAGCTATACTTGAGACAAATGTGCTCCAATTTTAGAAATCTTCCCTTTTGTGTAAAATGTATTTCAATCTCGTTATTTTTTCTATTGCTTTACTAGTTTTCACTTTGGAGTGAAATCCAATAAAAAATGGTCAGTAAAATCAAGTCACAAATTGATTTATGAGATGCTGGTTGGGTTCCTCCCCTAAAATGTGAACAGTGAAATGTGAACTTCATCTTTAAATGTATTTACACAGGTTGTCACTGACGAATGCACATTGGTAAAATAACGACAGGAAAGTTTTTATCCTGCCACATCTAGTTGAAACGTTTCATGGAGGCTGTAGTTTTCAATATGCACTGAAAATAGAAGGCTCTACTGCTACAGCTGATAGGAAGCGACAGCATGCCTGTTTTGCACAACATTGCCAGCTTATTGATAAAAATGTAAGAAAATTCTACAACTCTCTAAAATGGAATTTTAGGTTGTTATTTGTAATGTTTACAGTGTCAAATTCGTTCTTTGTTGAATTAGCCTTGTATTAAGGGTATTGCCATTAACAGGGAAACAATTTGGCTATTGAAAAATAAATTTTTACTTTAATACTGAAAAGCACATTGTAAAAATTTAAAACATATTCAGAGCCAGACGATGAAATGCAGCTCTTTTGGGAGGCAAATACATTTGAGAGAGGATTACAAAGGGAAATGCCTATGAGTTTAAAGAACTAAACCAGGACTCCTACCAGTGTTAGTAGTTGAGGCATGTGTGTATTCATCTTTATTGTATGTTCTCAGAGAGGACTTCACGGCTAATGTTCTGGGTAGTAGATGGCATCCAATTCACTTTCGGTTTTTAAAATACATGTCAATACTTAAGTAGGGTAGACAGCAGCACTAATCATATTAAGCACAGTGTCTGAACTCACAGTGAATGCATAATTAATGTATTGTTTTAGAGGACCTAATATATTAGTCAAGGGCAAGAGCTTCATGCATAACTTGTTCTGTGGGTGAGGAGGAGAACTATTCCACGGTGCTGTTTGTACCACCGCAGCTAACTCTGCTCACTAAATCTATTTTGTTACACCTCTATTAGGAGCCAAAGCCATCAGACAACCTCCATTAAAGTGTTTGCCACGGAGAACTCTCTCTGGGATAGTAAATGCTAATTCAGTGTCAATTAGAAAAATGCTTCTAACAAAACACTACGATTAATAAGGGGTACTTGTGTTGATTCATTGCTGGGTTTTTTTTTCTTTTTCTAATTCCTTATAAGGATGCATCTTTCATTACTTTCTATTTATTATTTTAAATATGTTTAGCTTGAAGGCACTTTGCCATTTCATCTTTATTTTAAAATGTATCCAAATGTTTACTTCTCCATCAATATCCATTTAAACTTAGGCCATTAGGGTCTCACTAATTTAAATTCCTTTAGCCAATCCATTGAATAAAAGGTTCCGTATAAACTCTTG
The DNA here is from genome assembly GCF_000001405.40 of Homo sapiens. Lineage (NCBI taxonomy): Eukaryota > Metazoa > Chordata > Mammalia > Primates > Hominidae > Homo > Homo sapiens. The sequence continues at coordinate 14,126,334 of NC_000017.11, forward strand.
AATTACTGCATTCAAACACACTTTTTAAAGTTTCTGATTTCTATAATCCTCTTCTTAGTTTTGAAGATGTATAACGTATATTTTAAAAATAAATTCAGTTTTAATAAACATCCTGTGACCACAGCTAATTAACAACTGAAAACTAAAACTCTTTTCTCTTTGCAGTGTTCTGACTTTATATAGTAGATGTGTTCAAATTTTAGTATGGTATTCTGTAGTTTTATGCATATACATTTTTTAAGCTGCCTAATTGAACTGTGTGTGTTTTATGGTGACAGTGGTCACAGTTTTGTTCCTCTTATTATTTTGATAAAATTCATCTTTTGTTCAGCTCCTTGATATTAGGGTGTTGGTGGCAGGGGATGTCTGCTGGGTGGGAGGATGCAATGGAGTATAGCATGAGGGGGAGAATTTGCTAAATGTCCCTTTGATAACTTGGTGTTTTATTTAACTCTTTCAAGCTCCTGAATTATTAATATCTCTCTTTTTTTGCTTTATATAATGTTTTATTAGTATTTAAAATTTATGGGGAAATATTTACTTTAAATATTAATCAGTATGAGCATTACTGAAATATGCTAAATCTTATTGATTTGGTCTCTGATTTGTTTTTAACTTTAGAAAAAAATAGATAGTGACTCGAATTCATGTTTCCTTGAGTAATAAATAGAATCACGAATTTGGTGCAAATGACTGTCCTAAATCTTCATATTTTAATCTTTGAACTATAAACTTGAAATAAAATAGTTTAATTTGACCAAAACTGTGTTATAACTTTTGAATTAGCTCTGGATTATTAAAAGAGAGTTAATTTTAAGGAAAGGCATAAAGAAACTTGTTTTAACTATTTGCTGTCTTCACTAAACCAACCTTTCTACTGTAGATGTATATTTTTAAAAAATTGATGTTTTGAATAGATTATTGTTAGAAGAATACTTTTCCTCTGTCTGTTTTCCTGGTGTGCTACCAGTAAATAAAGTTATAACATTGAGACATTCTGATAGAGTTCGAGACAGCTCAACTATAAGCTTATTTCAGCTGTTTATTATTTTTACTCCATTACCTCAGTTTTTTCATATATTTACATACTGAGTGCAGGGAAGGAGAGATAAAGTATATTCTGATGTAAAATCTTCTTAAT